>NC_000008.11:60000-362285 GCF_000001405.40 Homo sapiens
GCAATTATGACACAAAAAATTAAACAGTGCAGACTGATATATAAATCAAAACAAATGTCCTTTACATGTTTTCTGTTACAGTAGTAACAATATGTGTAAACTTAATTATCATATTTTTTTCTTGTGCTGTGGTTGTGTCCTGGGTTCATTCTCTAAAATGCTGTTCACCTTAGACCAGGAGAAATATTAACCATACAGACTCTGTTTCAAGTCATAGCTGAATATTTTCAAAAGAGTGACTTTGTAAAAACATGTTCCAATGGCAAATTGATTCATTGTGATGGGATCAATTATTCCAAAGACTTCTTGTCTTTATTTTGTTCCCATGCCTACCTTTTAGCCATAATACAACAGAATCAAATATTGGCCACTGGGAAAAAATATTCAAAGAAAGAAAGAATGTGAACGGAACTTATGACCACGATGATTCAATGTTTTACCACAATGCTTTCTAAAACAAAAGAGTCTAAAAGGATATTCAAAGTCAATTTCCTCAGCGAGGCTTTGCAGAAAATGAGGAAACTAGAAAAACAAAAATGGCAGGACATTCTACGGGTGATTTTACATGTTGCTATGTTTTATGGGAAAAAATACTTTACCTTTTAAAGAATCACAAAGAATTATTGGAAACCCAAACTCTGGAATGTTTGCAAATTTAGTTGAGCTTCTATGTAATTATGTCTATATAGGTAGCCATGAAGTTGATGATTTCTTAAAAATCTGTGCCTTATTTGTGTAATAAAAGACACAATGAATAATTAATACTCATAGGAACACTTACGAAGGGAAAATAAATCTTGGGGACTCAAAATCACTAAGCTAAAGGGAAAAGTCAAGCTGGGAACTGCTTAGGGCAAACCCGCCTCCCATTCTATCCAAAGACACCCGTCTGATCACCTAGATAAATGCATACCTGATTGCCTCACGTGGAAAGGGTAATCAGCAATGCAAAAGAATGAAACCATTTGTCTCTTACCTACCTGTGACCTGGAAGCCCCCTGTCTGGCCTTCTCACCTTTCTGGACTGAACCAATGTACATCTTACACGTATTGATTGATCTCTCGTGTCTCCCTAAAGTGTATAAAACCAAGCTGTGCCCCGACCACCTTGGGCCCATGTTGTCAGCATCTCCTGAGGAGGAATCACAGGTGCACATCCTCAAGATTGGCAAAATAAACTTTCTAAAAAATCTGAGAGCTGTCTCTGATTTTCAGGGTTCACACATGTAATGTAGGATGTCAATGTTTATAAAAGGGATGTTATTCTATCTACTATTAGAAATATGCTGTCAATTAACCTTAAACTTTCTCAACAAAATAAAAAATGTTGATGAGGTACAAATAATATATCTAGGCTTAAATAGTGTTGCAAATTTTAATATGCCTACTTTTCAATTTTTCAATACTATCTTTACTAATTTAACACTGTAAGAAAAATGAGTAATTAAAACATGAATAAAAGTGTTTACAGGGGATGCACATGTTTCCTCCAGCCTCTGCCTATACCCAACTTTCATCCCAACTGTCCTGATGGTGGCTCTAAGCATTTCTCCTTTCTCTATACCAAGATATCTCCCCAGAAACAAACCCAAATCTTACTATATGTTATGGCACGCTATGATGATGAGCAGCGATGAGCAGCCGAAGCCTCAAGGAAGGGATGCTTTTGTAAAACAAGACTTGTGGAATATAACATGTGAAAGTAAAGCCCACGGCAGAGCTCCCTCCTCAGCACACGGGGAGCAGACAGGAAGTTTTTCCTCACCTTCCTCAATGGCCTGCAGCCACGTCTCCCCAGGTCAGTCTTAAGGACAATGAAACTCTGGTCTTCACTGTGGACATGCCACACTACCAGGCACTCCAAAGCCATGGTGACCCACCCTCGGGTGGGTCCTGAGGAGAACAAAGCTCTGGTTCTAATTCTAACCCTAACCTTGTCCCAAGACTTTGACACTGAACCTAAATCCTGATCCCTATCCTGGTCCCTAATTCTGACCCTTACTTTGACCCTGACTTTGATCTCGACCCTGACCATGACCCCACCTCTAACCATACTTCTGGCCCTGACTCTGACCCAGATCCTAATCCTATCCCTAACCCTATTATTATCTTTACAATCTATGTCTAATCTTACCCTCTAGTGCTAAATAGCTGTACCCAAAAGCACTTTTAAATTATTTAACTTCTTTTCCATGAATTCTCTAAGGACATCCTAAAGGAGATGTCAATATGTATTTTGCATTCCCTCTGAGTGGTATGGCTTCAGATAAGAAGTTCTAATACTTTGCAAGACATAAAAAGTTTGGAGGGTGACAGCACTGGGTTGTTAGGGATGCATGTTGGCATTCGTTGTAGTCATAGGTGCTGTTCTCCAGATATTTTCAGTTCATATTTTATGAATGCATTCTGACTGTTCCATCCCGCCTACTTACATTTTCACATGGCCACATGACTTTTTTTTTTTGCCAATGGAGGTGAGAAGAAATAACATGTGACTTTTTCAGGAGAAATCTCCAAGAAACAGAGTGCTATTCCACATACTTTTTTATCTTTTCTATAGCAATGGGGATCTTATTGATCGTCCCTCCTTCCGTCTGGATTCCTGTGTTAGGATGACACAGCACAGAGCTACCTCTCACCTGACCCATGATGAAATGTAAATAAATGAGGAAGAAGATTTTTGAGCCACTGAAATTTGGAGGTTGTTTGTCACCACAGTTTAACCTAGCCCCCATTGACTGATGCACGGCTGAAGAATGAGTCCGAACTGGATCTGGACAAGACATGTGAAGAGAGCTCCAGGCTGAGTTAAATTCAAGTGTTTTCTTAAAGATAACAGTGAGCACGATATGTTATTGGGGTGGGTGTGGGATAAATAAGGTATATCAGGTGAGAATAATAAGAAACTCAACTTTAAAAGAAGGTGCTGATTTGGACTGTAGACAGATTCAACTGCCCTGCTTAGCATTTGCGATTGTGATGGATGAACTAATTAAGAGCCCAAAATGAAAGCTTGGGATAAATATCTGAGGGTGTCTAATATCCCAGTTTTTCATCCTAGAATGGGCAGAGTCCTTGACCCCATTCTAGGGAGACTTCCAAAAGAAAAAAGACCTGCATTTCTTCAACAACCCACATAGAGAGACTTTCCTGCACTTTTGACCTGTGGCTAACACTCCTTACCTTTCATTCTGTCATCAGTGTTTTAGGGAAACACCTTTAACTCTCTACGATTTACAGGTTATTAAGTGGCGCTTACAATTCCCTCCAGAGGTGAAAAAGACATAATGATGGTGTCTGAGCTCACAGCAGCAAGCAGGCGTGTGTGCTCAGCAGCCACGTGGCTCATCTGCTAGGAGCTTGCTAAATACGATGTTCTACAACATTGCTTAACACAAGGGGAGACGCTCCTGACTTGGAGAGTTTAATTGCTCACCTACTTCTTTTTCTGCCCTCTTGGGCTTCTAAAATGAAAAGAACCCTGGGGTGATAAAGTGAGTCAAAGGGGTACCAGGTGCATCACAGCAAAATAGATTCCTAAAAAATCCCTGGCCTAAGATGATACCCTTGGCTGGATACGTTTGAATGTGCTGATAGTGGACATGGTAGAGTGAAGGTGGTTGAAATGTTCATATTAAAGAACTTCCACCCAGATTGCAAGAAAAGAGAGAGGAATGGAGATGGCAGCACGAGTCCCTACAATAAAAGCAGATGTTTTGAGACCAGTTATATTTCTTCCGACAAAAATTAAAGACAGAAACCAAAGTTTAGCCTGAGGCTACAATTAATTGGGCAATAAGCCGAAGGCACATGTGGCATAGACAGATTTAAACATTTCTCCCTTATATTAATACAAATACTAAAATTACAAATACTTTGATTCCAAATAAAACAAATATTTAAAAAATTTAATGAATAAACACTGGGGTCTACAGTAGTATTTGAAGGAGATCTCACAAACAGGTTTGGTTTTTGAAGGTTAGAACTGGTGGTCTAGAGAATTCATTTCATTCCAGAGAGAGAAAGAGAGGAATTTCTTGGGTTCCTTCAGGAATGTGTCTAGCTTTGCCTCATGTTTGTTTGAACGATGGATACGGCAGAAGAAAGCATGAGGATTTCACAGATTTAAGGTGCAAAAAGTCACTGGGTTCTCTAAGAAGTCTGGGATTCTTCTGCTGCAAAAATAAGTTTGTTGAGAAAAAATGAGTTGGAGGAGGCTGTTATTGAAGTGAAGCAGAATTGTTTTTACTAATCTGCTTATTACCCACTCTGCAGTGTGGAAACAAATTATTCATGCACAAGGTCCTCTTACTGTTCCTAGAATGCAGTGGAAAGAGAACAGATTAGTTTTTCTCACTCAGAACACAACCCCTAGAAACATCCTACCTCAGATGAGATATTGCCTAATTATTTTCAAAGGACAGTGAAAAATTATGGATGTAATGTTTGCTGCAAAATTAATACATGCTAGAAACAGAAGCATCTGGGTCACAGCTATATTAGAGCTATCTGTGTTCCCCTGTCACTGAGATTAAAACAAAAATGTCCAATACAATCACTCACAGCATGGGAGAGGGGAAGTTGAAGGATGGAAAGGCCAGGCATAAAAGGATTTCAGAATTTCCGTCCATAAGGAAGTAGCTTTGTGCATTGTCTGTTACTGTGTGCAAGGTGAAGTTTGGAGAATGAAAACGTGCAGTAACAACGGCTCCTTTGTCCCTCTCACCTCTCCAGATACCAAGTTTCAGACATGTTGCATTTTAGTTGAAAGGTTGATATAATTTTTTTTAAAGAACACTTGCGGTGTTTGAAGTGACAAAGGCTGCTGTGACAAAAAAGCAGGGAAAGGGATTTTTTTTAAAAAGCAAACAACAACAACAAAAACCCCACAGAAAAGCAAACAACAAACAAACAAAAAACAGAGGAAGAAGTTGAACACCCTGGGCTGTGACTACTTCCAGGAAGGGGCTACAAGAGGCAGTTGGAAATTCTATTTGCTTTGCAACTGTGGGTCTTCCAGCCTGCTTCCTTTCTAAAGTATATTACTCTGCTTTTGGTTCATGAAATTATCCATTTCTGTTTTCTGGAACAGCTATGTATTTTCTTTATCTATCATCTATCTATCTACCTGCCTATCATCTATCTATCTATTTACTATCTATCTTTTCTACCTTTCGCTATCAAGAGCTTGGGTCAAGCAGGATAGAATTCCAGTGTATATTCACTCTACCATTTAAAACAAGAGCTCTTGTAGGCATTCTCCATCACATCATAAACCTGAGCTTTCTAAAACAGGGTGTGGCAAACTACCATGCATGGACCAGGTCTGACACAGTCTGCGTTTGTAAGTAAAGTTGTAATGGGACACAGCCAATACATGTGTTATATAACGTCTCTGGTTACTTTCATGGTATAATGGAAGACCTGAGTCATTAAGAGAGAGACCATATGGCTTGGAAAACTTAAAATATTTAACATTTAGCCCTTTGCAGAAAATATTTGCTGACTCTTGTTTTAAGAGATCTCTGTTTAGAATGCTACCTATTGCCTTCTGGATAGAATCACAACTCTTTACCACGATCAACACAGCTTCAGCCCTGCTTCTATATCCAGCCTCATCTATTTCTGCTCCTCCTCCTTATTTTCCTTCCGGACATGCTGATGAATTGTCAGCTTCCCAGATGTGTGAGAATCTCTCCTCCCTTCCCAGCATTCTGATGCTCTCCCTCTGCCTCTCAAGAACTTCCTGCCCCATCTCTCATGACAAATCCCTTCTTCATTCTTTAAGATGCAGCCCCTTTGCTCCTTCCTTAAAGATGTCTATCTGGCTCTATTTTGGGTGACATGCTCCTTCTGCATCTCCCAGAGCCACCCTGTGTGTGTCAGCTACAGCATTTCTTTGCATCTCTGTGTCATATATCACCAAATCTGCCTAACCTTGAGTGAGTCACTGCATGACAACTTCAGACTCCACCAGCATTGTCCCCACCAATCAATTATTTTCAACCATTTAAAAATGTAAAAATCATTCTTGCTTCATGGGCCATACAGAAACAGATGGTGGGCAGAGTTGGCCCAGGGACAGACCACTGTTTGCTGACCACTGCCACACTGTCTTAATCAAGGCAGCTTTTATGGTGAGCCATGGTATCTAGTAATTTCTCCCATTTTTGTCCCTTTTAAGGGCCCTTACTTGGCCCTTTGCATTTCCATATAAATTTTATAATTAATTTGCAGATGTCCACAAAAAAGCCTATTAGAATTTTAATGGGACAGCTAATGCTAGAAGGGTAATTTTAGGAGAAACAAGAGATGCTTATAAGTTGTGTGTGTGTGTGTGTGAGAGAGAGAGAGAGAGACACAGAGAGAGAGAAAGAGACAGAGAGAGAGAGAGACAGACAGAGACAGAGAGAGACAGGGTTTCACTCTTGCCCAGGCTGGAATGCAACGGTGCAATCATGGCTCACTGTAGCCTCGACCTCCTAGGCTTAAGCAATCCTCCCACATCAGCCTTCCAAGGAGCCAAGACTACAAATGTATACCACCACACCTACCTAATTTTTTTGACTTTTAGTAGAGATGGGGTTTCACCATGTTGCCCAGGCTGGTCTCAAATTCCTGGGCTCAAGTGATCCACCCACCTTGGCCTCCCAAAGTACTGGGATTATGGGTATGAGCCACCATGCCTGGCCTTTTAAAAAAGTTTGAGACAGGGTCTCACTCTGTCACCCAGGGTGGAGTGCAGTGGTGTGATCATGGCTCACTGTAGCCTCAACCTCCTGGCTCAAGTGATCCTACCACCTCAGTCTTCCATGTAGCTGGGACTACAGCTGCGTGCCACCACATCTGGCTCATTTTTTTTTTCTTTTTTAAGTAGAGACAGGGACTTGCTATGTTGCCCAGGCTAGTCTCAAACTCCTAAGCACAAGCGATCCTCCCGCCTCGGCCCCTGAAAGTGCTGGGATTGCAGGCATGAGCCACCACACCCGGCCAAAAGTTGCTTTTGAGGAGTTATTGCTGTGTGGATGTGATATAACCCTTTCTGTCATCTCTTCACAAAACTTTCTGTAAAACATAAAAATCACCTGGACCTTCAGAGATGAGTTTGTTTATTTTTTTATTTTTTTAAAAATTGCTAATTCACAGAACATGGAGATGAGTATGTTTTGAAGGCTTGGAAGCATGCAAGTGGGAGAAGAAAGGAGTCAGCTACATTCTGGCTGTGTGCAGAGGCAGGTCACTGTGGTGGGAGTGTTCCTGTCTCATGGACTCTGCAAATCACAATGCTTGGCATGGCCTCCCGACCCTGATGGCAGAGAAGCAAACACCAGTCGGAGAGCTGGGGTCCTCCCAGCCCTCTTGGCCCTGTGGCCAATTTTTTCTCCAATAGCCTCATAAAATCACGTTATTTGAGTGTCCATGGCTCCAAAACAAGCAGGGATGCCCATGGACCCTGATTATCCATTGTCACCCTTCCCTCCAAACAGCCACCTCTCCCCTGGAGACAGCCCCATACTCCACTCAGACCTGTGCACTTCCTGGTATCCTTGTCACCTGCTTTTTATGTCTCATTTTACAAACACCAAATTGGAAGACAGCAGGAGCTGCCCCATAATACCAGTAAAGTGAGAAGCAGAGATAAACTAGTCCTAGACAGCCGACTCATGTTGGGGGCAGCCCACTCACAGTGGCCCTGACCCAACTCTGACTAGAGGCCACTTGCTCTCAACACCAGGGTGCTCAATGGTCCATCCTGGTACTCTGCTCTTCTCTCTCCACCTTCGCTTTCCTGCAGTCTATGCAGCCTGTGACTCCATCCATGGGCTAGTGACCCCCAGACCTTTTCCTGGGACCACAGGCCTGTGTCTCTATCAGCTGCTCAATACCTCCCCTCGAACATCCATGGCTAACACTGAGCTCCTGATACTCTCTCCCTACCCGCTTCTCTGTGGATTCCCCACCTCCACGAAGGACAGCTTCATCCTTTCAGCTACTCAGGCCAGAAGATTGAAGTCATCTCCTTCTCCAGGAAATCGTATTGGGGGAGCTACAAATATCCAAAATCCGATCGCTTCTCCTCCACTACACCCGAGGCCCGCCACCCATTTTTGCCTGAATTGCTGCAGCAGCCTCCTAACCGATCTCTGCTTTCACGTGGGCACCTCAGTTTTTTCCAGAACAACAACCAGAGAGATCTGCTCACACCCAAGTCAGACCAGGTTACTCCTCTACTCTCATAGCATTTGGAGGAAAACCCAGAGTGCTCGTGTTGGCCGGCAGAGCCAGCCCCCATCTCCTCTGACCTCCTCCCCACCTCTTGCCCTCAGCACCCAGAGTGCTCGTGACGGCCAGCAGAGCCAGCCCCCATCTCCTCTGACCTCCCACCTCTCGCCCTCAGCACCCAGAGTGCTCGTGTTGGCCAGCAAAGCCGGCCCCCATCTCCTCTGACCTCCCACCTCTCGCCCTCTGCACCCAGAGTGCTCGTGACGGCCAGCAGAGCCGGCCCCCATCTCCTCTGACCTCCCACCTCTCTCCCTCAGCTAGTCCTCGAACATGTCTGATGTGGTCCCACCTTGGGACCCACATTGCTACTCCTCTGCCTGTAGGGGTACCCACAGTTATCCACACAGTTCACTCCTGTCTTTCAGGTCTTTGTGCAAATATCACCTTCTCAGTGGAGACTACACCTTCAGGACTTAGGCTGTGCCTGGCACATAGTAGGTGCTCTGTAGACACTGGTTGTAGGAAGGAATCTACAGGTTGAAATAAGGAGATCATTTCCCTGAGGTTCCGAAGCTCATATTTACTCACCATTTGTTGTTTACTGCTAATATTGAGCACTATCAGTAAAATACATAAAACCCTTTGCCAATCCAGGAAATGAAAATGACACTTTACTGTTTTAGTTTGCATTTCTCTGCTTACAAATGGATTACACGCATTTTCATGTGCTGTTGGCTACTTATTCATTCAGAAAACATACTAAGTGCTGGCTCTTTTTCATGTCCTTTATCAAGTTTGGATCATGTCATTTGCTGTTTTCTTTCTGATGTAAACTCTCAAAGTTTGAAGGGTATTGTCTTTTCCTGACACATACATTGTAAATAATTTTCTGGCTTACATTTTGACTTTTAATTTCATTCACGATGTTTTTAATGAATAATTTTAATTTTTATGAATGCAAGTTAAAATAATTCTTTCATTGTGGTTTCTGACATGTCATGCCAATAAGGGTCTTCTCCTCCAAGAGCACAGAAATATTTGCCAATACTGTCCTTAAAATCGGTCACAGTTTCATTTTTTATATATGCATTTTACTTCAATTGGGGCTTCATTTTACTGAATGCCCTATTTGAAGCAAGTTTCTCAGTTAATTCTTTTCTCAAAGTGCTAAGTATGGTAGATTGCAAACATAAGTGGCCACATAATACTCCCACCTCCTTGGCCTCCTCTCCCAGGAGGAGATAGCCTCCATCTTTCCACTCCTTAATCTGGGCTTGGCCATGTGACTTACACTGGCCAATGGGATATTAACAAGTCTGATGTGCACAGAGGCTGTAGAATGTGCACTGGGGCTTGGTCTCTCTTGCTGCCCTGGAGACCAGCTGCCCCACGAAGGAAACAGAGCCAACCTGCTGCTTCCTGGGGGGAGACAGTCCCTCAGTCCCTCTGTCTCTGCCAACCAGTTAACCTGCTGCTTCCTGGAGGAAGACAGTCCCTCAGTCCCTCTGTCTCTGCCAACCAGTTAACCTGCTGCTTCCTGGAGGAAGACAGTCCCTCTGTCCCTCTGTCTCTGCCAACCAGTTAACCTGCTGCTTCCTGGAGGAAGACAGTCCCTCAGTCCCTCTGTCTCTGCCAACCAGTTAACCTGCTGCTTCCTGGAGGAAGACAGTCCCTCTGTCCCTCTGTCTCTGCCAACCAGTTAACCTGCTGCTTCCTGGAGGAAGACAGTCCCTCAGTCCCTCTGTCTCTGCCAACCAGTTAACCTGCTGCTTCCTGGAGGAAGACAGTCCCTCTGTCCCTCTGTCTCTGCCAACCAGTTAACCTGCTGCTTCCTGGAGGAAGACAGTCCCTCTGTCCCTCTGTCTCTGCCAACCAGTTAACCTGCTGCTTCCTGGAGGAAGACAGTCACTCTGTCTCTGCCAACCCAGTTGACCGCAGACATGCAGGTCTGCTCAGGTAAGACCAGCACAGTCCCTGCCCTGTGAGCCAAACCAAATGGTCCAGCCACAGAATCGTGAGCAAATAAGTGATGCTTAAGTCACTAAGATTTGGGCAAAAGCTGAGCATTTATCCCAATCCCAATACTGTTTGTCCTTCTGTTTATCTGTCTGTCCTTCTCTGCTCATTTAAAATGCCCCCACTGCATCTAGTACATTTTTATAGGATCAGGGATCTGCTCTTGGATTTATGTCATGTTCCCACCTCGAGGCAGCTTTGTAAGCTTCTGAGCACTTCCCAATTCCGGGTGACTTCAGGCGCTGGGAGCCCTGTGCATCAGCTGCTGCTGTCTGTAGCTGAGTTCCTTCACCCCTCTGCTGTCCTCAGCTCCTTCGCCCCTGGGCCTCAGGAAATCAATGTCATGCTGACATCACTCTAGATCTAAAACTTGGGTTCTTGGACCAGGTGCGGTGGCTCACATCTGTAATCCCAGCAATTTGGGAGGCCGAGGCGGGTGGATCACAAGGTCAGGAGATCAAGACGATCCTGGCTAACACGGTGAAACCCCGTCTCTACTAAAAATACAAAAAAATTAGCCGGGTTTGGTGGCAGGTGCCTGTAGCCCCAGCTACTCGGGAGGCTGAGGCAGGAGAATGGCGTGAACCTGGGAGGTGGAGCTTGCAGTGAGCCAAGATCACGCCACTGCACTCCAGACTGGGAGAGAGAGCGAGACTTTCTCAAAAAAAAAAAAAAAAACTTAGGTTCTTGGATGTTCGGGAAAGGGGGTTCTTTATCTAGGATCCTTGAAGCACCCCCAAGGGCATCTTCTCAAAGTTGGATGTGTGCATTTTCCTGAGAGGAAAGCTTTCCCACATTATTCAGCTTCTGAAAGGGTTACTTGACCCACAGATGTGAAGCTGAGGCTGAAGGAGACTGATGTGGTTTCTCCTCAGTTTCTCTGTGTGGCACCAGGTGGCAGCAGAGGTCAGCAAGGCAAACCCGAGCCCAGGGATGCGGAGTGGGGGCAGCTACGTCCTCTCTTGAGCTACAGCAGATTAACTCTGTTCTGTTTCATTGTTGTTGTTTAGTTTGCTTTTTTTTCTCCAACTTTGTGCTTCATCAGGAAAAGCTTTGGATCACAATTCCCAGTGCTGAAGAAAAGGCCAAACTCTGGAAAAAATTTGAATATTTTGAGCCAAATGTGAGGACCACAACCTGTGAGAATGGAAAATAAATCCTGGGACCCCAGACTCACTAAGCCAAAGGGAAAAGCCAAGCTGGGAACTGGTTTATGCAAACCTGCTTCCCATCTGGTTCCTAAATAAGATAGCTATTACACAAAGACAAAAAAGCTACATCCCTGCCTCTACCTCCATCGCATGCAAAATGTGTATTCAGTGAACGCTGACCAAAGACAGAAGAATGCAACCATTTGCCTCTGATTTACCCACACCCATTTTTTCCACTTCTTCCCCTTTCCCCAATACCCGCACTTTTCCCCTTTACTTACTGAGGTCCCCAGACAACCTTTGGGAAAAGCACGGACCACAGTTTTTCCTGTGGTTCTCTGTTCTTTTCTCAGGTGTGTCCTTAACCTTGCAAACAGATTTCTTGAAATGATTGACACTCACCTTGGTTGTGTTCTTTGATCAGCGCCTGTGACGCAGCTTCAGGAGGTCCTGAGAACGTGTGCACAGTTTAGTCGGCAGAAACTTAGGGAAACGTAAGACCACCATCAGTACGTAGGAGTTGTGCATTGGTTTGGTCTGGAAGGAGGAAAATTCAAAGTAATGGGGTTTACAGGTCATAGATAGATTCAAAGATTTTCTGATTCTCAATTGGTTGAAAGAATTATTATCTACAGACCTGCTATCAATAGAAAGGAGAGTCTGGGTTAAGATAAGAGACTGTGCAGACCAAGGTTCTTATTATGTAGATGAAGTTTCATAGGTGGCCACCCTTAGAGACAATAGATGGCAAATGTTTCCTGTTCAGACCCATAGAAGGTGCTAGGCTCTCAGCCAATGTCTTCAGGATCAGAGAAAGACCTGGAAAGGGAAGGGATTCTCTACAGAATGTAAATGTCCCCCACAAGAGACAGCTTGGCAGGGCCATTTCAAAGTATGTCAAAGAAATATATTTTGAGGTAAAATATTGATTTCATGGCCTCTGTCTGTCATGTGATGCTGCACTGGAGTCAGGTTGGAATTTGGTATCTTATTGCTAGAGAGCCTTGTCAGTCTTCAGATCTCTGTTTTAATGTTGGTTCTGGTCAGTTCTGCCCAAATTCCAAAGGGAGGAGGGTACAATGAGGCCTGTCCAGCCCCCACTCCTCCTCATCACGGCCTGAACTAGTTCTTCAGGTTTCTCTGGAATCCCTTTGGCCCAGAGGCGGGGTCCACGCGATCGGCTGTGGGGCTTAGAATTTTATTCTTGGTTTACGGCAGCTTTAGGGAGGTGCTCTGAGACCCGAAACTAGACTCGACTTTAACAGACACAGACGACCCTGAAGGTGAGACTGTCTGCTGGTGGGATGCTGGGCGAGTTGCTTAATGTCCCTGAGCTGCTATTTGCTAACTGTGAAGTGGGATCCTGGTCCCTGACAGGCAAGATTTTGGCACACGGAGAGCTGGTGCACGTGGGCGGCTGTCCCCTAAACTCGCGTCCCTTCTTTTTAATCATACCCCACTGGCTGCACCTACACCTCCTCCCAGGCACACACCGAAGAGGATGAGCTCTGGTCCTCGAACCTCTTGTCTGCTCCCACCAGGCAGATTCTCTGTTCCCCGTGCCCAGGCAGCAGTGGTGGACACCAGCATCCCGGAATGGTGTAGAAAGGCTGACCCCATCATAGCCAAAGCCTGGGGTCTCCTGTTTCCCTCCTCCTCCTCCCCACTCCTCCCCCGACCCCTCCCTCCTCCACTTACCCCCATCCCCTGCATAATGGGTTTCTAGCTGCCTCCTCTGCCTGCCCAAACAGGACAGGCAGGAAAAACTGGCTTGGTTCTGAGTAGGCAGTTTCAGGGCCTTAAGGAGAAATTCATCGGCCATTAATCAGGACCTTCCCTCCGGGGAGTTGGCAGCTTCAGGTGTGGTCTCTGGAAACAATCCCCATAAATTATTATCAGAGAACCTCTGTCTTGGGTGGCAGAGGCAGCCTGGTTGGGGTGGGCACCCCGGCTACGGAAAGGAGCAGCTCCCTCCACTTTCCTTCCGGCTGCATGTGGAGAGGCTCGAGCGGGGCACAGTCCATGACGAGATATTGTGTTTGGATTTTTCCTTTTTTTTAATAAAGAAGAAAGATAAGGTATTGTGCTCATCTTGTAAAAATCAAGCACACAGTACATCAGTCTATTCTACAAAGAAACACAACCTAAGCAAAGATTTGTTATAGGCAGTGGCCAGTTACAGAAACAGTAGGACTTGCATTAGGGGTTTTGTATGGGAAAGAAAGGGAGTCAGACACAGACGTGATGGTGGAGACAGGGGCAGGAAGACAGAGCAGCTGACACTTCCAGAAATAGCTGGCCAGAGGCCAGCAGGAGGGAAACACCGACCCGAGGAAAGAGAGACGGGGATTGGGAGAGAAATTCAGAAGAGACTGAGGCACGCACACAGACAGACACACCCACCCACACACAGATACGGATTCAAAGAGACACGCACACTCTGAGTTTCTGAGAGTAAGCCACTGTCAGTTCCTGGGGTGAGCCACCAGCCACATGGACACAATTTCCTCTTTTTGGTAAGTCTTTGACCTGTCTGAACCCCCTACTTAATTACCTATAAAATGAGTCATTGCAAGGATGACAAAGACGCTCTCCTTGACCAAACTCCACTCAGGCTCCTTTGAGCCTTCTCCTTGATGAAGCCTCATCCTTGGCCTGCTGAGCTCAGTGCTAGCAAGGAATGCTGCTAAGGTCCTTAGTGAGAATCTTCCCCACCCTTGCTAACTAACCAAGCTCCTTTCAACAAC
Organism: Homo sapiens; assembly: GCF_000001405.40. Taxonomy (NCBI): domain Eukaryota; kingdom Metazoa; phylum Chordata; class Mammalia; order Primates; family Hominidae; genus Homo; species Homo sapiens. Next base: position 74,138 of record NC_000008.11, read on the forward strand.
TTTTCATCACCTCCCTCACCCTGCTCATTGGCTATCCCCACTTGTCTCTGTTGTATTGAGAGTTGAATTCAGTCTCTCTCTCTCCTCTTGCAATAGTTTTTTTTTTTTTTAAGAGACAGGGCCTTGCTCTGTCAACCAGGCTGGAGTGCAGTAGCACAATCACAGCTCAGAGCAGCCTCAAACTCCTAGGCTCAAAGGATCCTCCCACCTCAGCCTCCTGCGTAGTTGGGACTACAGGTGTATGCCACTGCACCAAATAATTTTTTAAAACATTGTAGAGATGGGGTCCTGCTTTGTTGCCCAGGCTGGTTTTGAAGTCCTGGCTTCAAGTGATCCTCCCACCTGGGCCTCCAAAGGTACTGGGATTACAGGCATGAGCCAACCTATCAGCCTGGTAATCAGCCTGGTAATCACGTAAAACAGACACATAGACCAGTGGAACAGAATAGAGAACCCAGATATAAATCCACACATTTACAGCCAGCTCATCTTCAGCAAAGGCACCAACAACATACGAGCGAAAGGACAGTCTCTTCCATAAGTGGTGCAGGGGAAACTAGATAAAGATATGCAGAAGAATGAAACTAGACCCGTCTCTCTTACCATACACAGAAATCAAATCAGAATGGATTAAAGGTAAAACTGAGACCTGAAAGTATAAAACTACTGGAAGAAAACATTAGGGAAGTGCTCCAGGACATTGTTCTCAGCAAAGACTTTTTCAGTAGGGCCCCAAAAGCACAGGCAACCAAAGCAAAAACAGACAAGTGAAATCACACCAAGCTAAGAACCCTCTGCAGACCAAAGGAAAAAGTCAACAAACTGAAGAGACAACCCACAGAATGGGAGAAAATACTTGCAAGCTACCCACCTGACAAGGGATTCATAACCAGGAGCTCAAACAATAGCAAACAATTAATCGAATTTTAAAATGGGCAAGAGACCTGAGTAGACATTTCTCAAAAGAAGATGTACAAATGGCCAGCAGGTACATGAAAAAATGCTCAACATCACTAATCATCAGAGAAACGCAAATAAAAAACTGCAATGAGGTCTTCTCTCACCTCAGTTAAAATGGCTTTCGTCAAAAACGCAGGGAATAAGGGATGCTGGCGAGGATGTGGAGAAAGGGGGACCCTCACACACTGTTGTGGGAACGTTGATTAGTACAACCACTATGGAAAACAGATGGAGGCTCCTCAAAAAACCAAAAGGGGCCGGGCACGGTGGCTCACGCCTGTGGTCCCAGCACTTTGGGAGGCCAAAGCAGGGGGATCACAAGGTCAGGAGTTTGAGACCAGCCTGGCCAACATGATGAAACCCCATCTCTACTAAAAATATAAAAAATTAGCCAGGCGTGGTGGTGCGACCCTGTAATCCCAGCTACTTGGGAGACTGAGGCAGGAGAATCACTGGAACACAGGAGGTGGAGATTGCGGTGAGCGGAGAGCGCACCATTGCACTCCAGCCTGGGTGACAGAGCAAGACTCCTCCTTAAAAAAATAAATAAATAAATAAAAGTTGGCCGGGCGCGGTGTCTCACACCTGTAATCCCAGCACTTTGGGAGGTGGAGGCGGGCGGATCACAAGGTCAGGAGATCGAGACCATCCTGGCCAACATGGTGAAATCCCGTCTCTACTAAAATACAAAAAATTAGCTGGGCATGGTGGTGCGCACCTATAAATCCCAGCTACTCGGGAGGCTGAGGCAGGGGAATCGCTTAAACACAGGAACCCGGGAGGCAGAGGTTGCAGTGAGCCAAGATCACACCACTGCACACCAGCCTAGTGACAGAGCAAGACTCCATCTCAAAAAACAAACAAACAAAAAAAAAACACCTAAAAGTAAAACTGCTGTATGATCCAGTAATTTCACTAACTGGGCCTATAGTCAAAAGAAACAACATCAATATATCGTAAAGACATCTGCACTCTCATGTTTACTGCGGGACTACTCACAATCGCCAAAATACGGAATCAGCCTCTGAGTTCATCAGCGGATGATGGATAAACAGAACGTGGTGTGTATACACAGTGGAATATTATTCAGCCATACAGAGGAACGACAGCCTGTTATTTGTACAAGATGGAACTAGGGATCATTATGTTAAGTGAAATAAGCCAAGCACAGAAAGACAAACATTGAATGTTCTCTCCCACCTACTAAAAAAGTAGCTCTCGTGAAGACAGAGGGTAGACGCGTGGTTACCAGAGGTGGGGAAATGTAGCGGGGAGAGGGGGAGAAAGAGAAGTTGATTGAAGGGTACAAATACGTGGTTTGATAGAAGGAATAAGACCTAGTGTTACATAGATCATAGTTGGCAATTGCCTACTGTATATTTCAAAATGGCTAGAAGAGAAGAATCGGAACGGTTCTAGCATAAAGCAAAAACAAATATTTAAGGCGATAGATATTCCAAGTAGGCTGATTTGATTTTCACAATTATATGAATGCATTAAACTATCACATGTACCCTGAAACTATGTACATCTATTATGCATCAGTGAAAAAGAAAAAAGAAACAAGAACTTAGATTTTAAACTCAGCACTCTCCTAGTGGGCTCCTTAAAAATATTTTTGTTTGGGAGGACAAAGTAGGAGGATTCCTTGAGCCCGGGAGCTTGAGGCTGCAGTGAGATAGTGCCACTGCACTCCAGCCTGAGCAACAGAGAGATACACTGGCTCTAAATATAAATAATATAAATATATATTTATGGAATAAATAAATGAATAAAATATCTTTGCATGCTGGTGAGCCCAGGGTACAGTCTGCCCTTGGCAGCTCGGTGACTCAGCCAAGGCGGCTGAACAATCCTCGCCCACTAGACAGTGGAGGTCGCCCTCCAGAGGACCTTATCAGATGTACGTGCAAAGCAGTTTTCAAGACAGTTTTCTATTCAGAGTGTGGTTTAGCCGTTCAGGGAGAGAGATCACAAAGGAAAACCACCTTTAGGAAAGCAGGTGAGAAAGGTGTAAGTTCCCAGGCTTGGGGGTCCTGGCCCAGCCTAGCTGTGGGCAACCCCGGGAAGGCTGAGCCCCGCAGGCTGTATGGACAAAGCATCTCGCTTTCCACACTGGCCACAGGTCTATCCCTGGCAGTAAACAGGTCACAGGTGGGCAGGAGGTCTAACACCTGTAGCGAAAGAACGCAGGAAAGGAACTGAGGCTCTGCTACCAGCAGATGCTCCAAGCACATCCCACGGGGAGGACCATGCACAACTCAGCTGGCCACAACCAGGAAAAGGGTGCCCAGGGCCTCAGAGCTGCTTCAGTGGGGCCATTTCCAGGCTCCCAAGCAGTAAGGTGGGTGCCCTCTCAAGAACAGAAGCGGAACAGCCTAACGCTAATGTTTGGGAAGAAGAGAACAGTGATCCCCCTGGTTACCTCCCATCTCTCTCTGCAGTTCTCATGCATCTGTGCACACACGCTCACACACACATATGTCCATCAATCCACTCACAATGTTTGACTTAAAGCAGAAACCATATAAAGGGCAGGATAAGGAGAAAAGATGAAAGGAACTGAAAAGATGCAAACAGCCACTAACACGCCAATTTGCACCTTGCACAGGGCCTGGGAAGTAATGGCACGGCTTCTCGTTATGCATCAACGATCTCATGTTTTCATTTTAACAAACACCCTAATACAAAAATATGCTTTATAGGGAGGAGAGAAAATATGTTTTATAGGGAGGAGAGAAAAGCCATTCTGAAGAGCTGGATAGGTTGCCTTTGGCCCACATGGAGTCAGCCCCCTGCTCACGCCACCAGGCTCACGTTCAGGGCCCTCGCTGGAGAAACCTGAGCTGCAGGACCCGCTGCCCACCAATGCAGAAGAGAAGGCAGTATGCTTTTTGCATTGGGTGGAACAAAAACAGAAGAAATGGGAATTTGGTGAGAAATAAGGGAGGTGGTCCTCAGAATCTGCAGAGCAGTGGCTTCCAAACTGTGTGATGCAACCCCAGCCAGAAAAACACTTTACATCATGGCTGAGGGCACATACGTGCACGCACATATGCACAATACAGGAAATCTGGAATACAGAAAGCCCTGGAATTCCTAAATAACATCCTGCCCACATGGGAATTCTGCCCTAGCTGATGGCTTCTCTGAGGCCTAGGCCCACATCCACACCTGCTGTTTAGCCCAGAGCCAAGCCTGGGGGTGTAGGGTCCCCTATGCATGGGTGTCCAACCCCATCCCTGTCCGGAATAGCACGGGTGCTTCTCAGTGCCACAAATGTTGGTGGCGGCTGGGGAGGAGTGGTTCCTCCAAGGCTCCACGCCTGCCTCCACCACTGAGGCCAGCACGGTGGGACTGGGCTAGGGAGACAGGCAGGCTGGCCTACCCACTGAAGGAGCCAGTCTGCTTCCACCTAGTCAGCAGCTCCAGGGAGCGCATCTCCCTCCAGGAAGGGCAGGAGGCCAAGAGGAGCTGGAAAGGTGGGCATTTGATATCATGAGGTATAAAGAGAGCTCCTAGGGGTCCCAGACATCAACTAATAAAAGCACCTCAGAAGTTCATAGATGGGGAAATAGCTGTGTGAATATACCGTGTTATCCAAGTCATGCGGAGAGGAAGGGCTCGAACCCATGGCTACTACTCCCCACCCCCGTCCTCCTCCTCCTCTTTCCATTAAGTTTTTGTGATTATGAAAGTAGCTTACATTTGGTGTAGAAAATATGGAACATATGGAAAAATTTAAAAAGACTCAGGCAAAGGGTCATGTGTCACTTATGACCAGAGGCCGTTGCTCTTTATTAACAGATGGAAATGTTTTCTTCCAAATTGTGCTGCACGTTTTTGGCGAGAGCATGGGGCTGTGCGGCGTCCCCTCCCTGGCGCCCACCTGTGCCCTGCACACTGGCCTGCACTGTGGTGATCTCGCTTGGCCCCCACCTGATTCCCGACATACAGCAGAGGAACCTTAGGCTCAGGTGGAACAGCCTCAACTGATTCAGTCCCTGAACTTCCGTACACAGCCCTGGAGTCGTCTTAGAGCCATGATTTATTTAACTGTTCTTTCATTTTACAGAACATAAAATGTATTGTTTCCAACTTTTTTCCTATGGTAAATAATACTAAAGTAAATATCTCTGTGCATGAATCTTTTTGTATATGTTGGAATATCCTTAAGATAAGGCCCCAGAACTAAAAGTACCCTGTCAAAGGGTGAGCATTTCCGGTTCCCCTGCTGTGCTTTGCTGCGTTGTTCTCCCCTGCTGCAACGTTCTCACTCCACAATCCTGGGGCAGGTAGGGGAGGCCCAGCTGAGTTTGGATCATAATCCTGAAAGACACAATCCCAAGCACCATAATGTGGAATGTTGAAATCCCTAAAGATCAAAATCCCTCAAGTCTAAAATCCCTGATATTTCAGATGACCACAGCTATAGGGCTAGGTGCACACAATTAGTAACCGTAGTGATATACGTGTACACGTTTCTCTTTTGACTTATTTCTTTATGGTCTGTCTTCTTATAACTGCTACACCCATGCTACCGTCATTAGTTACCTCAGTGTTTATGCAAAAATACCTGTTATCGTTGCCTATTTTATTGTGTAAAGTGGCCTATGAAATGTTCTGTTGTGTTTTTATGTTTCTCAAATACATACCTTTTAAAAATGTAAATAAATAACATCGACATTATTTTTTCCAGATTTATACTTTTGGGATTTTGATCTTTGGGATTTCAGGATGAGGTATTTGGAGCTGTGTCTTTGGGGATGATGACTGGCTCCTGTGCCGTCCCACCCATCTTTGCGGCATGGGACCTTGGCATCCCCACCTCGGCCCTGGCTCTACCTGCCCTCACAATGGACCAGGCCAACTCAGTCAATGTGGAGGCAGCATCAGGTAGACCTGGGGCTGAAACTCAACACTGGTGTTCACCTTGACCTAGCTTCTCTGAGCCTCAAGGTCCTCATCTGGACACCAGTGGGGTTAGGGGCTGAGGCACATCAGCACTAAGCAGGAGAGCTCATCGTTGCCATGCATCAGCTGTGGCTCTAGAGCCGAGACGCTCCCAGCTGTGTAGGCTTCCCAGCAGTGCAGACCCCTCTCTAGAGCCGAGATGCTCCCGGCAGTGCAGGCCCCTCTCTAGAGCCGAGACGCTCCCAGCCGTGTAGGCCCCTCTAGAGCCAAGACGCTGCAGGGTTAATCAGGGCTGCCCAACAGTCCATCCCCTCTTCTCTCTCTGAAATCAAGAAACATTCCGAATTCCAAAATGCAACTGGTCCCAAGTGTTTCAGTTAAGGGACTGTGGCCCTGTGTAATGCCAGGCAGTGACAAGGACTGTGACTGGGAGCCATCGTAAGTCGATGCTGAGTGCCAAAGGGAGGAAAGGAGGCAGCGGTCCTTAAAGGGCCCACTGAGCTCAGATCCCACGCCTGAGCCTCCGCCTTTCCGTGCAGTCCCGGAGATGGCACACAGCCTTCTGCACGAACCGCAATGAGCTGGGCTCCCTCATCACCGCTAGGAGCACTCTGAGAAAGCAGGGCCCATTCCACGGGGTTCTGCAGGAGAACGGCGAAGGGTGCTGTTCAACCTGCTCAGTCAGTTGCTAGGTGAGGAGAATTTAGTATTCATAAGTGAAAATTTCTAAGTTACTGGAATTAATTATGGGGTTTGATTCTACATCATCCAGAAAAGCCTGGATGCCACACAGACTCAATGCTGAAAGCTCCCAGTGCACCTGCACAAACACACCCACACATGCACCCATATCATATACACACGTGCAAACATGTTCACATTCACACTCACTCCTACATACTCGGATCATATACACATTTGTGCACACGTGTTCATATTCACACTCCTACACACCCAGATCATACACACATACACACACTTGTGCATACACATTCATGCTCACTCCCACACACCCAGATCATATACACACTCGTGCACACATGCTCACATTCACAATCACTCATACCCAGATCATACACACTTATGCACACATTCACACTCACTTATACATACACAGATCATATACATACTTGCGCATACGTGTTCGTATTCACACTCCTACACACCCAGATCATACACACATATACACACTTGTGCATACACATTCATGCTCACTCCTACACACCCAGATCATATATACACTCGTGCGCACATGTTCACATTCATGCTCACTCATACACACCGATTGTACACTCGTGCACACATTCACACTCATACACACCCAAATCATACATTCATGCACACATGTTCACACTCATGCTCACTCATACACACCCAGATCATATATACACTCGTGCACACATGTTCACATTCACACTCATACACAGCCCAAAATAATATACACATTAATGCACACAATACATATTCATACTTGCACACACCCAAATCATATACCCACTCACACACACATGTTCACATTCACACTCATACACACTCAGATCATAAATACATATGTACACATTCACATTCATACCCCCAAATCATACGCACACTAGTGTATACATGTACACACTCACACACACAAATCATACACACTCATACACACAGTCATACACACTCACACATACCCCCAAATCATATACACACTCATGCACACCGTCACACATATAATCCAAACACACAAAAATATATGCATGCGCTCATTCACATACAATCTCACACATACATATACAGCCATGTGGGATTTTTCTGCCATTTTCAGAAATGTAAATTTTGTAGTTCCTGCTTTTTAAAGACTATAAATTATTTTTAATTTACCTTCATTCTCAATTTTGTTTGTTATAAGTAGCTTGATTGTCATACAGCATCCAACGACGCATATTTCCTTTATTTTTTTTGAGATGGAGTCTTGCTCTGTCACCCAGGCTGGAGTGCAGGGGTGCGATCTCGGCTCACTGCAACCTCTGCCTCCCGGGTTCAAGTGATTCTCCTGCCTCAGCCTCCCGAGTAGCTGGGATTACAGATGCCCATCACCACGCCCAGCTAATTTTTGTATTCTTAGTAGAGACGGGGTTTCACCATGTTGGCTAGGCTGGTCTTGAACTCCTGACCTCATGATCCACCTGCCTCGGCCTCCCAAAGTGCTGGGATTACAGGTGCGAGCCACCGTGCTCTGCATATTTTCATGTTAAAAATGTTTTATTTAAAAAAAAAAAAAAAGATGTCCAGAAGAGTTGCAAAGACAGTACTGCAACTTCCCACAGACCCGTTCACCAGCTTCCTCTCACTTGAGCATCTTACACAGCAATGAGGCACGTGTGGAAACTGCGACACTCCCATGGGTGCCATCTCAGCAGCTCACGGTGTGGAAACTGCGACACTCACACGGGTGCCATCTCAGCAGCTCACGGTGTGGAAACTGCGACACTCACACGGGTGCCATCTCAGCAGCTCACGGTGTGGAAACTGCGACACTCACACGGGTGCCATCTCAGCAGCTCACGGTGTGGAAACTGCGACACTCACACGGGTGCCGTCTCAGCAGCTCACGGTGTGGAAACTGCGACACTCACGCGGGTGCCGTCTCAGCAGCTCACGGTGTGGAAACTGCGACACTCACGCGGGTGCCGTCTCAGCAGCTCACGGTGTGGAAACTGCGACACTCACGCGGGTGCCGTCTCAGCAGCTCACGGTGTGGAAACTGCGACACTCACGCGGGTGCCGTCTCAGCAGCTCACGGTGTGGAAACTGCGACACTCACGCGGGTGCCGTCTCAGCAGCTCACGGTGTGGAAACTGCGACACTCACGCGGGTGCCGTCTCAGCAGCTCACGGTGTGGAAACTGCGACACTCACGCGGGTGCCGTCTCAGCAGCTCACGGTGTGGAAACTGCGACACTCACGCGGGTGCCGTCTCAGCAGCTCACGGTGTGGAAACTGCGACACTCACGCGGGTGCCGTCTCAGCAGCTCACGGTGTGGAAACTGCGACACTCACGCGGGTGCCGTCTCAGCAGCTCACGGTGTGGAAACTGCGACACTCACGCGGGTGCCGTCTCAGCAGCTCACGGTGTGGAAACTGCGACACTCACGCGGGTGCCGTCTCAGCAGCTCACGGTGTGGAAACTGCGACACTCACGCGGGTGCCGTCTCAGCAGCTCACGGTGTGGAAACTGCGACACTCACGCGGGTGCCGTCTCAGCAGCTCACGGTGTGGAAACTGCGACACTCACGCGGGTGCCGTCTCAGCAGCTCACGGTGTGGAAACTGCGACACTCACGCGGGTGCCGTCTCAGCAGCTCACGGTGTGGAAACTGCGACACTCACGCGGGTGCCGTCTCAGCAGCTCACGGTGTGGAAACTGCGACACTCACGCGGGTGCCGTCTCAGCAGCTCACGGTGTGGAAACTGCGACACTCACGCGGGTGCCGTCTCAGCAGCTCACGTCCAGGACCCCAGGCTGCACTGGCCCTCACGCCTCCTTAGTCCCCTGCACCTGTGACCCTTTCCTGGCCTGTCTTCGCTTCACCGCCTTGACAGCTTTGCAGAGTACTGCTCAGGTACTTTGCAAGATGCCCCTCAATTGGTGTTTGTGTGATGTTCTCTCTGATTACATTGGAACTGTGCGTTTGCGGAAGAACACGGCGGGGGGGGCGGCGCTCTTCTCATCACGTGCTCTCAGGGGCCACGATGTCAACATGCCTCATCACTGGTGGTCTGGACCTTGATCACACGGCCAAGGTGAGGCCTGCCAGGTCTCCCCACGGGAGAGTGACTGTTTTCCTCTCCATGTCCTGCTGGTTAAGAGTGAGTCATGAAGTCCAGCATGAGCTCCAACTCCTACAGGAAGGAGCATCAAAGAATTTGGGCACCGCGGTAATTACTGAACATTTAGGGGAGACACTTTGACAGTATACAAATATCTTCTTTCTCCTTAAACTTTGCACAGGAATTTTAGCATTCCTCAGGGGAGCTTGCCTGCAGCACTGATGGTGATTTTCTTTTTTTTCTTTTCTTTTCTTTCTTTCTTTCTTTTTTTTGAGACAGAGTTTTGCTCTTATTGCCCAGGCTGGAGTGCAGTGGCACAATCTCAGCTCACTGCAACCTCCCGGGTTCAAGCGATTCTCCTGCCTCAGCCTCCCAAGTAGCTGAGATTACAGGCATGTGTCACCAGGCCCAGCTAATTTTGTATTTTTTTGTAGAGACAGGGTTTCACAATGTTGGCTAGGCTGGTCTCGAACTCCTGACCTCAGGTGATCCACCTGCCTCAGCCTCCCGAAGTGTTGAGATTACAGGCACGAGCCACTGTGCCCAGCCTGATGGTGATTTTCCCTATTTACTCCACATTTCTTGTTTGGAATTTGTTCCAAGAAAGGCCTGTCCCTTTCAGTTTTTTGTTTTGTTTTGTTTTGTTTTGTTTTGTTTTGTTTTTGAGACAGAGTCTTGCTCTGTCACCCCAGCTGGAGTGCATTGGCGTGATCTTGGCTCACTGCAAGCTCCACCTCCCGGGCTCACACCATTCTCCTGCCTCAGCCTCCCGAGTAGCTGGGACTACAGGCGCTCGCCACCTCGCCCAGCTACCCTTTCAGTTTTAATTTATTCAATAATTTATTTATATGCTTACGAATCCATGGACATTCATTTTATTCTTTGGGGCATAATCCGATTTGTGTGTGTGTGTGTGTATGTCTGTGTGAGTGTGTGTGCACTCAAATCATTGTAGCTGTGGCCACTGGGAGCTCTTACATTTTGGGTTCCATGCCCTTTTGAAATGCCCACAGCTTTTTAAAAATTTTATTTTTGAGCATTTTCTTACTTCCTGGGACTACAAGATGCTCCAGGTTCATCTTGTATTTTCTCTCCCACATCCCAATTATCAGCCATTTCTCCAGGGAGACTTGGCTCCTTTTATTGAAGATGAAATTTAGAAACTAACATCTGGGCATGGAATGTGCTTGCTGCTACTGGGGTGTCCCCTCTCAAAGGACAAACCCAGGATCTACAGATGTGTGTGCTAAGCCATGTATGCACACGCACGTGTGTGTGTATATATTTAACCTATCTGTATATATGTATTATGTAAACATGAGTTCCTGCTGGCATATCTGACTATAACTGACCACCTCAGGGTCCATTCTGATCTGTATATATGTATCATGTAAACACGACTTCCTACTGGCATATCTGACTGTAACCAACCACCTCAGGGTCCATTCTGATCTGTATATATGTATCATGTAAACATGATTTCCTACTGGCATATCTGACTATAACTGACCACCTCAGGGTTCATTCCGATCTGTATATAAGTATCATGTAAACACGAGTTCCTGCTGGCATATCTGACTGTAACCGACCACCTCAGGGTCCATTCTGATCTGTATATATGTATCATGTAAACACGAGTTCCTGCTGGCATATCTGACTATAACCGACCACCTCAGGGTCCATTCTGATCTGTATATATGTATCATGTAAACATGAGTTCCTACTGGCATATCTGACTATAACTGACCACCTCAGGGTCCATTCTGATCTGTATGTATGTATCATGTAAACACGAGTTCCTACTGGCATATCTGACTATAACTGACCACCTCAGGGTCCATTCCGATCTGTATATAAGTATCATGTAAACACGAGTTCCTGCTGGCATATCTGACTGTAACCGACCACCTCAGGGTCCATTCTGATCTGTATATATGTATCATGTAAACACGAGTTCCTGCTGGCATATCTGACTATAACTGACCACCTCAGGGTCCATTCTGATCTGTATATATGTATAATATATATTATATATGGACCTCAGGGTCCATTCTGATCTGCATATATGTATAATATATATTATATATGGACCTCAGGGTCCATTCTGATCTGTATATATGTATCATGTAAACATGAGTTCCTGCTGGCATATCTGTCTATAACCGACCACCTTAGGGTCCATTCTGATCTGTATATATGTATAATATATATTATATATGGTCCTCAGGGTCCATTCTGATCTGTATATATGTATCATGTAAACATGAGTTCCTGCTGGCATATCTGTCTATAACCGACCACCTTAGGGTCCATTCTGATCTGTATATATGTATAATATATATTATATATGGACCTCAGGGTCCCCGCTGGCTTTTCCATGACTTCCTTATCCAGCTGTGAGAACCCTGACTCTTACTACTGTATTGACTTATTTGTGAAACCTTAGTATATATAAAAGTAGTTTCAAAGTTGCTAACATGTATTGCTGTGGGAAACAATTTTACCAATTGGAGTTTAGTGCTTAGATATGCAGAGTTATTTGATTCTTTCCAGAATCTAATCAAAACACTGTTTTTGGACTTACCCAGGTCAGCTCCTTTCTGCCCACTCTTTCAGCGCAGGCGTGTCCTGCTGTGGAACACACTCTGGGATTCCTGTGTGGGTCTGTACCCATCCTGTACCCGTCAGGACCCCCGGGCCCTGACTCTTGATGTTGTTCTTGCTCCTCTTGTTGATCTTGTTGTTCCCACAGTGAGGTCCAGTCCTGTGGGGTTTGACAAACACAGCATCACGTACCCAGCTCTGTAGAGCCACACAGAAGACTTTCATCCCTCAAAAATGGCCCCAGTTCGGCCCCTCGGTAGTAAACTCCTCTCCCCTCACTCACCCACTGGCAAATACTGATCTGTTTCTGTCCCGATAATTGTGTCTTTCCATATACACAAAAGTGAAGTCTGAGGGTGAGGCCCATGGCCTTGGGAAGCAGGCATAAGTTGGGGGGGGTGGGCATACAGGGTCACCGCGGAAGAAGATCCATGCTGCCCACACAGCCACATGTGGGACAGGGCAGGACCAGCCCCCCAAGCTGTGAACCTCGCCCGAGGCTATGCCCCACTCTGGAGCAGAACGGCCTCTGCAGAGCTTCCACCATGCACATGGGGAGTGCACAGCCAGGCCAGGAAGGGGAGGGCCCCTGTCTGCAGAGACAGGCCCATCCTGGACAGGAGGGAACAGCATTCCAGGCAGATCCGCCACTGGCTGCTGTTCCCAGAGTGGCTGTGTCCCCTCTGCAGCGTCCATGCCCAGCCGGCCTCCCCTGCCTCCCTCTGCAGCTGTCCACGCCCAGCCAGCCTCCCTGCCTCCCTCTGCAGCTGTCGCTCTCCACCCTCCTCTCCTTTCTTCTCTCCATCCCCCCTCCATCCCCGTCTCCTTTCTCCTCTCCATCCCCCTCTCCATCCCCCTCTCCATCTCCCTCTCCTTTCTCCTCTCCACCCCCTCTTCTTTCTCCTCTCCATCCCCCTCTCCTTTCTCCCTCTCCATCTCCCTCTCCTTTCTCCTCTCTAGCCCCCTCTCCTTTCTCCTCTCTATCCCCCTCTCCTTTCTCCCTCTCCATCCCCCTCTCCTTTCTCCTCTCCATCCCCCTCTCCTTTCTCCCTCTCCATCCCCCTCTCCTTTCTTCATGGCTCTTTCCCTTTCCTGCCACAACTGAACTGAGTGCAGGTGATTTTCGCTGCCTGCTGGCTTTATTCAGCTTCAACTTCTTGACTTTAAAGGTGGATGCAGGAAATGTGTGTCTTGTGTCACACATGGAAATGTTGCTGAAATAAGTTACTCTTCACTGATGTGGCCTCGAGGGTTTTCTGCTGGGTTTCTGGACCTTGTAAGCAAAGCAGACCCTCACCCGACTGACCTCCTGGCTGTGACGATGTGTGTTTCTATCCCACACAGGGAGGGTGTTTATGGTCTGAAGTGAGGCCTCTCATTAACTCCTCAAGAGTCGATTGAAGCACAATTTATTAGAGCCCAGAAATCATGGCAATCCATTCCCACAAGCACACAGCACAGCTAAACCAGCTCCAAGGAGGGTCCGAGTGTCCACAACTGCACCCCAGGCCCATTGTGCCTGCCGCTGGAGAGTGTGGGGCCCCTTGGCCCCTAAAGGTTTGCTGAGAAGTCACTGACATGAGACAGATGGATTAATAGGAGAAACGGTATGCAAATTTATGTGATGTGTACATATAAGAACCTTTAGAACGAAGACCCAACGATGGGGGAAATTGTCCATTTTTATGTTTAGGTTTAATAACGTATGAACAGTCCTCTAAAAAAAGGATTGGACACAAAGGGCTTGATCTAATGTGAATAGACTGAGTGGGAACCCAGCAAGGTCTGTCTAGATTTGTCTTCGTCTCTGAGCATTTTCTTCTCTGGACGTGGGGCAGGGCCCTCTCTGGAATGACAGTCTCATGACCTACAGTCAAACAAGGGATATTGGATCATTTCTCTCTAGTCAGCTCTTATATAGAAAGGTAGACGGAACACTGAGTAATATTTTTAGGTTTTCTGACCAGCTTTGGGGAGAAGGGGTTCTGATTTCTGTGACCGGCCTTGGGGAAAAAGAGAGTCTGGTTTCTACAGCGCCTTCGGGGAGAATGAGACTGAGAGACAGGAGGGCAGGAGAAGGTCAGAGACAACTTTTGCTTCTGAGGCTGCTGCTGAGGACTTCATTTTGGGGCGTTGTTTTCTGAGCCCCAACAGAAGGAAGGAAGCCTCTCCCTCCAGGGGTCAGTCCTGGGCCTCAAGGGCACCCTCGAAGCAGGCAGCTCAGCTCACAGAGCTCCCCTCGGCCATGTCCTCCACCTGCCCTTCCTTGGTCCAGCACCTCACCTGCACACACCTGTCTGGAGAGTCCCCAAGGTTGGAGAGCTGCTGAGTCAGCTGGGCCGAGCACACAGCGCAATACTTCCTTGTGCCTCCTAACCAGGATGGGCGACACCAGCCCATTTTATGGATGGGACAAGAAGAAGCTGGGCTGACAAGCCCAACATAGTGGAGCCAGCAACAGGCTTTTACTCTCCTCTCTGTCTCTTTGTCTCTCTCCCCCACCGCACCTCCATCCGCTCCATTCTCCTCTCTGCACATCAGCTTCCCAGACAATATTCTTGGTTTCTGTGGCTCCCAAACTGAAGCTTCCCCACAGTGGCTGCAACTATCCAGACCTGGGGCCACACTTGGGCCTCCAGGCAGGGGATCTAGTGATCACATTCTGGTCATGTCATCAGGCCAACTTGGCTGAGCTCTGCCCTCCTTATCTCTCCTCTCCCCTCGAGCCCTCACCCTGGTTACCTGCACAAGTAAACTTGCCCCTAACTGACCCCCTTTTCTCCCTCCATGTCCCTCAATACAACACTAACTCTGGCAAAAAAGACCAGCCTGGCCAGGTGCGGTGGCTCACGCCTGTAATCCCAGCACTTTGGGAGGCCGAGGCGGGCAGATCACAAGGTCAGGACATCAAGACCATCCTGGCTAACACGGTGAAACCCCGTCTCTACTAAAAATACAAAAAATTAGCCAGGCATGGTGGCAGGCACCTGTAGTCCCAGCTACGCGCGAGGCTGAGGCAGGAGAATGGCGTGAACCCGGGAGGCGGTGCTTGCAGTGAGCCGAGATCGCGCCACTGCACTCCAGCCTGGGCGACAGCGAGACTCCGTCTCAAAAAAAAAAAAAAAAAAAGACCAGCCTGAAGCAGAGATTGGGTCCCAGCCTGGCTCTGCCTGGCCCTCTGCTCCCGCTTCACCTCACAGACAGAACGCTGCCTTGTGGAGGGGTCCCCCGACCCTTTGGTGGGTGCCAAGCGGGTATGGAGGCCAAGGCCTGAGTGGTGAGAATAGTCCAGGGGCTAGCGCTGCGTGGGGAGGGCGAGCTCAGAGAGCAGGGGAGCCTGACCCTGCAGGTCAAGACTTCTGTCTGAGAGAAATGAAAAGCTGGGGATTTTAAGCAAAGGAATGCCTTGACCCAACCCTCACAACTTACATAATAATTAACTTAAAAGGAATCATAAGTTTAAACAGAAAATCTATATAAGAGGTTTACAGTTTAATTTAAAAACTATAATAGGTTTATAGTTTTTAAATTAAAATTTTAAATATAGTGGTTTATAAAACTTTGAGAAGAAAACTTAAAATCCCTATGAATGCTGCAAAAGTCACTGTTGAGAGAATGAAAACACAAGACATAGAGTTGGAGAAAATATTTGTGAATCTCATATCTGGCAAAGGAATTGTATCTAGAATACATAAAGAACTCTCAAAATCCAACAGTAAAAACACCAAATAATCCAGTTACAAACCGGGGAAGGACTTGAACAGATGCGTCACCAAGCAAGGGATATGGATGGGAAATAAGCTTCCATCAGCCACCAGGGAGATGCAAATTACAGCCACTAGGAAACCTTTTCATTCATTCCGGGATGGCTGAAATGTAAGCACGGAAAATGCTGGGTGCCCGCAAGAACGCGGAGCAGCAGGCACTCATTCCCGATTAGCGGGAGCGCAAAGCGAAGGGGCGGCCTGCGACGTTTTCCTGTAAAGTTGGGCACACGCTTCCCACATGACTCAGCAATTGCACTTCTGGGTATGTACCCGAGAGAAACAAAAGCTTATGTTCACACAAAAACCTACAACGCAAATGCACAAACAGCTCTATCCAACAACCATCCCACCCTGGAAGCAACCCAAACACGCTTCAGCGGCACAGGCGCCTCCACGCGGAACCCCACGCGGCGCTCAGCACGGACGAGGAGGGAGCCGCGCACGCGCGGTCGGCTCGGCGAGGAGCCGGTCTCCAAGTGCCGCCAGCTGCGGGATTTCCTCTGCAAAAGACAAACCACAGGGAGAGCTGCCGGGGCTGGGTCGGGGAGTGTGACTGTGAACGGAGTTCTGGGGGTGATGTAACTGTTCTGTATCCACAGTGTTGCTACATGAATCTATAAATGTGTTAAACTCATAGAACTGTACACCAAAAAATAGCAGTTTTGCTGAATGTTAATTCAGAAATGAAATTAAAATTTTAAATTAACAACAAGCAACTTTACAAGAGAAAAAAAAAAACCTCATTTCCTCCCCACAAAGCCACCTCATGAGCCTGGGTGGTGCCTAGCCAGTCCTGCTGCTGAACCTGCTCTGACCTGGCCTAAGGGTAGGACTCGAGGCTGGGAGCCAAGGGCCAACCACAGGACAGGCAGCAAGACCCGCTTCGCTGGTCTGTCACACACACCGCACCAAGTCGGTGTTCAGGATAAACCGGGGCACACTCTGAGCTGGGCCTGTCTCCGGCTTCAACCAAAAAGCCTGAGCTCTGGCAGGTGAAGGACCAGACGTTTCTGTGGGGCTATGGACTTGTCTGGGAGGCAGCCACCTCTAAGCCACCCAGGATGGTTTCGGTTGTGTTTGGATGGAGTTCTGAGTTTTGCCAGTTAAAATTCCCCCTTCAGGAGCTCTCTATGGGGGTAAAGTGCAAGATTTGGGGTAGAAAAATGACAAGTCAGAGGACTGGAAGGAACATTATGGACTGTCCTCCCTTCTGCCTGAAGAGATGGGGAGACTCTCCCAGGCCATGTGGAAGACCTCACAGGGGGACCAACTGCTGCCTTTCAGCCTGGCCGAGGGAAGAGCCCCTGACTCAGCCTCCGCAGGAGGAGGTGGGCTGGAACCAAGTTTCCCTGCATCAATCCAGGCAGGCAGCCCCGAACAGTGCACTCCAACATGGGATAGTGAGCCAGCTTGGGGGACAGCAGCTGTCTAAACAGGAGCATGCAACCCCCGTGCTGAGAGTTCCCCAGGGTCACGACTACCCAGAGTCAGAGCTGCCCAGGGTCACAGCTACTCGAGGTCAGAGCTGCCCCAGATCAGGGCTGCCCAAGGTCAGAGCTGTCCTGGGTCAGAGCTGCCCATGGTCAGAGCTGTCCTGGGCATCAGAGGCGCAGAGGTGGGAAGGGCTGGCTTCAGGTGGGAGTTATAGGTGGGAGTTATGCTACAAAGGGTCTTGAAGGCCAGTGTTGTTGACAGGGTAGGGTGCCTGGGTAATAGCAGAGGAAGAAAAAGGCTTAGAGTTGGAGGGAAAAACATGAACTGGAGTTGGGGGAGTGCACCTTCCCCCTCAGAGACCACAAAGCCTCCCCAGGGCTGGGCTGTGGCTGCTGGAGCTCCCAGACCATGCCAAGTGTCAGAGCCTGGGCAAGACCCTCTGGGGCAGCCCGGAACCACCAGAGGTCAGAGCTGGAGGAGGCTCAGCTGGGGCCCTTGCACCAGGCAGGAGGCCCAGAAAAGAGACAGTGCTCTTGAACTGCAGGAAGGCAGCTCCGTAGAGAGGCAAATCTCACTCCAGCTCGGGCAATACTCAACTACACGGACGTGGATGCTCTCAAGGGGGCTTTGGGGCATGTGGTGTCGGCATTGGACCCAAATATGGGCTCAAAGCTTTCCTTTACCATATTCCTTCTACATTTTTCTTGCAGATTGAGAAGGGATAGGGAGGAGTTTAGGGAAGTGAGTGAAGCAGGAAGATGTTGACCAAGGGAAGTTAATTCCATAAAGAGGAGGATGAGGGGACAGAAAGGCAGGAGGAAGAGGAGGAGGAGAATCTTCGCACAGGGGGTGTCAGCTGATGGGGGCAGCATGGGCGCCCATGGAGCCCTTTAGGGGTCGTTGGTTGTGTGCAGAGAGGCCACAGCAGGCGAGGCAGGCAGTGTCTACCACCCCCAAGGAGACACCAAGAATCCCTGTCCTTAGGAAGTCCCCTCTTCCTCCTCTTGAGTCTCATCTCGGAAAGAGGGAGCTGTCAGTCAGAGCTCAGGCCAAACACTGGGGCTAATAGGGGTGAGAGCAGGGACCTGTGGGGTCCTCACCGCTGTCCCCTTCTCACCTTTCTGGCTCAGGCCAGGCTCAGCCCCCAGTGGTCTATTGTCTTTCTATCTGTCATCTATCTACCTACCCACCTATCTAACCATGCCATCTATTTCATCTATTTTTATCTATCAACCATCTATCATATATCTACCTACCTACCTTTCCATCTATCATCTAGTTCATCTATTGCTATCTATTATCTAATTTGCCTATCAAGTATCTATCCATCATCTATTTCTGTCATCTATCCATCACCTGTTACCTATCACCCATATACCACCTATCCCTATCTATCATCTATCTAGCCAGCAATCCACCCATCATCTACTTCATCTATTTCTACCCGTCTCCCACCCCCTCTCCCCACCCCTCACCAGAGAGTATGCAAGCACGACCACGTCAACAGGCCCTGAAGTCACAGGTTCACACAGCACGTTTTCTGCTCCATCACGTGTATGGGGCAGGGGGCAGCAGAGCTGGGGGAGAAGAGATAAAGGAATTATGTCAAACAGGGACTGTCTTGTCTGCCCCAAGGGCCTTTCCTCATCTATAAAGCAGATTTTTCTTGTAGAGCACCACGAGAGCTGTGAAATGGGAGTGAGGGGTGAGGCAGGCCATGGGGCCTTCCACAAGGTGGGCAAGATGGTTGTCTCTGGGGAACCAGCTGGCCAGAGGGGGCCAAGTGCCAACCGGTCTGGATGAGAGCAAAGCAGCAGGCAGAAGGTTACAGAGGCAAGTGTCGGCACCAGGGGTGAACGCTGGGATTTTTCAAATCCAAGAGGCATTTCAAGTAAGGGGAAAACCTCCCCCGGGGCTGGGCTGAGAAGCTAGTCGGGTGATGGGATGAGTGAGAATGACAAGTTGCGTCTGATTGTCCTGGAGACCTGGCTGAGAACTCTGTGTGAGTCTCTTAGGTAGACGGTTACACTTGTTTTCAGTGAGAGTCAGTTTCCATAGAGAACTGCATGGTAGTCACCAAGAACCGAGGGGGCCCAGGAATGCCCCAGCAGTGGTCTGGAAGGGCTTGTGGGGCTGGGCAGGAGGTGGGTGGGGACCGGGTGCAGGCAGAGGGAATTCAAGGGTACAGAGGCAGAGAGATGGTGCCGCCTGGGGAACGCAGCGCACCCAGGACAGAACAGGCCTGAGAGCCACACACACTCACAGCGGCTTCCCAGAGTGTTTGTTTTCTATGCACCAAGATGCTCCCCCAAACCCTCTGCAGCCTGTTCCCTGCCTTGGGGGTCCTGAGGGCCACCCTTCGGGTATGGGGTTCAGGTCGCTATTCCTTTCTCGATGCCCCTGGTGTGTCCATGGGATGAGCTGACTGGCCCACCTAGTGGGAGCCTGTGCACCACGGTTCGTGTGGCCCAGGGGAGGAGGTTTTGCCTTTCCTGGACCCCACTTTATGAAAGGAAAGCCTGAACCCCTGGGCCAGCTAGGGGAGTGAGCTAGGGTGGAGGGCAGTGCTGGTCATGGAGGGCAGTGTCCAGCCCTCTGCTCACCAGCTCCAAGAGTGATTCTGGAAACGGAGCCCAGTCCCTGGGCCCAAACCTTTGCCTCTGCCCTTCTTTCTCTCTACAAATTAGAGGCCACATCCCTGGCCGCTGAAGCCTTGTACCCTGACCCACTGTCTGAACCTGATGGAGTCTAAATGCAGTGAGCGGGTGCCAGCCTTCCCTGGAGCTCTGCAGAGGCAAGGAGGGGGTGGATGGAAAGACGGGAGTCCCTCCCCTTAGGTGAGGGGGGGAACTAGGGCCCGGGGAGATGCCCAGGCCTGGCGGCCGGCGCACGCGGGTTCTCTGTGGCCAGCAGGCGGCGCTGCAGGAGAGGAGATGCCCAGGCCAGGCGGCCGGCGCACGTGGGTTCTCTGTGGCCAGCAGGCGGCGCTGCAGGAGAGGAGATGCCCAGGCCTGGCGGCCGGCACACGTGGGTTCTCTGTGGCCAGCAGGCGGCGCTGCAGGAGAGGAGATGCCCAGGCCTGGCGGCCGGCGCACGCGGGTTCTCTGTGGCCAGCAGGCGGCGCTGCAGGAGAGGAGATGCCCAGGCCTGGCGGCTGGCGCACGTGGGCTCTCTGTGGCCAGCAGGCGGCGCTGCAGGAGAGCTCAGGAGCAGGGGCCTGGGCCTGCTCCGGGGGAATCCGCCCACCCCACCGCGGCGGCCTCTCCTGAGGTTCCCTAGTGGCCGCGAAGGGTGGGCTCAGGGTGAGGGGTCAGGCCACACCAGTGGGTGCAGGGATGGCTGCGGCCACGGGAGGGCGTCCAGGGAGGAGGCCGGAGCTCAGGCCCACTCTGCACACCCAGCCCGCCACCTCCCCCGGCTCTCTCTTCCTTCGTGCACATTCTGGGGCTCATGCTTCTGCTGTGGTCCCATTTAGCCAACCTGGCCAGCCTTTCATGCCTGCTTCATGGGTGAGACGTGGAGGCCAGGTCAGCCGCAGAGCCCGGGGCACACGCCGCAGCCAGCACAGCAGCAGGTGGGCGTCTGCGGCCGGGGCCAGCGCGGGGCCCACTGGGCCTCGGAGGGGCCTCCCTGCCGACTCTGCCCCCGTCCTGTGGCCGTAAGTCCACCCAGAGCGCTCGATCTTCCGTCCACCAGGCCAGGGATGCACGCAGAGTAAGGATGTGTGTGTCTACGCATGTGGGGGTGTGGGTGTGACGGGGTGTGTGCTGTGTGAGAACGTGTGTGTAGTGTTCACCTGTCCTCTGTGCGTGAGTCCCTGTGTGTGATGTTGTGTTCTCGGTGTGAGTTCATGGGTGTGACGGGGCGTGTGCTGTGTGAGAACGTGTGTGTAGTGTTCACATGTCCTCTGTGCGTGAGTCCCTGTGTGTGATGTGTTCTCGGTGTGAGTTCATGGGTGTGATGGGGTGTGCTGTGTGAGAACGTGTGTGTAGTGTCCACATGTCCTCTGTGCGTGAGTCCCTGTGTGTGATGTTGTGTTCTCGGTGTGAGTTCATGGGTGTGACGGGGCGTGTGCTGTGTGAGAACGTGTGTGTAGTGTCCACATGTCCTCTGCGCGTGAGTCCCCGTGTGTGATGTTGTGTTCTCGGTGTGAGTTCATGAGTGTGACGGGGCGTGTGCTGTGTGAGAACGTGTGTGTAGTGTCCACATGTCCTCTGTGCGTGAGTCCCTGTGTGTGATGTTGTGTTCTCGGTGTGAGTTCATGGGTGTGACGGGGTGTGCTGTGTGAGAACGTGTGTGTAGTGTCCACATGTCCTCTGTGCGTGAGTCCCTGTGTGTGATGTTGTGTTCTCGGTGTGAGTTCATGGGTGTGACGGGGTGTGCTGTGTGAGAACGTGTGTGTAGTGTCCACATGTCCTCTGTGCGTGAGTCCCTGTGTGTGATGTGTTCTCGGTGTGAGTTCATGGGTGTGACGGGGTGTGCTGTGTGAGAACGTGTGTGTAGTGTTCACATGTCCTCTGTGCGTGAGTCCCTGTGTGTGATGTTGTGTTCTCGGTGTGAGTTCATGGGTGTGACGGGGCGTGTGCTGTGTGAGAACATGTGTGTAGTGTTCACATGTCCTCTGTGCGTGAGTCCCTATGTGTGATGCCCGTGTTCTCAGTGTGAGTTCATATGTGTGACAGGGTGTGCTGTGTGAGAACGTGTGTGTAGTGTTCATATGTTCTCAGTGTGAGTTCATGTGTGTGACGGGGTGTGCTGTGTGAGAACCCGTGTGCAGTGAGATCTTCCCCAAAGGTAGTTCAAAGCTGGGGCCCTTTCATTTGCCAGGATCTAACCCAGCTACTCAGGAGGCTGAGGCAGGAGGATCACTTTAGGCCAGGATTTTGAGAGCAGCCTGGACAATATAGTGAGACCCTGTCTCTACAAAAAAATTTTAAAAATTAGCCGAATGTGGTGGGGCATGCCTGTAGTCCCAGCTACTCCGGAGGCTGAGGTGGGAGGATTGCTTGAGCCCAGGAGTTTGAGGTTATAGTGAGTAGTGATGGCATCCCTGCCCTCTATCCTGGACGACAGACCAAGAGTCCAGCCCTAAAAAAAAAATTTAATTAAAAATTTTTAAATCTTTAAAAATTAAAAATCTTAAATTTTTCTTTAAGATTTATAAGAGGACTCAGTAAAGGCTGTGCTGGCAATAACATCAAACTACTGAATTCTTTGAGAACTCCTTGGAGATTATTATTTTGCATGACATAACTAAATATCTTAATGATTGACTTAATTACTTAGATGTCAGTCTGTATGTTTTTGGTGTCGTAAGTACAAAGCTTAGAACTGTTACTTTTAGGGCCAGGAGCAGTGGCTAACGCCTGTAATCACAACACTTTGGGAGGCTCAGTCAGGCGGATCACCTGAGGTCAGGAGTTTGAAACCAGCCTGCCCAACATGGTGAAACCCCGTCTCTACTAAAAATACAAAAATTAGCCAGGCATGGTGGCAGGCACCTGTAATCCCAGCTACTTGGGAGGCTGAGGCAGGAGAATCTCTTGAACCCAGGAGGTGGAGCTTGCAGCGAGCCGAGATTGTGCCATTGCACTCCAGACTGGGCGACCAGAGCGAAACTCCGTCTCAAAAAAGAAAAAAAAAATTACTTTTAAAACCAAGTACTAGCTCATCTCTAAGTAATACTATTTAAGTAGGCAAAAGCCCCTGGAGGTCGCCTGAACTTTTTATACTCTTAGCTGAGGGGACAGAAGAGAAATGATATGACATTTACAGAAACCCCTATGTGGCCTGGCCTCATTGGAATTTTTTCTGTTAGTTAAATAAAGACCATTTGTTTCTATTGATTAAAAACAAAATTATTCATATAATGGGTTCAAGAAAACAAATTATTTCCCTAATGGACAGTGTAGGTCAGGACTAGAAGCAAACAAGGATCTTCTATCCCTCACACATCTCAACACTCAAGCAAAAACTCAAAGAAAACAATGATACTGATGGCCACGTCATGCACCGTGCTCACACAAGGATGCCAAGAGGCTTCATATGTGTTCCTTACCTGGACCCTTTTCACTGGATCAGAAACATGGATGTCTTAGTCTGATAGGCATCCTCTGCTAATGCATTTTAAATGATTGAATCAATAATTTGATGGGCCACTTTTTATAAGATGCTACGATACCCTATGAAGCACTATTAAAATATTCATTTTTCTGCACACCAGATGTGGCCCAATTGTTAATAACCAATATGGTTCTCTGGCAAAAGGAGCAAAGGCAGCCCTCTAAGATATTCCTCACTGATATTCCATTTTTCAGTGGGTAGGGAGACATGAGTAGGAAGCAAATCTGGGTCCCTGCACCCACGATCTTGGTGCCATCAAAGTGCCGCTGCTGGCAGGTTCCTGGGCACCATCTGAGACCAACCCCACTGTGAGGTTGAAGGAGGCTGATCAGAACAGTGGTCCTCCACCTCCTCCCTGACACCTTGGGAAGATGACTTCCCAAGTCATCTTCTATTTATGTGGTCTTATTCCCATAACTGGGGCCAGATGATCCCACCCTGGGAAGACTGGGGAAATACCCAGAATGCTGACCTGAAAGTCCAATTTTCCCAATGTTTCTACTGTTCCCATGTCAAAAGTCTTTGGGCAAAATCTCCCAGGCTTGAGAGATTTCAATCCAGCCTGGATCACCTCTCCACTTCCTCCATCCCAGAGTTAAATTAAAAATCCCAT
The DNA here is from genome assembly GCF_000001405.40 of Homo sapiens. Lineage (NCBI taxonomy): Eukaryota > Metazoa > Chordata > Mammalia > Primates > Hominidae > Homo > Homo sapiens. Next base: position 98,358 of record NC_000008.11, read on the forward strand.
CTGCTGTCAATGAGGAGTCCCTTCAGGCCCTAAAGTTTAGGAAGAGGAATCCCTATCTTGTCTTCTTCACTGTCATCCCAGCACATCAGTTACTTAAAACAACCCAATTTCAAGAACTGATAGACCTTCATTTCTGGACACACCAAAAACAAGCAAATTCCAGAGGATCAGCTTCAGGGTGGCAGAATGGAAGGAGTAAAAGCCAACCACGGGGCCAGGTGCAGTGGCTCACGCCTGTAATCCCAGCACTTTGGGAGGCTGAGGTGGGCAGGTCACCTGAGGTCAGGAGTTCAAGACCAGCCTGGTCAACATGGTGAAACCCCGTCTCTATTAAAAACACAAAATATTAGCCAGGCATGGTGGCGGGCGCTGGTAGTCCCAGCTACTCGGGAGGCTGAGGCTGGAGAATCACTTGAACCCAGGAGGCGGAGATTGTGGTGAGCCAAGATTGCACCACTGCACTCCAGCCTGGGTGGCGAGTGAAACTCCATCTGAAATAACAACAACAAAAAGCCAACCATGGGATCTGTGGCACAGCTCTCACTTCACCATTAGCTCAGCCAGGACTGGCAAGGGAGTGCCGACTGGAGAATCTTATCCTCTGTTCCTTAGCTGTTTAGATGTATAAAGCCTGAGGGCTTGGCACCTAATTAGGGTTTCAGAGCTTTGTTTTTCTCTCATCTAATTACATTTGCCCTGTGGGGAAGAGCCTCTGTCCAGGAGGCATTGCTCTCTGAAAATCTGTCTCAGCCCAACAACAGGTGCGAGAAGGTGAGCAGCTCCTCTCCCCACCAATGCGGTGAGATGCTGAGCCAGGCCCTGGCTTCTTCTTCCTCCTCTCCTTTCATTATCTCTAACTCCAGTGTCAGCCCTCAAGCAGTCCCCTGCTTTGTCACCCCTGGCAAGGTGGGGAATGTTCTCTTAACCTGCAGCTTTCTCCTTCGGGAACAAAGCGCAGCCTCTTAGCAGCTAGCAATCAACTCCTGTGCTCGGGGCCTTCCAGCCAGACCTTCTGCAGTACACCCTGGTAGGGGGTAAATTATCCTGAGCTTGGAAAATGTGACTGAAATCACCTCCGACAGAGGGAAATGGGTTTTCATAAAAGACGTTTCCTCACCTTCGGTTGCAACTCAATTCAACTGACCATTTCCCACCCTGGATCTCAAAAGAAATTTCTGCTTTGCTTCTGGGTATGAGCCTGGGTGATAATGAAAGGTACTTAGGAAGCCAGGCCTATTGAAGCAGCGTAGCCCTCAGAGGGGCATGGCTGACTTGGCTAAGAGTAGGACAGGGTGTGGGGTTGAGGAATCCATGGGGACTCAGGGCATCCTGTCGCAGACACAGGAGCTGACCCAGCCACAGGGTCACAGGACAGCCTGTGTCACCACAGTCTCTGTGCAGAGTCCAGAGTTCACAAATGAGATAAATGGACATTTGCTGACTGGGGTAACTCAGCATCTATTCACCCTATTTCTGGGAAAAGCCTCAATTTACATGTGGGAATGGACCACCCCCTTATTGTTATAGGAGTTATTAAGAAATTATTTTAGGCAGATAGAGAGGAAAAGAGGTCCTTGGGAAGTTTTTGTTTATTTTAAAGCAGATCCAGAAACCTTTCTTGTCTAACAGGAGAGCGCCAGCTCTAAGAGCCACTGGCAAGCTTTGATATGCAAACGCAGGCCACTGGAAACTGAGTCCACCCAAACATGGAGATTCCAGGTTTCTTCCTTGCCCCAACAGGTGGCTGGCAACATGGCCGCCCCCACATATCCCCACGTGTGTAGAACATCATGGCGCCCTGCATTTGCATCTTAAAAGGCTAGACTGTGAGGGCCAGCTTTTTCGCAGGCTATGTGAATGACCTGCCTGGTCAAACCAATCCTCTGAGCCCTATGCAAGCCAGCACCGCCTCCTCCAGCCTCCTCATATAACTAGCTGATTACACCACACACACGCCCTCCCCCCACATCCCTTCTCCCCACCGGGGTTTTCTCTCTGTTCAAATCCCCTCTCCCTCTGTCTCTGTACTGGGGAGCTGTTTTCTTCTTCCTTCCTTCTTTCTTGTATATTAAACTTTTCGCTCCTTAAAACCACTCCAGGTGTGTCTGTGTCATTTTATCCAAGTGTGTGCTAGACCAAGAACCCTGGTGCTCCTCCAGTCATCTGAGCCATATCATTATCTCATTCTGTTTTTGATGGCACTAACCACCAGCATACCCTGCTCCATCAGAACACTCATCCTCCTGAGCTCTGTGAATGGCTCAGGATGCACAAGTGAGAGAAAAATGTAGCCAAGTGAGGAGGCAGAGAGAAACTGCCTCCTGGTAACACAGTGTGCACCCCTGGATCAAGCCACGCCTGAAGGCAGTTTATTCTGAACTTTTACAATAAGTGCTCTTTTTGTTTAAATCACTTTGGATTGGGTTTTTGTTCACTTGTAAGCAAAAGCACACTATGATAAAAGGGGATACAAGACAAGTATCACAAATCCAGAAATGAGAAGGGCCCAACCCCAGAGCCCAGGCCAGTCAGGGAAGTGAAGAAACAGACAGCATCTGAGATGCCTATGCCCAGTATCCAGGGGCTAGGTCCATGGCCTTTGAGCCTTAAGATGCAGGAGATCCCTGTGGGGAACTTCACAACAGCGTAGATTCCCACTCATTCCCACAGCCAATTCTCATCCTTCAGTCTGGAAGGGGAACCAGAGGTTTGGTTTTTAACCAATATCCAGGCAATTTGGAAGCAGATAACACAGAGAATACTTTGAGAAACACTTCCCTACACTCTGAGCTGGGAGTTAAAGGACAGGGTTCCAGTCTCTGCGGTGAGGCAGTGGCAAGAGCTCCGTGGGCGGGAAGAATATTAGGCCAGAGCTTAGAACAGGACTGCAGAAGCAAGCATGGAATGGAAGCACATCTGGTGATCTGTGACATACAACGAGCCTGCAGATCACAGGCAATGATTTTTGGAAACTCATCACACAGTAGTTTGAAGCAGCAGGAACGATTTCATCCAAAGTGCCATGAGAACACTTCCGAGTCTACAAATGCTTTCATAGGTCAATCTAAGCTGTTCCTCCCAACCAACCTGTCTGGCAATTAGAAATTAGGAAATTAAAACTCAGAGTGTCTAAATAGCATGCACAAAGCCACACAGCTCACTGGTTCAGTAGCCTAGACCTGGGTCCCAGTCTGTCTGACACCAAAACCCACACTTTTCAAATAATTCTCCCTTCCACCGGGGGAAGGGCTGGGTCTCAGGAAAGGTCTAAGGGACACACAGTGCGGGGATCAGTGAGACCCTACTCAGCAGGCCCAGATGAGGGAAGGGGGTGCTCCATCTGACTGCACAGGAAGGCAAGGCCATTTTAACTTTGCAGCATCTTCAACTCATCTGGCTCAAGAAATCCCAGCCCAGCTTGGGGATGGAGAGTGGAGGAACACAGGGGCACCCTTGCAAGTGAAGACTAAGCTCTGATTTTTTTTTTTTATCTTACCCAAATTCCCTATCTAAAGGGTCTGGGGAGTGATGTCCTACAAACCATAAATTCTCATCAGATGGATTTTATTTAACCCTATATATTGTGACTTACTTTCCAAACTGACTCTGTCATAACATTATGAGACAAGGAAGAAAATCAAAATATTTTACCCCAAAACATAGGCTTTTTTGTCCATATCTTGAAATGGCCCTGCAAAGCTGTCCTTTGTGGGGGAAAATTTGTATCTGTAAAGAATCTCTATTAACATAGCTAGATATTTTTCTTCCAGGCCCTCCCAATCCTAAAGAGATTAACTGAAAGTCTAGCACTTTGTTTTTTTTTGTTTGAGACGGAGTCTCACTCTGTCGCCCAGGCTGGAGTGCAGTGACATGATCTCGGCTCACTGCAACCTCTGCCTCCCGGGTTCCAGCGATTCTCCTGCTTCAGCCTCCTGAGTAGCTGGGACTACAGACGCCCACCACCACACACAGCTAATTTTTATATTTTTAGTAGAAATGAGGTTTCACCACATTGGCCAGGATGGTCTCAAACTCCTGCCCTTCTGATCCACACCCACCTGGGCCTCCCAAAGTGCTGGGATTACAGGCATGAGCCACCGTGCCTGGCCAAGTCTAGCACCTTTTAAAGATCTGAATAGGAAACATTTGCCATCTATTGTCTCTGAGGACAGCCTCTATAAGACTTCAAAAGAACCTTGGTCTCCACCATCTTTTATCTTAACTTGAAAATTTCCTTTCTATGGATCCCAGGTCTTTAGACAAACTCACTGAGATTTACCTATAGCCTGGAAGCGCCCCTCTCCTCCTGCTTTGGTCCCACCTTTCTGGACCAAACCAGTGTATTTCTTAAATGTACTTGATCGATGTCTCATGCCTTTCTAAAATGCATAAAACCAAGCTGTACCCCGACCACCTTGGACACATGTTCTCAGGACCTCCTGAGGGCTATGGCAAGGGCCGTGGTCACTCATATTTGGCTCAGAATACATCTCTTCAAATATTTTACTGAGTTTGACTCTTTCCATCTACAGGAGCAATGGAAATGATTTTCTTTGATCACAGTGTCAGCTCCTGACATTGGGTTGCGCCCATCTGTGCTGCGGACTCTTCCCTCGGAATGAGAGAGGGAGATGGCTCCCAGTGTGGTTGGAAGTCACCCCGCCCCACAACAACACAGTGCAACAGGCCCCAGCTTCACGCCCATTCAGTTCAGGACAAGTTTTTTGGAGCATCTACTCTGGGCCAGGCCCGTAGGATACTAAGATGAAATAGAGACAGTTCCTGCCTTTGAAGGGTGGTGATTTACCGGTGGGGAGAAAGGAAGAGGCCCATGAAAAGTCGTGTCTGTAGAAGGTAAGAAGGGGCACAACCGCCATGGCAGGGGAGTCACAAAGGAGAAGCATTCAGCCTGCCGAGAGTTCCCAGGAATTTCCTGGAGGATCAGTCCCCAAACTGACTGTGACAGGGAGCTATACCCAGATAACAGCAGAGGCCCAGAATAAGAAAGAGTCTGTGAGTGGGCAGAATTCCCTCCAGGGTCATGAGGGGAGCTGACTTCTGATTAGGGCATTTCATCCTTCTCTGAAATGCAGCTGAGAACTGGTCAGCCTCACTCCCTTGCTGAGACCAATAGCAATCCCTGATGATCTCGCCACAGGTCCAGCAGGTGCCCCATCCACACTTTGTCCCCAGCCCCTACCAGGAAGCTCCAAACACCTACCTGAGGGGCCAACTCTGATTCCCAAGGAGGTGACACCTCCTGCCTCTTGTTGATAGAACATTGATAAGGAAATAGGACTGAGTTTTAAGCTTCTTTCCATGTCAAATATTTAAAGGCAATATAATGTTCACGTTTAAATAATATTTCATGTGTAATTAAACAATCCCTTATTGTTAAATAGATGGGTTCCAATTTTGAACTGCTATAATCTGTGTATGTGTCCTTGATTAAATCCTTAAGAGAAATCCCTAGAAACATTATCTTAGGGTCAAATGGCTTGGATATTCTGTAAACTGCTGATAATTATGGGAAATTGCCTTCCAGGAAGGTTATAACAATTTGCCTGATCCCCAGCAGCAACAGACTTTACAAAGTACTCAGTATCTAATATTTAACTTTGATAAAGATAAGCTTCTCCCTTCTTTTTCACTTAAAATGCTGTGTCCCACCTCACTTTTCAGTGTCTCTTCACACTGACTAGACGGTTGGCTAATACTTCAGAGCTTGCAGAGCATCTTTATACACTTTTAATCCTCCTAACAACCGTGAGAGATGGAGCTTACTATTATCATCCGTGTTTGCAAATGAGGCCCTGAGAAGTTGAGTGATTTCTGTAAGGTCTCAGAGCCAATAGACACTGGTAATGAAATAAAATGCAAGGCCCCTTATCTTTGGAGCCCAGTGTTCCTTCCACATAGGTGGTTCTCCACCCAGACTGCCCAGGAGAATGTGGAATCTCCAGCAGTTCTGACTTAACTGGCCTGGTGTGGATGTCTGTGATGGGTGAACATTCCCAGACCCTTTTAAGAACGTGATAGAAGTGGTGGACCCACTTCCCAGAAAAAGGGACGCACAACAAAATAATTGTCCTGAGTGGGTCTGATAGAATCAAGTGAACCCTTTAAATCTGGATCTAGAGGTCAGAGACTGAGAATGTCAGAGATGCAAAAGAGATTCAGTGCAAGAGAAATCCTCCTACTGGTTTTGAAGATAGATGTTGGCACCCTGTGTCAACAACTTGAGAGTGGCCTTGAGTTGCTGGGAGCACCCCAGACTGACAAACAGCAAGAAGAATATGGGGACCTCAGTCCTACAACCACAGGAACTGAATTCTACTGACAACCAGTGAGCTTGCAAAGAGGACTTGGAGCCCCAGATGAGAAGCAAACCTGGCTACCCCGATCTCAACCCTGTGAGATCCTAAACAGACAATCCAGCCATGCAACACCCAAACTTCTGACCTATAGAAACCCTGAGATAATAAATGGGCATTGCTCTAAATCACCAAGTTTGTGGTAATTTGTTACACAGCCATAGGAAGTGAATCGACCCGATGTATCTGAGCACCTGCTAGGTTATCATTAAGATTACTCTTCAAAGGTAAAAATTATTTTTCAAAATGTTTCTGCCCTACCTTCCGTGAGCATCTGGTGATGGATGGACACACACACATAAAGGTAGACTGTGTTTAGGTGGGCATGGTGGTGCATACCTGTGGTCCCAGCTACTCAGGAGGCTGAAAGAGGAGGATCACTAGGGCCCAGGAGTTCAAGGCTGCAGTGAAGCTGTGATTGAGCCATTGCACTCAAACTTGGGCAACAGAGCAAGACACCAGCTCTAAAAAAAAAAAAACTGCTGAATGCTATAAATAAGATTGGAACTTGCTCTGCTTTTACAAGACCACTGTTAGATGACCACTGACAAGAAGACTGTGAGCTGGTCTCTGTAGGAAGCAGGGGCCTGGGCAGCTCTGGGGGCACAGGAGACAGGCCTGGGGCAGAGACACCTCAGGGCATTTTCAGAAGACAGCCAAAGCAGCCATTCCAGCTTGTCCAGGTAGATGGCAAGTCAATGGGAAATGATTCCAGGAAGGTAGGGAAAGATGGAATTCTGGAGAGCATTGGACCTCAGATTGGGAGTCTGAACGTCTTTCCATATGCATCAGGAAGCCATGGAAAATTCACAGACTGGAGTGACTTTGGCAAAGGTGGGATTTAGGAAGACTGATCAAGGCACGGGATAGACCCATGGATGAATGGCCTTCTGGTCAGTTTGTCCCTGTGGTTTTCTATGCTGAGGAGGTGGGAATGTGCTGGGTGAGTCAGCTGTGGATTTGTGTCCCTGCCTCACCTCACTCCCCACTGTCGTGGATTTGTCGGCTCATCTTTAGTGCGCTCCCTGAAGAAACACTCAGTTCACTCAGCTTGTTTCTAACCCAAAACACTCTGCAGGGCCCATCCTCTTGTCTTTGCCTGGGGATGCCAGACCATGCACTGCGGATGCCTTCCACCTTAGCACTAGTGGGCTAAATGATGACTGCCTTGCTGTCCCAACACCACCCATCAAAGGGAAGACATCACCACTGGGGTCAGTACAGCCCAAGTGACAAACTCTATTCCCTCCTTTCTCTCCATCCCATGGACCCTTGATTTGCTAAGTGGGAAGACACTTTCTCGTGGTTCAACATCACCTAATCTGCACAATTGCTTCTGCAGGCTAATTCAGCCAGAAACCCTGGATATCTGGGCAGAAGCGCATGGAACTTTTAGAAGGATTACTACTGCTTTTAATATTCCCTCTGTCTTGAGTCAGACCACCACCAAGATCAGAGTTAATATTATATATCAAAGTCCTGCCATCAGCCTGTAGGATTTATTACTAGCATCTCTCCACTTCAGAGCTATGGGAACCAATGGAATTGGATCTAAGGTTTTGAGTTGGCTCTTGTGCATGGAAATTTGATGCAAACACTCTAACTTATTGGCCCTAAAGGGCTTTGGCAAGTCATTTTGGCAAGTCACCCACTGAACACAGAGTGAAATTTGCAGAGGTTTCCCCTCTGCTCGAACAGTGGTGTTCTCAGCACGTACAGGGAAGTTCTGCCCCCTTCCAGCCAGGTGAGCTAGGGGATTTTGCCTACCCTTTCTGAACCTCAGTTTTCTCATCCATAAGATGGGAATAAAAACATGGTCCTGGATGTATGTCTCATGCTAGGCACAGAGGCAGGGTACTCTCTCCCCTGAATGCCTTGCTATTGATGCATCACCAGTAAGGCATGCATTCATTGCACAGAAACTTAGGCATATGCCTACCAACATGCCCGATGTTGTGTGAGGCCTGACCGCTGTGAGGATGGACTTCCATCTGTGTGAATGGATTCATGAGACCAGCCCTCACTCTCAGGACTGAGGGCATTGGTGCTCTAACTTGTCTGAATATGGAATCAGCTGGAGAGATTCTGTAAATTACCAGTCCCATTCCACCCCTGAGATCCTGATTTCATCGGTCTTATTTCATTGCAGCCTGGTCGTTGGGATGTTTAAAACTCTCCCTAGGAATTCCAATGTGCAGCCAAGTTTGCAACTACACGGAGCCAGGTTAGTGGTGCGGTCAGCATGGTGATAATTGGGCTCATGAACCCATGACCTCAGCTTCATCAGGAGACCCACTGTAAGTACTGGCCCAACAGGAGGGAAAGGAGCTGAGTCAGATGATACCACTGAGGGGCATGAGCAAATGAAAAAACAGGAACCCAGCCATGAAGCTCGGCCTGAGTGTTGGAGATGCCACTATAGAGACCCTGGTCTTAGCAATCCAGACTTTTCCCCAGCAGAAGGGAGAGGCGAAGATTATCCTGGCCGGGACTGTGTAAGGCCTTTGAAGGTTGACCATCCATCTCACCCTGCTGTTTCCCTCCTTCCCTGCAGAACAGCCGTTCACCTGAATGTTCCAGGCTTTTGGTTAACAACCCCTGGTCTTTTGTACCCATTCACACTCAAAATCAGGGGGAATTCCTTGAAATGGTTAAAATGCAAAAGTGAAATTTAGAAGCCCTATGAATGAAACAACAATCCAACAAAAAATTCCCAACACTTTAAGCAAATGCTTTTCTGGCAGAGCCTTCAAATTGCTACTGTCCCACTATCTTCTGGAATCGTGTGTGTGTGTGTGTGTGTGTGTGTGTGTAGAGCAACAGGTGAAGCAGCAACCATAAGGTAGCCTACTTCAGGTCTGGCACCTCTTTTCACTGCTGTCATGCCCTCTTCACTGAGATCCTGACTTAAATATGTACACATGTGAATGCTGATTTCTTAGCATGAATTTTAACTCAGCTGCTGCTCGAGCATCAATGATTCCCAATTCCCATCAGAGTGAATGGCCCCTTCCTGGTCTCTGCAGTCAGCCCTCTGAAGCTGCTCAGCTGAACCCCTGGGAGCTGAGGGGCCAACTCTGACTCCCAAGAAGGTGACCTCTATCTCCCTTCCAGGGCCAGAGATGCAACATCACACACACACTGCCTTTGGAATGTGTGATTAAGCTTTTGGCTGCCAGTAGCCTGACAGCTTCCAGCAGCTTTGTCTGCCACCGTGTCCACTTCTCTGTGCCAAAGTCACTGAAACAAAGGGACTGCAGATGTTGCTGTGAAGTCTTTCCGATTCTCCAGGACAGAGGAAAGCACTACATTGGGTGGGGGGTGGAGTGGGGATGATGGACTGTGGGAAACCTGCATGATGGGCATGAAACAATAAAAATGAAGCTGATTTTCTTCATAGCACTTGCTGCCATAGAGATACATTTGTTTCTGTGACCCTCTCACTGGAATGTAAACTCCCTGAAAGCAAGGACTTGGCTTATTGCTGTATCCCAAGAGCCTGACACAGTGCCTGGCACATGGTAGACACTCAATAGATGTTTGAGATAGGGAGGGAGGGAGGCAGAAAGGGAGGGAGGCAGAAAGGGAGGGAAGGAAGGAGCAAGGAAGGAAGGAAGGAAGGAAGGGAGGGAGGGAGGGAGGGAGGGAGGGAGGGAGGGACATAGACAGTGGATTTGGATAGACTTGGCTTTAATCCTTTCTGTAGCAATTCTAGCTGTGTAAAAATACGCGAGTGAGTCATTTATTTTCTTTGAGTCTCTTTCTTCATCATAGTACCAATTAACAGGGCTGGGGTAAAGAGTGATACATGTAAGGTTGCTAGCACTATTGGCAATCAAAACATGAGAGCTACTTATTTACATTGTGAGTATTGCTACTACTGATATTATCATTTCTGGACATTACTAATGATGTGAGCACTGGCCTTTCATCAGAGATTACTGGATAAGGAACATTTACCGTCTTGTCTCTGCTCATTGTGCTAAAGTTCCTTCTTTATCCAACAACACTTTCTCCTGTTTTCCCAATTTAGTGAAAGGATTAATCTTTTCACTCTCATTCTTCCTGTTTTGTTTCCCATAATATGGGTCCCATCCTTCCTCATGAGATGGGTATCTCAGCAATTGAGCCCACCCCACCCACATATTTGACCCTGATCCAAGACCCTCATTTCTGGGAATGAACCCCAGATCAGCCATGATAGAGGATAGCCTGGTTTTATCTTTTTGCTTCTGAGCAGGATCCAACAATTCTCATAAAATTTTCCCCAGCCTGTTCAGTGGAATTGTCAAAGCATCATTTTCAAAAAGTGAAAACATGATTCTTATATAAGTCTATAGGGAGTGTGTATAAAGATCTGTTTACTTCACAAAAGAAAGAACCAGAGGATGGTAAAGCTGTTTGAAAAGAGAATTGGAAGGAGAAAGATTTGGATAGACCATCAGAAACAGCATGCTGACATAAGTTTGCTAATTTGGAAACCTCACTCATTAATGTCCTGTGGAGCAATAAAATCTTTTTACAGGACAAAAATCATTTGTATCTCTACCAGACAAAAATTAACATGTAACTTGGCAGAGTCTGGGCCCTAATCAATAGTAAATAGTAAGTCAAACAAAAGTACCTTCCCTTAGAGAGTTAAAAAAAGCTTTGGTGGTTTGTTAGGCAACCTTCCAGTATGGCATTAGAAAGACGTGCAGTCATCCTATTTTTACTTCCAAGTTTGGGATACTTTTTTTTTTGAGATGGAATTTTGCTCTTGTTGGCCAGGCTGGAATGCAGTGGCATGATCTCACCTCACTGCAACCTCCACCTCCCTGGTCCAAGCAATTCTCCTGCCTCAGCCTTCCCAGCAGCTGGGATTACAGGTACACACCACCACGCCTGGCTAATTTTTGTATTTTTTAATAGACACAGGATTTTACCACGTTGGCCAGGCTGGTCTCAAACTCCTGACCTCAAGTGATCCGCCCACCTTGGCCTCTCAAAGTGCTGTGATTACAGGCATGAGCCACCATGCCCGGCCAAGTTCAGGATACATTTTTAAAACAAAATTGGTCCCCCTCAGCCTGGTGGATGTCCCTGCAGAATTTAAAAATACTATTATGTTCTAGATGTCTGATGCTGTCAATTCTCAATGGCCAGAAGAGGGCATCTGCCCAGATCAGTTCAGGTGTCTATCCCTGGTCTGATCGCCTGTGCCCAGGGTAGCGTATCAGGTACACGGTGCTGTTTCTTCCCTGCTATTGGTAGAACAGCTTTTCCAAGAAGGGGATAGGCTGGAATGGAAGAAAAGAGTCCAAAGAGGAAGGAACCACAACAGAAAGAGAATTGCTTTCCTTTCAGTTGTGGGAGCACCAGCTTAATGCCTCTTTTCCACATTTGCCCAGCAGAGGAAATGTTTGGGCCGAATGACAGAAAACCTAGGGTAGCCTTTTTGGTGCCTCCTGACAATCACAGAAGCAGGCTGGGATCCTACCCAGGTATGGCAGAGCAAGTGAGCCCACCTAGGTGGGAATCCTTACCCTCCTAATCCTGCAGGTTCACTTCACAATCTTGTGTAGACCTTAAACCGTTGTTTAGACAGTTATATGAAATGGGGTATTTTCTAGAGAAAAGGACAGTGAATGGGGATATGGGGATTTTTTTTTTTTTTGAGACAGAGTCTCACTCTGTCGCCTAGGCTGGAGTACAGCCATGCTCCCAAGCCATGCTTCCTGTATGGCCTGTGGAACATAGAGTCAATTAAACATCTTTCTTTTTTTTTTTTTTTTTTTTTTTTGAGATGGAGTCTCGCTCTGTCACTCAGGCTGGAGTGCAGTGGTGTGATCTTGGCTCAATGCAACCTCCACCTCCAGGGTTCAAGCAATCCTCCTGCCTCAGCCTCCTGAGTAGCTAGGATTACAGGTGTGTGTGTGTGTGTGTGTGTGTGTGTGTGTGTGTGTTTAGTAGACACGGGGTTTCACCATGTTGGCCAGGCTGGTCTCTAACTCCCGACCTCGTGGTCTGCCCACCTCGGCCTCCCAAAGTGCTAGGATTATAGGCATGAGCCACCGCGCCCGGCCCACCTCTTTTCTTTATAAGTTACCCGGTTTCAGGTAGTTCTTCATAGCAATGCAGACTAATACAACTACTTTGAGTCTCACCTTTCCTTATTTAGAAAAATATTTCCATTGAAGTGTTATGGTGAAGATTCAATACAATTAAATGATATAACATATGTAAAGGGCTTAGCAATAACCCAATGGCTAATAAGCAGCCAAGGAGTGGTAGCTCTCAGTATAGTCAGCCTCTAAGAAGAGAGCAAATGTTTATTTTCAAGAAGAATTATGCAGAAAGGGCCACTTTCAGTCTACCATCCCCCCAGATTCCTTGAAGGCAAGATGATGTGAGCAGCAAGGGAAGAAAGGGGAGTGGGCACGAAATACTACAGAACCTGCAGGGAATGAAGTCCCTCTGTCTGTGTGTGCCTATATCAATAACTTAAACTTACACATTCATGAGATGCACTGTGTTTATTAGGATGTACATGTGTCCCTAAGAATCTGAGAGCTCCTGAGAGACAGAGACGGTGTCTTACTCATCTGCTCTCCCCAGGTCCTCGCTTACTACCTGGCACTTATTGGGTAATAAATGTCTGTTGAATGCATGGAAAAAGAAAGGTAGGAAAGGTGTGAAGGAGAAGATGGAGGTCATGACCAGTAGAAATCTCAGCTGTTCTGCCTGGGCTCCATGTCATCTCCCTGCTATTAGGCCCATCAGAATGTAAGCACAAATGCCTAGAGAATGACAAGCTTCTTTGGGACTCTGCTGACTAGACATGACATAAGACTGGACAGCTCCTGGGGAACTTCCAAGAGCTGGCTCCAGGCAGTGACTAATCCTAGGAGCTGCTGGCCTGGCTGCCTCTCTCCCTTCCTTATTTCCAAGATTGGTCACCTCCTGCTCTGAAATAGCAATTGATTTTCAGACATGAGTTGATAGAACCATGATTTTCTAATACTGTTCCAAAGAGGCTAAAGTACCTCTGAGGAGCAGTGCAGGCTAGGATCAAACTCTCCCTACCTTCCACTCCACTCCCTACCTTGCCCCTCCACCTCTGCCCACTTTCTATTTCTTCAGGCACAGCGGCTTCTACCTTATGGATTACAAATTCTGATCATCCATCTATGGTTGCATTAGGAAAAGAGTACTGCTACTTTCATTTTCTTTTCTAACCACTGCCCTAGAAGAATAACACCTCACATTCTCTGGTAGACTGAAGCCTGCAGCTGCAAGGATGCTCAGAAAACCAGACTTCTATTCATTGGCCACTTGCTGCACGCTTTGTCCCTCGATCCTTGCAACGTACCTTTGAGGTAGGCACAAAAATCCCCATTTACAAGTGAGAAAACCAAGGCAAAAGAGGTTCAGTTTATTTCAGGCTCAAATGTGCTTCCAATAGCTTATAGCCTCTACAGCTAGTGTTTGAACCCAGGTCTGAAACAAATAGGATTGACAAGGGGAGGGAAAAGAGGAACAGAAATTCTTTTCTATAAGACAATTGTTTATGCAGCCAGGATTTCTTAAAATCCAGTTTGTGCCTACGGACATAATCTTTGAATTTGCTTTGTTTCTCGATGAATAACTTGGAAGCTATTCAAATAACTTGGAAGCTTCCTTTAAAAGGAACATCAGGAGGTGATTTTTGACTAACCCTAGGTGTCCTTTCTGAGCCAAATAGATTTTCAAATAAGAAAATGAGAGGACATGAGCTTGAGGAAAATGATAGGCATTCCAACCTCATCCGCTTGCTGACGACCTCCACGTGATTTCAACAATGATTTCAAATATTTCACTTTTTAAGTCAGTGTGACTTAAGTATGAAATTGCCTCTCCCTAAAGCTCCCCTAAGGCCTAAACAGTCGTCATTACCATAGCTGTGACAGGGAGACTGTTGAATTTATAATCTATTGGCCATTCACAGCATAGCGTATAAACCTAGCTCATGATTTCTTTGCAATAGAAGTGTATTTTTTCATCACATTCCCTTCACAACTTACTCACCAGATCAGACTTTGAGCTCTCCTCCTGGCTTAGCCTGGATCGTTTGAAATGGTCATCCATCCTTTGGCCCCAATACCTAAACTAAGGTCTATGAACAATAAGATGATTTTCTTCAGTGGGACTTTTTTGTTTAATATAATATTAGATATTTCCCCTGATACAGGGCTCAATCTTTTTCTTTTTAAAGCAATATTTCTCAAAGTACTTTTCACAGAACTTAAGTTTCATTAAGCACTTCACTAAAAGAAAAGTCTGTGATCTAATAAATTTGGAAAATATTGAGAATTAGAGCCCCCTCTTAGATATGTACTGTAGCTACTCAGCTTGTTACAGATGAAGTAAACATTGTAATATTCACCCAGCTTTTGAGTGATGTCTATTAACGTCACCCAAATGAGTATTCCATGGAATGCACTTTGCAAAAACCTATTATTCAAGAAAATTCTGGAGCATGAAAGCTATTAACGATAAACCCATTCACAAAATCACACCAAATATCTAAAATCATGTTTAAAATCTCCTAGAAATGGGTTGAATTGCCCACTTCAGAGACAAAGTGATTCTTTTGTAATAACGAGTTTTGTTTAGTGAGTACTTATTATCTCATTGAATCCTGAGGACTACCTCACAAGGTAAGTATAGCTCTTTTCATTACACATGACAAACAAGGCTCAGAGAGGTTAAGTAACTTGCTCAAGATCACAAAACTGCAGAGTGACAAAACTAGAATTTTGAATCTAAGCTCAAAGGGTCACCAAACCAAATTTGGGTCCACCCACCCAGCCTATCAAAGTCAAGCACTGATATCGGCATTGCTGAGACACAAGTTGAGGAATTTATTGCAGGCAGCAAGCAAGGAGTATCAGGGAGCTAATCCTTAAGGCCTAATCTCCCTGATGGCTTATGTGTAAGGGTTTTTAAAGGTGGGAAGGCAGAGGTTGCAGGCAAGGTCATACAATACATGGAGGCTACATATTGGTTTCGCCAAAAAAGGCAAAATATCTCAAAGTGAGGGCCCACAGGATAGGTGACCATTAGATGAATTCAAAGATTTTCTGATTTGAGACCAGGTGCAGTGGTTCACACCTGTAATCTCAGCGCTTTGGGAGGCCAAGGTGGGTGGATAACTTGAGGCCAGGAGTTTGAGACCAGCCAGACCAACATGGCAAAACACCATCTCTACTAAAAATACAAAAATTATCTGGGCATGGTGGTGTGCACCTGTAATCCCAGCTACTCAGGAGGCTGAAGCATGAGAATCGTTTGAACGTGGGAGGCAGAGGGTTCAGTGAGCTGAGATCGTGCCACTGCACTCCAGCCTGGGCAGCAGAGTGAGACTCTGTCTCAAACAAACAAACAAAAACCCAAAGATTTTCTGATTTGTGATTGGTTAAGTTTTGGCTACAAACTTGGGGTCAGCAGAAAGGAATGTTCTGCTCTGGCCTGTGGGTGTGACTTCCTCCAGGTCCCTCAGGAAGAAATTTAGAACAAAGAACAGTTATGAGTGTTCAGTCCTCAGTTCCTCCTTATCTGAGATCTACGAGCCAACAGGTGGTATTTTCCATTTAGCGGGGTCTGGGTTTCTACAAAACAACTCAGGGACATATGTTAAGATGTTATCTCTAGTTTCTATAGGGAAACAAACATTTTGTGGCTCTAATTTTCTTTTTTTTTTAATTATACTTTAAGTTTTAGGGTACATGTGCACAACGTGCAGGTATGTTACGTATGTATACATGTACCATGTTGGTGTGCTGCACCCATTAACTCGTCATTTAAGATTAGTTTGTGGCTCTAATTTTCTTGACTATTGTTTTAAGCTATTATTACCTTCTTACTTATCAGGGTGCTCATCTACTTCTTGAGGCTAGCCAGGTGGCTGGAATTTTCCTTGGAGGGACTCAAGAGTTTCCTTTATTTTTCATGCCTTAAATGGGTCTGTTCTCCCTCTTCAAAGCTCAAGCTCTTAAGGACTATGCTATTGTTAGATTTTTCGTATTGGAGCAGTCCTTCCCTCCTACTCAAGAACACCCCTTCTTCAGACAGCCTGGCTGGGTCTTCATCGTGGGAGAGCTCATGAAACACAAACCAGATCTTGGCCCTCACGTGTGTCTAGGCAGAGCTGAGCCTGGGCAACACCAAGCGTGCCCCCGATTTTGCATGCCCCAGCCAATTCAGAGTCAAGATCCACGCTCAGCTCCTTCCCTGCAAAGTGCTAATGATGAAGGATGGGGATCAAGTCAGCAAACTCCAGAAATGGTCTTAGACTAGGAGTCAAGCCTTGAGATCCTATTACACACCAGATTCATTCCCTGATTAGAGCTGCTGAATTCTTTTACTCTCACTGCACTCATGCTAAAGTTTCTTTCCTCCAGCCTCGTAACCCCAGAGGAGGCTGAGCCATGATACCCATTGTCTAGCAATAAATATTTAAGGAGCCCCTGAGATATGTCAGGCACCATCGCAGGTGCTGGGACAAGTGAATGTGACCAGGAAAGTCCCTCCCCTCTCAGAGGTTCTTTTCAAGTTGGAGGACAGCAAATACAGAAATATAGAGTCTAACATAACAACAGGGAGTAATAAACACTTTGAAGAAAAATAAAGTGGAATAAGAGGGTAGGGTTGCCATAGGGTTCTCTGGGCAGTCTTCTATGGAAAGGCCACTTGTTGGGGCAGAGAAAAAAAAGATGTCTGAAAGGAGGACTACCGGCCCCCCATAAGTGCGCTCCGGTCCATGCACAGGGCAATGGGCATGTAATTTCCTATGATTAAGACCTACAGTATGTACAATATTACTGCAACAGACACTGAGACTGACTTAGCATTGTTTCATAGCATCCGAGTTGCTCTGTTGGAGGAAAGTGCATGTGATGGGCATTCATTTGCTTCCGCCATCAGACAGATTCTCTACCTTTGTCTTTCCTACAAGATTCCCTAGGAAGGCAGGGCTCAGTGGCTCATGCCTGTAAGCCCAGCAATTTGGGAGTCTGAGGCAGTCAGATCACAAGGTCAGGAGTTCAAGACCAGCTTGGCCAACATGGTGAAACCCAGTCTCTACTAAAAATACAAAAATTAGCTGGGCATGGGGGCACGTGCCTGTAATCCCAGCTACTCAGGAGGCTGAGGCAGGAGAATTGCTTGAACAGAGACCCGGGAGGCAGAGGTTGCAGTGAGCCAAGATCGCACCACTGCACTCCAGCCTGGGCTACAGAGTGAGACTCTGATAAATAAATAATAAATAAATAAATGATTCCCTAGGAAGCTGACTCCCACTGAATGTGCCACTCAGGAGTCCCTGCTCTCTAGATTACAGTTGAGTTTGCTCAATGCAAGGCCCCAGCAGAAATGTTGAAAGTAAGAGCAAATAGATAGTTAACCACTCTTTAAGACAACAATGGATGTATACTTCTCTGGCCTCAGCTCCTGTGGGGAAGCTCCAGTGCCAGTCCCTGGGTGCTTCACCATTTTCCGTTAGTTCCTGAACCTTCTAAACTGACCCTTCACTAAATTCTTCCTAGTTAACCCTTTGAGAATGAAACCATTTCCTGCCAGGACTCTGACAGATACAAAGAACCCACAGCCGACTGCTGGGTGCACGGCAGACCTAGTGCATGGCTCCACACTGCCATCTTGGGGGCTGGCACAGGCTGGCACTGAGTCTGGGGAAGGGAGCTGGGGCTGGAGGTGTGGAGGGGAAGACCGTGCATAGTTGCTTCCTGATCAGCTCTTTATTCGATTGAGAGTGAGGCAGGGAAGATTAGAGGGAAGCTTACAGTGGAATTCAGGGCTGAGGCTGCTATTCTTTTGCTCCTTGTAACTTCCTACAGTGTTGTCAGCATCCACATACTTCTCTGTGGGGTTGGTCTCAGAGCCAGGTTACCTTGTCTTAGGTCCAGTGGCAGCCTGACTGGCTTGGTGTCCTTGAACAAGTTACCTAACCTCTCCATACCTCAGTCCCTCAGCTGTAAAATTTAAAAAAAAAAAAAAGAAGAAGAGTACCTACTGTATAGCATTGATTTGAAGATTGAATGAGCTGGTATTATATAACGTTTAGAAGCAGTGCCTGACATGCAAAAGGCTCTCAACAAATACTATCCTTTACTAATATCCTGTGTGTCTGTATCAGAGCTGGTGGGGTGGAGGGACAGAAAGAAGTGGGAGAAGGTAAAGAGATGGGCAAATGATCTCTAAAGTCTCTCTGGCACTAACACAATTCTTTATTATGTGTTTTGTCTGGCTCTTTATATTGATAGCTGTTCCAGAAGCAATCAATAGCTATTAGTCGGTTTTATTCTTATTTTTCTGTCTGATCTTACAGGGGAGCAAACTGTGGCAAAGCATGAACTTACTTCTCAGAAAATTAACCATTATGTTGGCAATCACTGTGATTATTTGAACTTCAGCATCTGGACAAATTTAGTCACATGAAATACAGAAGAGAGATTTCTCATGGTTAAAATGAAGCTCTCTTTATTTGCTTCTGCTAATTAAAAAATCAGAGCTAAAGATACTTAAACACTACAGTTAAAATGCCATGGTTGTCTATTGGCTTAATGAATTCTCTTATGAAATCAACTCTAAAATGTTATCCATCATAAATCATGAAACACAATTTTTCTTATTCTCTTTAGAGCTTTACAATTCATCTTAAAGACCAGTGTTTACACTCTCTTCCGTAGGTTGTACAATAACCTTTGGCGAGAAAAAATAAATGTCTGGCTTTCTGACTCATAGGTGTGTTCCCTTTAACAGAAAAAGAAAATATGTCCTCTTTAAAACTGATGATCATTGGTCACCTCAATTTTATTGAAGTTCACTTCTGACCTCTTTAGATGTAGTTCTCTACATAAAACTGCCCAACAGAATTCTCTGTCTGAATGCCTCCTCCACAAACAAAATTTTAAGAACTAAAATCATCATCTTTCCTTCCAAATGTGCTCTCCCTATGTCCCCAGGGCTCTCCATGTGTAGAGCTGAGACCATTTGCCACTCAGTTTCCTCACCCAATTAATTACAAGTCCCAACAATTTTCCGTTGTTTTTTTTTTTTTAGACGGAGTCTTGCTCTGTCACCAGGCTGGTGTGCGGTGGTGCAATCTCAGCTCACTGCAACCTCCACTGCCTGGGTTCAAGTGATTCTCCTGCCTCAGCTTCCCAAGTAGCTGGGATTATAGGTGTGTGCCACTACATCCAGATAATTTTTGTATTTTTAGTAGAGAGGGGATTTCACCATATTGGCCCAGATGATCTCAATCTCTTGACCTCATGATCTGCCCACCTTGGCCTCCCAAAGTGCTGGGATTACAGGCGTGAGCCACCATCCCTGGCCCAGTTTTGCCTTTTTAACATCCCTCAGCTCTTCAAATCCATTTTCTCTTCTCTAACACCTCCCCATTCCCCAGCTCGTAATGAACTCTTAAGTAGATTACTACGATCACCTCCCAAATGGTCTTCCTGGCTCCATCAGCCTTGTGACCTTCAAGTTCATTCTCCACATGGATGTCAGAGTAACTTTCTAAAATGAAAATCTGACCACGTTACTCTCTTGCCTAAATCCGCCTATGGCCGCTGTTAGGATCAAGTCTAAACTCCCGACCCTGGAACATCAGGTCTTTGTGCTCTGTTCAGTGCTTCTCTACCTCACCTGCAACCAACACCACTCCCACATCCATATTCTGCTCACCGCGTATCAACATGAACAGGAGGTGGGTGTTTCAGTCCCCAGGAAGACACTGGGCCTTTTCAATCATCTACTGCTGTGTAATAACCACCCTGCAAACTGACCACATGATTTCATTTTGCAAGGGTTCCTTCCTTGGGCTGTGTTCAGCAAAAGGGTTTACTGAGCTGGCAGGTCCAAGATGGCCTCACTCACAGGACTGGCTGTTGATGGGAGCCTTGATGCTCTTGGGCTCACCCCTTATCCTCCAGTAGGTTAGAGCTTCTTACAGTGGTTTCAGGCAGCATCTGAAGACAGTAAATGCAGAAGCTCCAAGGCTTCTTACATTCTAGCCTGGAAAATCACATCACATTGCTTCCTTCATATTTTTTTTGGCAAATCAGGTTGCAAGGCTTGCCCAGATTAGGGTAAAGAGGCAAAGAGGCTCCTTTTCTTTTCTTTTTTTTTTTTTTTTTTTTTTTGAGTCAGAATCTTGCTCTGTTGCCCAGGCTGGAGTGCAGTGGCGCGATCTAGGCTCACTGCAAGCTCTGCCTCCTGGGTTCACGCCATTCCCCTGCCTCAGGCTCCCAAGTAGCTGAGACTACAGGCACCTACCACCACGCCTGGCTAATTTTTTTTTTTTTTTTGTATTTTTTGGTAGAGACTGTGTTTCACTGTGTTAGGCAGGATGGTCTCCATCTCCTGACCTCGTGATCTGCCTGCCTTGGCCTCCCAAAGTGCTGGGATTACAGGCGTGAGCCACCGTGCCCGACCAAGAGGCTCCTTTTCTTGATGAAAGGAGTAGTGAAGTCACATTGCATGTCCTTGCAAAGGGACATGCAGACCACATTAGTGAGAATATGTGCCTGTATTTTGCAATCTGTAACATGGGCATAAACTAAATGTTTTCCAAAGGGAATAGGGCAAAACAAAAAGGACCTTGACCACTCCTTTGGCCCTGAATAAATCTAGGAAGCCTAAGAGTATGACTATCCTGAGGTAGAAAGAGGGTCACATGCTGGATAAGAGGTACCTGGGCTCTCCACTTACAAGAAGAGAGCATGGTTACATTTATAATCACCATTCCCAACACGCTGTGAGTGCAGGCAGCTACCAGGAGGAGAACAAAGGAAATAACCAGGACACCCATCTCTAAACCTGTTAATTTAATCACACGGAACACTTCTATTTAAAATTCCTGAGGGTTAAGATGTAAGAATGCTTATCAAGGTAAATGCTGTTCACACTGCTTGGAGTGTCAGGCCTAGATCTCTATCCATCAGAAACAACAATATCAATAACAACAACAGCAACATGATGATGGGGCAATTTCTGAAAAGCACCATGTATTTTATCGATACATGTCCGTTGCAGAAAATCCAGGTGAATCCAAAGAAGAAATAAATGTCTTCCACAATCCCATAGCCCAGAGCTAACTAACCACTATAAAGAACCCAGCGTGGTTTTAACTAATGGATCAAAAGATGCTCATCAAAAGCTCTGAGCTTTCCTGAGTGCTAACAGGAAACATCCAGCATCACTGGTCTCTCCAAGGCTGCAGGTGTCTTTGCCCATAGTGTCTGTTTTGTGTCAGGGAAAGAATCAACCTGGGAGCCAAGCCCAGGAATCAGGATGACCAAGACATACTGGACAAGGAGGGAACAAACCCATCCAAGGACACTCAAGGACAAATCAAGCAAATGAATTTAAGGGAGACCTGCTCATGGTCTGCTTTGCTGCTCAGCATGGCTGGGAGGCACAGTGGAAGATCATGCATCCTTCCCCTGGGACTCCTCTGCCAGAGCCTGAGAGCTTTCTCCTGCACACAGGCTAGGGGTAGGGCAGTTGGAATTGATCCATGCCTTCTAGCTAGACTGTGGGTCCCCTCAGTCTTGGGCATGGTGACAGCCCAGCATCAGACAGAGGTCAGTATCAAACTAGAAAATTTAATAAATGCTGTCAGATTTGTAGACCCAAGAAAATATAAACTGCCAATCACGGAGGAAAAAAATCTCTCAATGATCTTATCTTTATATGATTCCCTTGCTGCCTGGAGATTGACATTTCCTTGGGGATAATCTGGTCATAGGATTGGTGAAGGTGGAAGGGAGGCAACCTCCGAAGGTGGGGCCCTCTGCTCACCTGGGACAGGGAGGGCCTGAGGTAGGTGTCTGTGTGGGCTGGGGAGGAGGATGGGAGCAGTGCTTCTAGATGTTTCCACTTTCTCCTCATTAGATAATAATGAATGGGTGATTTCCCTAGTCACTGCAGTGTGAGGAAATCTACAAAATTAATTTCACAATACACTTTACAGGATAGGTGGAGAAACACATGAAGCACAACTGCAGTGGGTTATAAAAAATGGCCTTTCGAGTTGAGCAGTAAATTCGTTCAAGCAGCCATTCTGAAGGACAAACTGGCTCTGTATTTAACAGGGGCATTCCAGCACTTCTCTAGCTACTGGGTTGACAATGACTCACCAAAGCCTCTGGTAGCCACCACAGGACGCCCAGAGCACGTTTTAAAGCTGAACACCAAACTGCGGACTTCGGGAGTAAGTGAACTGACTGGTTTTTATTTTGTTTTACTGCTTTTAACATTACAGTAACTGTTACAGGTTCCAGCAGGATAACTGGGTGGAAATGAGTTTGGTTTCACTTAGTCTCTCTAAAGAGAAAGCAAGTTGGTAGACTAATACCTAATAAAAGCAAAGCTGCCAACAACTGAAATTGCCTGGGCTGCTCTGTGTGTCCCACATGCATGGGTGTGGGTGCCAGTGTGTGTGCGTGTGTGCATGCATGTGCATGTGTGTTGGGATAGAGTGATAAGAAAATGGGAAATAATAAGAATGTTCAGTCCATAGCCCTTCATTATAAAAAGGTGAGCTGTAATAAATACTAGTGCCACATTTAGCCAAAACTTTACTCCAGCCAAAGGTGATATTTTCATGATAACATCCTGTGATTGCTTTGTTCTTCGTCTTTTATGTTCTTCCTAGATGGGCTCAGAACATACAAGAATTAAGTACACATCTTATTTTCCAGTGATAATGCTACCGGCAAATTCTGTTGTTTGTATAAACATCAGCCATGTTTATATAACTAAACTAGTGTTTTGTTTTGTCAATTCAGCAAGAAATTAGACCACATGGTGGCTTAATGCTGCATTGATTTGGCTATCAATTTGTTTTCACTTTTCTGCAAAATATTTAATACATTATTAAATTGAATTATGCTGATGCCACAGTTGTTCTTATCTCAATTGTCTTAAAATTCATTTAATTTTTTTTCCTTTGGTTTCATTATTCAAATTTTAACTTCAGTTCTCAACATTTTATCTGATGGAAGAGATGGAGTCCATTACTAAGGACTCCATTGTGCTCCATCATGCCAGAGTTGTAAAATAGATCTTTTAAAGGAAATTTACTGTGATTTTTTTCTATTTAAGAGCTTCCTCTCCAGTTGAGCATGTAAGAAAATTATACCAGGAGAATACAGTAAACTCTATGAGGCAAGCTATAAACATGTAGCATTGTGATTAGGGCTGGTTCTCCTTCTAGAGACATGGTAGGATTGCAATTTCATACCATCCTTGAAGTTAGAGAGAGCCACGTGACTCATTTAGCCAATGAACTGTGAGCAGAATGACATGTCACTTCCAGCAGAAGCTTTAAGAATCTGAGAGACATTCATACGTTTTCCATGTGCTGTAGCCTTATACCCAAAGCCTGGGTCCCAAGTGACCATGACAGGCAGAGCTCCCTGTTGAGCCACAGAGATTTAGAGAATGGCTGTTAACACAGCATAATCCAGCCCATCCTGACTAATCTGATATTAACATGTATAATAAAGAATTCTATCAATGCTGAGGGAAGATGATTAGTTAAGGTCCTAGGTTGCAAGTCTCAAAACCTCTTCTAAGGATTGTAGACAGGAAATTAAATGACTTCTAGTCCCTAGAGTTCCCAATCTCCTACCATCCCATCCTAATATGACAGAAGTAATTCCTGAGTTGCTTCTGAAACCAGAGCTTCCCTCAGAACCCTTAGCCTGCCAGATGGCTTCTTGGAGAGCCCTCACTCACTTTTCTCCTTCTGCTATTGCTGCTCATTCATTCCAGCTTTTAAAAATTCATCTTTATCCAGGAACCTCGCTTCTAGAAAAGTCATACAGGTGCTTCCAGGAGGCTACATGGGCACCCATATTTTTCTAGCCACTTTCATTAGACCAATGCAGCAGAGAAGAAAAGCCTCAATAATTATTATGACATGGCATGTTAGGATACCAAGTAAATTGCATTTGTAAAATGTGATTTTCTGTTGGTGTTCACTTCGGCTCTACTGACATTTGGTAAGTATTATTGACTGACTGACTAACTAATGTGGTCATTAATCTTCATAAAGAAAGGCTCTCTACAAAAACGGAGGGATGCCCTTTTTCTGGCATTTAATACGTAAGAAATTGCCTCCGATAGAAACCAGAGTTGCCTGATTACTATCAGCACAGGAGAAATGTATTAATGTGCCTTTCTAGTAACAGGTTTTTAGAAAGTCAAATATAAACAAATCTGTCTATTTGTGTGTGTGCATGTGGTAGTGGGGAGGGAAGAAAAAAGGAGGGGGAGAGAAAGAGAAATAAGAACCAAGTTTATTATACTGTATTCAGGGGGAAAACATTTTCCCAAGGTTCTAACAGAAGAGCAAAGTGCCACTGTCAATAGCCTCAGTAGTGTTAGGGTTGCTTTTATGTATTTATTTATTTACTTATTTATTTATTTTTCCTTTTTTTTTCCTTTCTCTTTTTTTCTTCTTTTTTTTTTTTGGACAGAGTCTCACACTGTCGCCTGGGCTGGAGTGCATTGGCGCAATCTTGACTCACTGCAACTTCTGCCTCCCAGGTTCAAGTGATTCTCCTGTCTCAGCCGCCCAAGTAGCTGGGATTACAGGTGTCTGCCACCGTGCCTAGATAATTTTTTTATATTTTTAGTAGAGATGAGGTTTCACTATGTTGGCCACGCTGGTCTCAAACTCCTGACCTCATGATCCACCCACGTTGGCCTCCCAAAGTGCTGGGATTACAGGCGTGAGCCACCGCCCCTGGCCAGGATTGCTTTTATAGCCAGTCTTCAGGTGCCCACTGTAGGAACAATGTCATTTAGCCCTCGGGATTATTCTGTGCCAAATATGGATAATGACTAATATTCAACACAGATATTCTCAGCTCAGAAGAGCAATTAGCAAATTCATAAATTAAGTGCTTGCTTCCTTTTTAGTCAAATACAAACATTTGTTAAAAGATATTATTTTGCTTTACACTTTTTCTCTCAGAAATAAACAGATGCTTGAATTCCCACAGTGCTGCTTGAGCCTCACACCATGTCATCCTGCCAGGCACCCAGATCCAGAGTTTCACATGATCATGAGTGTTGGTTAATAAGTCACTGTGAACTGGGAGGGGAGATTTTTCAGGAGTGCCACAGGGCTCTCCCTTTAATCACATACACTCCCTGCTTTCATTGGAAAGTGTATAATGATGTCAGAGTGCCCCAGAATGGAGCTAGTTGGAAGACTGCCGTCATAGGGATGCCTTAGTGAATTAATCAGGTTTTAATTTCTGGCTCTCAACTTTGTAGATGTAAAAGTTGATTTATCAATATGTGAGAAAGGATGAATCTTTCTGAAGGTTATGTCATCACACTCACTAAGCACACAGAGAATAATGTCTAGAATCTGAGTGCCATGTTATCAAATTATACTGAGACTCTTGCAGTCACACGGGCTGACATGTAAGCATCGCCATGCCTAGTACAGACTCTCCCTGCAGATGAAATTATATGGGATGCTAAATTATAATCAGAACAATGTTTGGTGAGCCAAAACTACAACAAGGGAAGCTAATTGGATGAATTTATAAAAATATACCTCAGCCAAAATAGCTTAATTCAGTCTCCCTTATCATAAGGATACTCTTGCCTAAAGGGACAGTAATATTAAAGACACTAGGAATAACCTCTGTACTTTGGACAGTAGACCTGCATAGCCCATTAGGCCTCAATGAAGTCTTATGCAAGACCAGAAGCCAATTTGCCATTTTAAGGTGATTCTCCATGTTTCTGCTCTAACTGTGTTTCACAATACTCAAGACACTGAATCAGGATGTTTCCTGGAGTGCAGGGAGCTGTCCGTGTTACTGAGCAGTTCTTAGCAACACAAAGATCCTACTGACTCCTCATCAGACTTCTTTCTCACTGGAATTTTACACCTGGGCTGTTAACACCAGGCCAGGTCAAATTCAAAGGAGAGAAAAAAGCTCATTATGAAGGGTAAAATCCAAAACACTGTGCATAAAGATATGTGTGCACAATTTTTATACATAAAGATTTCATAAAGCCAAAGCATCAGGAAATGAAAAGAGATACAGAAAGAAAAATGATGGTAAATGAGACATTAATTTACCCTTCTAATCTCTATCACAGCAAAAAGGTAATTAAAAAATCTATATGAGGACCAAAAAATACACAAAGATTATGTAGCAAAGCCTATAGCCTGAAAAAGTAAACATTGAAATTTGTATGTCCATAAAATGTTTACAAAATTCAGTACATATTACACACCCCACCCTAAAAACATCTAAGCAAAGTAGAGAATGTAGAAATGCTACAGATTATATTCTCTGATTATGACACAACAAAACTAGAAATTACAGCATGGAAATTTAAAAGCTTTCTCTTAAATAATTCTATGTCAAAAAGAAATCCAGGCCGGGTACAGTGGCTCATGCCTGTAATTCCAGTACTTTGGGAGGCCAAGGTGGGCAGGTCACTTGAGGTCAGGAGTTCAAGACCAGCCTCGTCAACATGGCGACACCCTGTCTCTACTAAAAATACAAAAATTAGCTGGGCCTGGTGGCGCATGCCTGTAATCCCAGCTACTTAGGAGGCTGAGGCAGGAGAATTCCTTGAACCCAGAAGGTGGAGGTTGCAGTGAGCTGAGATTGCACCACTGCACTCCAGCCTAGGTGACACAGCAAGACTCTGTCAAAAAAAAAAAAAAAAGAAATCCAAATAAAATTTCCAGAATATGTGGAAAATAGTGACAATAAAAATATTACACATGTGTAATCCCAGCATTTTGAGATGCCAAGGTGGCAGGATCACTTGAGACCAGGAGTTCGCAACCAGCCTGGACAACATAGGGAGACTCCATCTCCACACACGCCAAAAAAAAATTTTAAATAGCCAGGTATAGTGGTACTTCTTGTAATCCCATCTACTTGAGAGGCTAAGGTGGGAGAATCACCCAACCTCAGGAGTTCAGGGCTTCAGCAAGCCATGATCATATCACTGCACTCCAGCCTCAGCAACAGAGCAAGATCCTATCTCAAAAAAAAAAAAAAAAATCACATGTGGGAAATAGCTATAGCACAATAAAAATAAATGTATTAAGTATGAACAACAAAAAAGCTAGTAAAGGTTGAACAACAACTATCCTTAGGAAAGTGGAAATAATGTGTTAATAAATATGAAAGCAGGCTAGGCACGGTGACTCACATCTGTAATCCCAGCACTTTGGGAGGCTGAGGCAGGCAGATCACCTGAGGTCAGGAGTTCCAGACCAGCCTGGCCAACATGGTGAAATCTTGTCTCTCCTACAAATACAAAAACTAGCCAGGCTTGGTTGCGCACTCCTGTAATTCCAGCTACTTGGGAGGCTGAGGCAGGAGAATCTCTTGAACCTGAGAGGCAGAGGTTGCAGTGAGCCAAGATCATGCCACTGCACTCCAACTGGGGCAACAGAGTGACACTCCATCTCAAAATAAATAAATAAGAAAGCAGAAACTAATAAATTAGAAAACAGAAACATAGAACTAATTTATAAATCAAAGCACTATGCCTTGAAAAGAGGGAGAAAAATTGTGAATTAAGGAAGGGAAGAGATGGTTGGAGAGGAGGTGGGAGAAGGCAGAGATAATTGAAGGAGCAAAAGCATCTGGAGAAGCAAAGCCACTGAAAGATGAACAGGGCTCTGAAAGAAATGCTTGATTGCTATCTTTTCTAATGACTGCAGTTCCCAGTGACATCATTTTTCTCCTCCCTGGAAGTCTGAGGGGCAGTTCACTTATCTCCTCCCCTCCCCTACTCCTCACCCCACACTCAAAACCTGTCTATGCTCCTTTCATTCTCATATGACAGATTTCAGATGGCATTCTTATTTCCCTGATTTCTTTTTGAGATAGCTTGCATTTCCCTACTCTATATAAAGCCACCATTTATCAAATGCCTACATGGACCAAGCAGTCCACAAGGGCTTCACAGACAGTTTTACTAAACTCATGCCAAAACTTTCAGGTTTTATAGATAAAGATCTATACCTTATAGATAAAGGTATCTATAAGGTATAGATAAAGGTAAGGTATCTATACCTTATAGATAAAGAAATTGAAGCTTATAGAGTTTAAGTAATGTTCCCAAAGCCTCGTGGCTAGTAATTCAAACCTAATTTCTGCCTACTCCAAAGTCTATTTTTCCTCATGATACTATACTGCCTCTCCATGGATAAAGACAGAGATCACATATTAATAAAATTTGCACAAAGTCGGCAAATTGTTGAAAGGGAAGGCTAAGATGATTAATAAAATCAAGAGCCAGATGATCTCAACAACCTGAAATAACTGGCTGACAACCAATTTGAATAACTCCCTGCGGGTGAAGTTCAAAGTACTATTTGGGTTTTTTTTTTTAAGTTTGGCTGGGTGCAGCGGCTCACGCCTGTAATCCAAGCACTTAGGGAAGCCAAGGTGGGTGGATCATGAAGTCAGGAGTTGAAGACCAGCCCGGTCAACATGGTGAAACCCCATCTCTACTAAAAATAAAAAATTAGCCGGGCCTGCTGGTGGATGCCTGTAGTCCCAGCTACTCGGGAGGCTAAGGCAGGAGAATCGCTTGAACCCAGGAGGTGGAGGTTGCAGGGAGCCGAGATCGCACCACTGCACTCCAGCCTGGGTGACAGGGCGAGATTCCGTCTCAAAAAATAAAATAAAATAAAATAAAAAATAAAAGTTTGATATATTCAGAATCAGGGAGATCTGTTGGGTGCAGTTCATTTGAAAAATTCCTCAGCATTTTAGTGATCTGTATGGTCCCTCTATCCGTCAGGGTCCTAGCAGGAAATTGTTGCACTCTCAAAGGATTAAGCAGAAAGAGTTTAATGAAGGGTCTCTTTCCAGGGTTAAGGGAACTGCTAGGGTTTGGATATTTGACCACTCCAAACTCATGTTGAAATGTGATCCCCATTGTTGGAGGTGGGGCCTAATGGGAGGTGTTTTGGTCCTGAGTGTGGACCTCTCACGAATGTCTTGGTGCCATCCAAGTGAGTTCTTGCTCGCTCTTTTTTTCTTTTTGAGATGTAGTTTCACTCTTGCTGCCCAGGTTGGAATGTAGTGGTGCGATCTTGGCTCACTGCAACATCCACCTCACGGGTTCAACCCATTCTCCTGTGTCAGCCTCCAGAGTAGCTAGGATTACAGGTACCCACCACTATGCCCAGCTAATTTTTGG
The DNA here is from genome assembly GCF_000001405.40 of Homo sapiens. Classification (NCBI taxonomy): domain Eukaryota; kingdom Metazoa; phylum Chordata; class Mammalia; order Primates; family Hominidae; genus Homo; species Homo sapiens. The sequence goes on from NC_000008.11 coordinate 127,991, forward strand.
TATTTTTAGTAGAGACGGGGTTTCACCATGTTGGCCAGGCTGGTCTCAAACTCCTGACCTCAGGTGATCCACCTGCCTCGGCCTCCCAAAGTGCTGGGATTACAGGCGTAAGCCACCGTGCCTACCTAGTTCTAGCTCTCTTAATTCCCACAAGAGCTGGTTGTTAACAAGAGCCTGGTACAAACCCCTCTCTCTTGCCACGTGATCTCTGCACATGCCAGCTTCCCTTCCCCTTCTGCCATGAGTGGAAACAGACTAAAGCCCTCACCAGAAGCAAATGGTGGCACCATGCTTCTTGCACACCTTCAGAACTGTGAACCAAATAAACCTCTCTTCTTTAAAATTATTCAGCCTCTGGTATTCCTTTATAACAACACACACACACACACACACACACACACACACACGCAAAAGCAGACTAAAACAGGAACTAATTAGAAATGGTGATGCACCGAGGGATTGGCACCGAGGCTCCCCAACAGGAACTGAGGCCATGGATAGAAGGACACATTCATGTTATTTTTTTCTAATGGTTAAGTAATTATTTGCTCTTACTCTCAAAATTTCTGCCAAGGCCTCCCATGGACCAAACTCAACTAGAATCTAGGAAGCAGAGAACCTGAGTGTTGCATTCAGCAGAGGTCAGCTTCCTAGGGAATATTGCAGGAAGGGTGAAGGTAGAGAATCTGGTGGGGAAGCAAGCAAATGCCCATCACATGCACTTTCCTCCAACAGAGCGACTCAGATGCTATAAAACTTGCTAACGCAGTCTCAGGGTCTGATCACAGTAACATACAATCCAGGTTTTAATCATCAGAAATCGCAGTCCTATTGTCTTCTGCACAGACCCAAACACACTTGGAGGTCATGTTCAATATGAATACCTCACAGAGAAGGAAATTTACACACGAGAAGTACATCTGCAGAAAGCCAGCTGGCATGTCAACCATTCGAAAACTCAGGGTGTTCGGGATAAAGAAGACTCAGGAAGACAAGTATGAAGCATAATCTGTGACATTATTGATATCTTCCTGATATCAATATTATTGATATCTTCCTGAAGAACATAATTCCTGCCTACCATCAACAAGCATCAATACTTTCTACCAGCTATTCTCAACCCTCATCATCGGAAGAGACAGACACTGACTGTGTCAAAGTATTAGTCCCATCATTCAGCAATTAACTTTAGCTCAATGCTTCAAAAATTCTTCAGGCCCTGTGTAATTTCAGCTATGTACATTAATGATGAGTACCCATACAACCATTCTGTTTCTTATTTTCAGTACCATATTTAATAAATATCAGTTATTCAATACTTTATTTAGACATTTTGTTAGATTATTTTGACCAATGAAGTCTAATCTAAATGTTCTGAGCATGTTCAAAGTAAGCTAGGCTAACCTATAATTTTTGGTGTGCTAAATGCATTTTTAACTTATGATATTTTCAGTTTACGGGGGTTTGTTGGGACATAACTTCATCATACATCAAGGAGCATCTGTATATGGGATATAGTTAAAGCAGTGATCAGAGGAAAATCTATAGCCTTAACACATTTATTAATAAAAGTGTAGGAATTAAATTATCAGCTGAAAAATGTAAAAAGTATCTAAAAGAGTAAGCAGAAAGTACAAGAAAGAACCCATAGTAGAAAAAAGTGAAAATTAATAAAATAAGAAGCCAAAAAACAGATCAAATCAGTAAACCAAAAATCTTGTTCTTTAAACAAATCAACAAAGTTGACAAAAAATTAGATCTTTTAATCATGAATAAAAAAAGAGAAAGCACAAAAATGAATAAGGAATGGTGAGAGAAATAACTATTGATAATCAGCAAATAAAAAATCATTAAAAACAATGTTGTTCACATCTATGAAAAACATTGAAAGCTAGAGGGAATGGGTAATTTTCCAGAAAAATACAATTCACCACAATTGACTTCAAAAAAAAAAAAAAAGAAGTACAGCACTTATGTGAGCAATTTCCATAGAGAAATACAGTTGTCATGGAATTATAACACACACACAAACACTAGGTTTAGATGTTTTCACAGAGAATTCCACCAAACCTTTAGAAATCAGATCATCCAAAGGCAAATTAACAACCCTCAGCCATTTGAGGCAAAATATTACAATTGAGGCAAGATATACTGTACTGAAAACTTGAGGAAAAAGCAGGAGAGAAAGTTCCTTTGGGAAATTCGAATACTCAAAAGTGCTTACATACAATGAAAAATTTGGAAATCCATAAGCATGGCCAAGGTGGGACACATGCTCAGAAAAGGCCTGAGAAGACACTAATAACTCACCTTTAGTAATTCCTAGGCTCACAGCAAGAAAAAATGAAGGCTAAGGCAGAATTATATATGGCTCCACTAAGTGTTGAGGGAGCCCCAATACAGAGTCAGTAAGCAAAGTCTGGGAGATGTTTTTCATATTTTTTTCTTTTTTGGCTCCTTGCAGTCAAGGAAATCATTTTTAAATCACTAAATGCTAAATGAACACAAGCTAAAGGAACCGAGCCGCCTTCAAACATCAAACATAAAAAAGAATGCAGATATTACAAAACCAGTTTACAAAAGTTACTAAACAAATAAAAACTACATCCCACAGTGGGTAACAAAAATAACCTTGAAGAAGGGAAAAATTTGGTTTCCAGAATAAACACATTATAATATCCAAAATGTCCAGTTTTCAACAAAAATTAAGAAGCATGCAAATAAACACAAAACTATGGCCCATTTACAGAAGAAATAAATGAGACTCTCCCTGAGTAAGCAGATATTGGAAATATTAGACAAAAACTTTATATAACTGTCTTAAATAAACTTAAAGAGCTAAAGAAACCCAAGAGAATGACATATAAATAAATAAGAAATATGAATTTTTTAAAAGGTACAAAAAAATTCTGAGGCTGAAAAGTACAATAACTAATTAAAAAGTTACTTTTTACTTAGGGTTCCAATAGAAGATTTGAGCAGCTGGAAAAAAGAATCAGTGAACTTGATAGATCAAGTGAAATGATTCAGTCTGAAGAGCAGGAAAATGAAAGAATGACAACAAAAAAGAATAGAGCCTAAAGACCTGTGTAACAACATCAAGAATGCCTACATACAGAATCCTGGTGGGGAGTGAGGGGCAGGAAGACTATTTGAAGAAATGTGTTTGAAAGCTTCCCAAATTTCACTAAAAACAAATATATACATTCAAAAAGCTCAGTGCACTTCATCAAGGAAATATACAAAGATATTCACACCAAGACACACTATGTTTCAAATTGTCAAAAGGCAAAGCGAATGTTTGAAAGCAGCAAGAGAAAGGCAACGCGTCATTTACAAAGGATCCTCAATAAGTTTGACAGCAGATAGTGCATTATAATCCATGGATGCCAGAAGAGCTTAGGAAAAAGGCAATGCATCATTTACAAAGGATCCTCAGTAAGTTTGACAGCAGAGAGCTCATTATAAACCATGGGTGCCAGAAGAGCTTAGAATGACATTTTAAAGTTCTGAAAGAAAAAAACACTGTCAACCAAAAATTCTGTAACTTGGAAGATGCCCCTTCAAGTATTAAGGATAAATTACACATTCCCAGATTAAAAAAAAAAAGAGAGAGAGAAAGAGAAAGAAAGAAAGAAGAGAGAGAAAGAAAGGGAGAGAAAGAAAAAGAAAGAAAGAAAGAAAGAAAAAGAAAGAAAGAAAGAAAGAAAGAAAGAAAGAAAGAAAGAAAGAAAGAAAAAGAAAGAAAAGAAAGAAAGAAAAGCAAGCAAGCTTTAAAAGTTCATGTTTGGTAGGCTGTACTTCAAGATACACTTTTAAAAAAAAAGACTCCTTCAGATACAAACTAAAAAACACTAGAAAGTAACTCAAAACCACATAAAGAAATAACTCCAGTAAGGATAACTACATAGGTAAATATAAAAGCAATTATCATATTTTTTGTAAGTCTTTTTAAATATTCTATATGTTTTAAAACAAATGTGTAAAATAATGACTATAAATCTATGTTAATGAAGCATGATGTATAAAGATGTGGTTTGTGAAATTACCAACATAAAGAAATTCATAGGAAACTAAATAATAATAGAGATTTTGTATACTATTGAAGTTGTTTCAATTTATTCTAAATTGTTCCAAATTAAGAATGTTAATTGTAAATCCCCATGGTAACCACTAAGTTAATATCTTTTGAAAATACAGAAAAGGAAAGCAGAGGGTAAACACAGTGATATGCTACAAAATAGCAACTAAACACAAAAGAAGGCGATAATTGAGGAAATTAGGAACAAAGGAGGTATAAGACATACAGAAAACAAAAGCAAAATGGTAGGAGTAAGCCCCTCTTTATCAGTAATTACATTAAATACAAATGAATTAAACTCTCCAATCCAAAGAAAGAGATTGACAGAATGGATTTTTAAAAAATGATCCAACTATATTGTCCACAAGATACTCACTTTAGATCAAAATACACAATGAGTTGAAATGAAAGGATGGGAGAAAATATTCCATGTAAGTAATAACCAAAGGAGATCTGAGGCAAATATACTTATATCAGACAAAATAGACTTTAAGTCAAAAACTGTTACAAAATACAAAGAACAGTATATATTGATTTCAAAATTAAACAAGAAGATATAACAATCATAAATATATGTACACCAACTAACAGGGCTCCAAAATATATAATGTAACCATTGAGAGAATTAAAGGGAGAGACAGACAATTCCACGAAAATTGTTGGGCATTTTAAAACCCAACTTTAATAAAGGACAAAACATCCAGAGCAAATATCAAGGGAGGAATTAGAGGATTTGAATAAAACTATAAGCAATAACTATAGATAACACTTCTCTCAAAAACTGCAGAATACACATTCTTCTCAAGTGAACATGGAACATTCTCCAGCACAGATGATATGTTAGGCCATAAGATAAGCTCAATAAACTTAAAAAGATTGAAATCATGCAAAGTATCTTCACTGACCACAATGGAATGAAATAAGATATCAATAACAAAAGAAAAACTAGAAAATTTACAAATATTTGGAAATTAAACAACACAGTATTTACCAACCAATGAATCAAAGAACAAATCATGAGGGAAATTAGAAAATGTTTAGAGACGATTGAAAACAAAGATATAACAAGATGGGTGTGATATATCAAAAGCAGTGCTCAGAGTTGTAACACCTACATTTTAAAAAAGAAACATGTCAAATCAATAACCAAACTTTACTCAATAAATCATAAAAGGAAGAGCAAACAAAATCCAGAGCTAGCAGAAGGAAGGAAATAAAGATTAGAGCAGAGATAAATGAAATTGAGAATTAAAAAATTATACAGAGATCAACAAAACTAAAAGTTGGTTCTTTTAAAATATCAATAAAATTAATATACTTTTACATAGACTAAGCAAAACATCTCTATTCAGCTGACTTTTTTTTTACAAGGGAGCCAACATTATTCAGTGGGGAATAATAGCTTTTTCAACAAAAAGTGCTGGGAATACTGAATATTCATATGCAAAAAAAATGAAGCTGGACCCCTACCTCACATTATATACAAAATCTAGATTGGATCAATAATGTAAATATACGAGTGAAAACCATACATGCTTAGAAGAAAACATGGAAATAAAACATTGCTGTGGATTGGCAATGCATTCTTAGATAATACACCAAAAATACAAGCATGAAACAAACAAATGTAGCCAAAATGTACCAGAATCTGAAAACATGTATTATCTATAAAGAATTAGAGGCGAATTTGGTGAAAGAAATATGGGAGAATGGGATATTGCTCTGTGAATGCTTTTGTGCATAATTGTACATTTTTAATTAAGTTAATCTTTTACACTCTCAAAGTGTGATATTAAGCAAGCAAAGATAAGTTATTACAAGACTCTAAAACCGAATGCAATGAGAAACAAGTGAATCCAAATATATTTCAAATGAATGAATGACATAATCAAACTTAAGGGGAAAATAATAATTAATCTGATTAATTTTTGACTGTTCTCTTATTTCAAATTGACTTTTGAACATACTTTGACTACATACTATTGCTTGAAAAAATAAAATATCTGCAAAAAATTATTAAATCTTCATGATAGGATTTTTTCTTTTTATATTAGTATAAATATAACAATTCTGAAACAAATGTATGTGCATTGTAAGATTAAGCCAATGAGTAAATATTAATATATTTGTATTGCTAGAACCCCAGATTCTCACTGTGAAAGGACAGAGATACAGATATGGAATAAGACAAGGAAAGAAGCAGCCCACTGAGTTACATTAGAATCAGTATTATCAACATAAATAAGCAATGTGCTCTCTCACATGCTCTTTCCTTCTCTTAAAAAATATATAATATGTACTTATTATATATTATATGCATAGACACACGTGTGTCTATACATATCCTACATGTACATATTGAGGATTAACAGGTGCTAGTAGAAAATATTAACTTTCTTTGTATTAACAGGTGTTAGTAGAAAGTAGTAGTAGGTGCTAAGATAAAAGCCATAATTAAACCTCCTGGTGAATGAACACACCATCACCTACAATCTTACCAAAAATAGAATCAAGCACGTGTCCTAGTCAAACCTCTGGATTCAACTGTCATTTGGATAAAACGCAAAGGATAGTGAAAATGTCGATCTTCACTGAGAGTCTCACCAGCAAAATTCACAGTGTGGACACCAAGTGACAAAAATCCCAAATTTTTCAACAAATATATTGTATGGGAAAGAAAACTTTGAAAAGAAACCTGTATGTTAGAAGGGATTTTAAAAACACGACAAATGAAAACAAATGGGCAAGACTAAATCATAGTGTCTTGGAATGCATGCATGAAGGACACAGCCGTGAAAATGCAAGGACGCCTCTACTGGAACAGTCATGTTTATCGTCACTTTTCAGGAGAAAGGTGGCTGCAGTTGAGGAGAGTCACATGCTTCAGGGCTGGCAAAGTCCTATATCTTGACTTATGTGATGATTACAGGGATGTTTACAAAAATCAAACTATAAGTTTGTTTTGTGCCATGTTTTGTATTGTGTGTGTGTGTTTTGTTTTTCAACTTAAAAATAAATAAAATCAAAACCAAGGCTTCATTATCAAGTAGCACAAAGTCTCCAATCTATAACCTCCTTTGTCTGGATATCTGCATTTAACTACCATTGCCAGAGCTAATCCTGACAATGCATTCATATTTTTAACACTGAAACACAGTAAACAGGGAAAATTTTGCTCCTCTAAAACAGGGCATCTTCAGGCAATCAGAACAACTCAGAAAGTTTCTGTCTGTTGCATAAAACTCCCCTGTGCAAAGAGTTACACAAAATGCTGTCATAGTAAAGGTAGTTAACTAACGGCACTAATTGTTCTTGGGCAGTGGCCAAGTGGAACTTCAGAGACCTGGCATTGCCAGCCAGAAATCACTTGTCATGGGAATTGTCTCCTGGAATCACTTTGGTTGTCCCAGGGTAACGCAGGGAAAGTGGTTAATGGGTCACTTGGGGGTGGCATCTTCATCAGTAAATCACATTTACTTTCTCCTACTAAGAATTTTATTTTTGGCCATGAAGCCAAAAGTCAGCTCTTAAATAACAAGGGAAGCAAATAATCATTGAATAAAAATAGCAGAAAGAAAAAGCTGTGCAAAGAAATTTATGTTTTTAATTTGTTATATATGTATATTTTTATCATACTTTAAGTTCTAGGGTACATGTGCACAATGTGCAGGAATAAAATTTATGTTTTTAAAATTTATTCTACATTATGAATTCTACATTAGAAAAATAAACCATAGCCTCATCACAGGCACTTAAATACACTGAAGCTGCCAAAACAATCTATCGTTTTGCCTACGTACTTATCAACTTCCTCATAGCAAACTGGGAGAAAAAAGCAATGGAATGAATAAAATGATAGCCACAAAAATCAAGGTGGGAGAAATACTTATTATATGTCCATAAAAAATTTTAATTAATGCAAAGTATTAACACCAATGATTGCAGTAATACAGATCTTACAAATGATAGTTTTAGTCTGAACAGGACTATCCAAAAGTTAATTTTCTATAGTAACAGTTTTTAAATAAAATATCAATTCCTGAAACACATAAAATGGTCCATGAGTATACAACGAGTGAAAAAAAACAAATTCAGAGCAAAGATAAATTAAGAAGTATCTAATATTCAAACATAGTCAAAGAGAGGGAGATTTCTGGATAATCACTTAAACCCATGGTTAAACATAAATGCACATATGTTAATGTTTACTGAATAACTTATCTGTGCCAAGTGGTGTATTAATGATTCATTTTTATTTTTCACTAAATCTTTTCTCTAAAGTTGGTGTAGCCTGCAACTAAATGCAAGAAATCTGACCTAGGACCTGCACTTCTTACCATTTTGCTCATATTTATTCCCTGTGCATTTTTGTAACATGTATATGTTATATATATAGAAAGAGAGAGAGGCAGAGATGGAAAGTAATTTATGGAGTTTGATGTTATGTCAGGGTAATTACATGATTATATAATTAACAGGTTTCTTTTTAAATCAGCTATATCAATAGAAAAATAAATGTAGGAATCAAGAGACTCATTCTGTCCATCTGTGATAGTTCCATCATGATACTGCATTGTCAAGTCATTGCTCCAAAAATATGGTTTAGCTCAACACTGAGTGACTATAGGAAACCAGAAACCAGGCTGGGCGCTAAAGATGCAAAGATGAATGAGACATCATCTCTGCCGTCCAAAAGCTTACTGTCTAGTGGGAGAGTTACACACGTAAGGACAGTAATCTAATAAGAGCTAATAAGTGAAAACTAAGATAAATTAATAATACAAGATTACAAGGAAGGTTTCCAAAGTCAATGAGGCCTCAAATGAATCTTGAAAGTGTGCAAGGATTAACCAAATGAAGAAATGTGTAAGTTTTTCAAACAAAAAGGAACAGCATGAGCAAATGCAAGGAGGCCTAAAATAAAGAGATGTGTAAAGAGGTGTAAGCAGCTTTGTACTGCTGCCTGATAATTAGAAGAATATCGGGAGTAACAAGAGCTATAGAAGAGAGTCACAATTATGGAAAAATATTTATTAAATTATAAGAAATTTATAGCATAAGGAATAGTAGGACCGTTAAATGTTTTAATAAAGATGATGCTTCTTTTTTTAATATTTATTTTTATTATACTTTAAGTTCTAGGGTACATGTGCACAACGTGCAGGTTACATATGTATACATGTGCCGTGTTGGTGTGCTGCACCCATTAACTCATCATTTACATTAGGTATATCTCCTAATGCTATCCCTCCCCTCTCCCCCCACCCCACAACAGGCCGCGGTGTGTGATATTCCCCTTCCTGTGTCCAAGTGTTCTCATTGTTCAAGTCCCACCTATGAGTGAAAACATGCGGTGTTTGGTTTTTTGTTCTTGAGATAGATGATGCTTTAAATTGACCACTCTAGCTGCATTGTGGGAGGAAAAAAGATTTTAGAACAAGACTAGAAACAGAATAATTAGAAAAATGCAACTACAATGCAGATGAGTGATTATCAAGGTCTGAACTGAATAGTGGAAATAGAGATAAGGAGGCAAATTCAAGATATGTGCGTGACAGTAAAATTAACATGACCTGGTGTTTGATTGACTCTGTAAAGTGAAAGGAAAGGATGAATAATCAACAAATAATATTTATTCTACCAAATGCCTCCATGCCGCTTTGATGACAGGATAATATGTAAGCTTTTCTATATTTCAGAAACTATATGACGTGACGAAAAGTAAAAAGGGGATGGGGGTAAGGAGGTATCCTGAATTGACTGAGAAATAAGGAGGTATTCCACAGAGAATATAAATAAACATATACTTAGTGTTCAAGGAATAATAAAAAAGAGAACATCTATGTGTCCACCATACAGGATATGAAATAGAACATTTGCCGGCCATGGTGGCTCACACCTGTAATCCCAGTACTTTGGGAGGCCGAGGTGGGAGGATCACTTAAGCCCAGGACACAGGTTGCAGTGAGCCAAGATCACACTATCGTACTCCAGCCTGGGCCACCATGTCTCAGAAAAATAAAAAAACTAGATGTCTTGGAGGATTGGAAACAAAATAGAACTTTACTAGTGCCTTAGACGCCCATTGGGTGCTCCTTGCCAATTGTGTTCTCCTTTATTTCCTGCTGGATATGACCACTGTCCTTCCATTGCATTGTATGTGTTTTTTAATAGACTTTAATGGTTCTCAAGTGATGCATTATTTAGTTTGGTTCTTTGAAACTTATATAAATGAAATTATTTTGTAGAAGTTCTTTCACCTTTATCAGAAGGTACTTTCACCTTGATTCAATAATAAGTTTGCATATTACAACCTTGTTGAATGTTGGTGTAATTCATCCATTCGTATTGCTATATGATATTCCACTACATGAATATGTCGGACTTCATTCCTCAGATCTATTGTTGATGAACACTTGAAATTTTTCCAGTTTTTAACCATTACAAACAATGCTGCTATGAACATTCTTTTGTAAATCACCTGGTTCATATGTGCAAGATATCCTCTGGGGTATATATTTAAAAGTAAAATTATTGAGTTATTCAACATTACCATGAAATGCTACACTATTTTTTTTAACAATCCTACCACTTTACACTTCTACCACGAACAGATAAGCATTACCATTGGTCTTCATTTGTAGGAACCATATTTGTCTTTTGCTCTGGGGGCTTTGTTTTGTTTTGCTTTGTTTTTTGCTTAGAAGTGCTTTGGCTATTAGGGATATTTTTTTGGCTCCATGTGAACTTTAGGATTTTTTTTTAATTTTGTGAGAAATAACGTTGGTAATTTGATGGGAATTGCATTAACTCTATAGATTGTATGGGTGATATGGTCACTTTAGCTATTGATTTTTCTAATCCATGAGCATGGGATGTTTTTCCATTTGTTTATGTCATCTATAATTTCTTTCATTAGTATTTTGTAGTTCTCCTTGTAGAGATCTTTCATTTATATAGTTATGCATTCCTAGGTATTTTTCATGGCTATTGTAAATTCAGTTGAGTTCTTAATTTGGTTCTCAACAAATTAATCTCAACAAACATTCAAACAGCTTGAATGTATTTGGTGTATAGAAATACAACTGATTTTTGTGGCTTGTTTATCCCAAGACTTTACTGAAGTCGTGTATCAAGTCTAGGAGTCTTCTGAAGACTTTAGGGTTTTCTAGGCCTACAGTCATGTCATCAGTGAGCAGAGATCATTTGACTTCTTTTCTAATTTGTATACCTTTTATTTCTTTCTCCTTTCTGATAGTTCTGGCTAGCACTTCCAGTACTGTATTGAATAGGAATGATGAAGGTGAACATCCTTGCTTTTTTCCAGTTTCTAGAAGCAACACTTCTAACTTTTGCCCATCCAGGATGATGTTGGCTGTGGCTTTGTCATAGATGACTCATTTTTTGAGGTATACTCCATCTATACCTATATTGTTGAGGGTTTTTATCATAAACAGATGTTGGATTTTATCAAATGCTTATTCTGCATCTAATGAGATGATCATAGGGTTTTTGTTCTCAGTTCCATTTATGTGGTGAATCATGTTTATTGATTTGTCTATTTTGAACCATTGAAGCACCCCTGGAATAAAGCCCACTTGATCATGATGAATTATCTTTTTGATGTGTTGTTAGCTTCAGTTTGCTAGAATTTTGTTGAGTATTTTTACATCTGTGTTGATCAGGGATAAGGATTTGTAGTTTTCTTTTGTGTTCTTTTTAAAATTTTCCTTGTTAATTTTACTGCACAGTATTATTTTAATGATGAATAAAGTGTTGAGCTGGACATGTGTACCTTGTTCCTCATGTTAGAATGAAACTGTTTAATATGTCATGATTATTTATAATGTTGAGAGTAGTTTTTGTGTATATATTAAGATATTTACATCAGTTCTCTTCTATTCCTAGTTTGTTATTATTACAAATAGTTTCAAATGTGAACAAGTGCTTTTCCCACAGCTATTGAAATAACCATATTTTTTTCTTTTATTCAGTTAATGTGGTTAATTTCATTGTTTGGTTTTCTAATTTTAAACCATACATTCTTGAAATTACTGCACTTAGTCATGATGTATTTTTCTTTGGAGTATATTGTTGGATTATATTTGCAAACATTTTTGTTTAGAATTATTATGTAGTATATTAGTCTGTAATTTCATTTCTTTTAATATCCTTGTATGGTTTTACTATCATGGAGGTACCACCATATAAAACAAGTTGGAAAGTGTTATGTCTTCCCAATTCTCTAAAAATATTCATGTAACATTGGCATTATTTCTTTATTAAATATTTGGTAATATTTCTTTATTAAATATTGCATCCACCTAGCCCTGGAGTTCTTTCTACAGGAAAAAAAAATTTTCTAAATAAAATTTCTACAATGAAAAAAAAACTACTCAGTTTTTCTAGTTTTTTTCTGATCATTTCATAAAAGTAGGTATTTTTCATAGGAACTTGACCATTCCTTATGATTGTCAAATTTATTAATATAAAGTTTCATATTTTATATTTATTTTATCAGATAAATAAAATTATATGTTTTGAAATATATATTCATTGTAAAATAGCCATGTTAAGCTAACATATGCATTACCTTACATGCTTATCTTTTTTTATGAGAACACTTAAAAATCTACTCTTAGCAATTTTGAAGAATACAAGTACATCCCCTATGGAGAACAGTTTGAAGGCTCCTCAAAAAAGTAAAAATAGAGCTACCATGTGGTCCAGCAATCCCACTGCTGCATATATACCCCCCAAAAAAGAAATCAGTATATCGAAGAGATATCTGCACTCCCGTATTTGTTGCAGCACTATTTACAATAGCGAAGTTATGGAGTCAACCTAAGTGTCCATCAACAGATGAATGAATAAAGAAAATGTGGTACTTATATACAATGAAGTATTATTCAGCCATAAAAAGGAATGAGACCCTGTCATTTGCAACAACATAGATGAAACTGGAGGTCATTATGTTAAGTGAAATAAGCCAGGCACAAAAAGACAAATACTATGTGTTATCACTTATATGTGGAATCCAAAAAGCAAACAACTGAACTCATGGAGATAGAGAGTAGAAGGAAGTATACCAGAGGCTGTGAAGGGTAGTGGGGGTTGGGAGAGGTGGGGGATGGTTAATGGGTACAAAAAAAGAAAGATTTAATAAGACCTAGTATTTGATAGCACAACAGGGGGATTGCAGTCTAAAATTCAATTATACATTTAAAAATAACTGAAAGAGTATAATTGGATTGTTTATAACACAAATAATAAATGCTTGAGGGGATGAATATCCAATTTTCCATTATGTACTTATTGTACATTGCATGCCTGTACCAAAATATTTCATGTACCCCATAAATGTATACACCTGCTATGTACCCACAAAAATTAAATTTAAAAACAATACATTGTTATCCACTATAGTCACCATATTGCACAATAGATCTGTTGAATTCATTCCTCCTGTACAATGCAATTTTGTACCCTTTGACCAACATCTACCCAATCCTCCTGGTAACCATCATTCTACTCTGTACTTCTATGTGTTCAGCCTTCTTAGACCTCCACATACAAGTGAGATTATGCAGTATCTGGCTTTCTGTGCCTGGATTATTTTACTCAGTATAATGTCCTCCCGGTTCATTCATGTTGTCACAAATGATACTTTTTTTATTTTTTAAGGTTGTATACTATTCTATTGTGTATGTGTACCACATTTTCTTCATCCACTCATGTGTCGATGGATACTTAAGTTAATTCCACATCTTGGCTGTTGTGAATAATGCTACAATAAATATGGGAGTACAGATAACTCATTGACACACTGATTTGATATCTTTTTAATATATGCCCAGAAATAGCATTACTGAATCATACGGTAATTCTATTTTTACAGAATCATTTATACTGTCTTTTACAATGGCTGAAATAGTTTACATTCTCAACAATTACAAGGTTTTCCTTTTCTCCACATCCTCTCCAACACTTGGTATCTTCTGCCTTTTCTGTAACAGCCATTCTAACGGATGTGAAATGGCATTTTATTGTAGTTTTAATATGCATTTCTCTGATGATCAGTGATAATTAGCATTTTTATATATCTGTTGGCCATTTGTATGTCTTCTTTTGAGAAATGTCTATTTAGATCCTTTGTCAATTTTTCATTAGGGTTCCTTGTTTTCTTATTATTGTGTTGTTTGAGTTCCTAAGATATTTTGGACATTAGCCTCTTATCAAATGTATAGTTTGCAGATAATTTCTCCCATTTTGTAGGTTATCACTTCACTCTGTTGACTTTCTTTTGCTGTGCAGAAGCTTTTTAGGTTGATGCTATTCCATTTGTGTTTTGTTGCTTTTCTTGCCTGTGCTTTAGAGTAATATCATAAAATATTATTGCCCAAACCAATGTCTTGGAGTTATTCCCCTGTTTTCTTCCAGGAGTTCTATAGTGCTAGGTCTTACATTTAAGTCTAACTTATTTTGAATTTATATTTTTATATGGTATGAAATAAGGGCCTAAGATCAATCTTGTGGACATTCAGTTTTCTCAACACCATTTTTTGAAGAGACTGTTCTTTCCCCATGTGTGTTCCTGGCACCTTTGTTGAAAGTCAATTGACTATAATATGTAGATTTATTTATGGGCTCTTTATTCTGTGTAATTGGTCTATGTGTCTGCGTTTATGCCAGTACCATGGTGTTTCCATTGCTATAGCTATGTAGTATAATTTGAAGTCAGGTAATGTGATATCTCCTGCCTTGCTTTTTTCGATCAAGATTATTTTGGCTTTTCAGAGTTTTTTGTGATTCCATACAGATTTGAGAGTTGTTTTTCTATTTCTGTGGGAAAATGTCATAGGAATTTTGATAGAGATTGCATTCAATATGTACATCACTTTGGATAGTATGGACATTTCAAACATATTACTTTTTCCAATCCATGAACATGATATATCTTTCCATTTATTTGTGGCTTCTTCAATTGTTTTCATCAATGTTTTGTAGTTTTCAGTGTAAAGATCATTCACCTCTTTGTTTAAATTTACATCTAAGTATTTTTTGTTGCTATTATAAATAGGATTGTTTTCTTGATTTCTTTTTTTGTATAGTTTGTTGTTGATGTGTAGAAATGCTACTGAATTTTGTATGTTCACATTGTATCCTGCAACTTTACTAAATTCATTTATGAATTCTAAATTTTTTGGCAGAGTTATTGGTGTTTTCTATATATAAGATCATGTCAACTGCAAACAGAAACAATTTAACTTCTTCCTTTCCAATTTTCATGCCTTTTATTTCTTTCTTTTGCCTAATTGCTCTGGCTAGGACATCCAGTACTATGTTGAATAGAAGTTCTGAGAGTGGGCACCCTTGTATGAAGTTTTCCACAACATCTCTTATCTTTTTATTAGCTATATATTAATACGGATGTTTCTTCTTCATCAGGAGTTTGAAAAATATGTCTTTTCTCTATATTGTTCTTAATCAGTCTTCCTAGAAGTATTTCAATTTCAAAAAGTAGCAACAACTGTGGGAGTTCAGTCAGGCTGGTGGGAAAAATTTTAAAGATAGTTATAAGAAATCGACACAAACCTTCATGGAAGGCTGGGGGTGTTGTATAGCTTCAGTAATAGATCTGAATGAAGGCGGCCTAATCCTTCCTTGAGTAAATAGCTTAAAGTAGGTGCAAAGGAATGTAAGGGAGTTTATCTAAATAACTTGTTTACTCATGTGGTCCTGAAGCCAACCTTTGATCATTCACAGGCAGGATGGCTCTCTCTCGGGGGAGGGTGACCAGGTTAATTACCCTCTATTTGTGTTGACTAAAAGCCCCTGTCATTTAATGTTTTTTCAATAAATGCTGGCAGGGCTAGCTAGTCAGGGCTGGTGGCTGCCAGAACTCTTTCTGTGCACGGCCCAGCCCCCTAGCGGCTCTTTCACTGAATAATTGGTGTCTGAGTACATTATTCATCCCTCGTGCAGCTGGGGTCTGCAGGACAGACCCCCACAAACAACAATTTGCAAAAGCAAACTTCCCTGTTTTGTTTTTTTCCAAAGATGATAAATTAGAGGCTTTTAGTATGCCTCGGCCACTTAGAAATAGCAAGAGAGTGCACAAAGGTCAACTCTGTGAGCTCTAAGTCAAGAAGGAAAATGGGAATCCACCAGAATCATGAAGGACATCATAGATCCCAAGAAGGAGAATGTGAGCAAACAGTCAACATGACAGCAACCAGCTTATAAAAGTGAGCGAAGTCCTAGTATGTGAGAGAGGCAGAGAGCCTCCCTCTGTAACTGACATTTTCACTGTGAATCTGAGCAACCCCAGCCAAGTTGTTGCATTTTGTTTCTCCCAAGGCCTGGAGTCAACATGGGGAGAGGCTTGGAGATGCTGTGAAGCAAAGACACTGGGAACAGCTGCAGACATTTTCCCAGACCAGGAAGTAAGAGCAAGATGCCATTTTCAATCTGGATGCATGCAAAGTCAGCTTTTTTTTTTCTTTTTGTGACCCAGCAGAATGCCTGCACAGGCATTTTAGTCTCAGGCCAAAGATTGGAACAACTGCTTTGGGGCTTGGTAGGGACCTTCACAGCCATATTGTGGAAAACACCTCAGCAGTATGTGCTGGAATTGTGCTTTCCCCCATCGCAGCCTCAGGGCAACAGAAAAGCTGCTACAGCTGTAATTTCTCCCAGGTGATGAAACTTGCAGCCAGGGCCAGCTTGGAGACCTACAACCAGTCTGCAGGTGTCATTGCTGGGTGCCCCAGCCTGTTCCCCTGAGAATGTGATACAGCAGGGCTTTCTCTGCTTCACCCCCAGGCAGAAATTCAGGCATTGGAGCACCTGTCTACCTGGACCAGCATCCTGAGCTACCCCACCGTTTATAAACATAGGTTGTGGTGCAGTGGGGCCCTCTCCAGTCTATGGCCAGGCAGATTTCCAGGTATGTGGAGTACCCACTTGACTGGATCAGCAGCCTGAGCTTCCCCAACCTTCCTGTGCTGAGATTATAGTGCAGTGAGGCCCTCTCATCTCCACACATAGGCAGACCTCCAAGCAATTAGAGCACCTGCTCCTATGGAGAACTTAAATTTACAATAAAAAAAAAAAACATCAAAAATTGGCCAAAGGACATGAACAGACAATTCTCAAAAGAAGACATGGATGTGGCCAACAAACATATGAAAAAAAGCTCAAATCACTGATCATTAGAGAAATGCAACTCAAAACCACAATGAGATACTATCTCAAACCAGTCTTAATGGTGATTATCAAAAACTCCAGAAACAACAGTTGCTGGTAAGGCTGTGGAGAAATAGGAATGTTTTTACACTGTTTGTGGGAATGTAAATTAGTTCATTCACTGTGGAAGGCAGTGTGAAAATTCCTCAAAGATCTACAACCAGAAATGCCATTTGCCCCAGCAATCCCTTTACTGGATATATGCCCAAAGGAATATAAATCATTCTATTATAAAGATACATGCACAGGGCTGGGTGCAGTGGCTCACACCTGTAATCCCAGCACTTTGGGAGGCCAAGGCGGGTGGATAACCTGAGGACAGGAGTTTGAGACCAGCCTAGCCAACATGGGGAAACTCCATCTCTACTAAAAATACAAAAATTAGCCAGGTATAGTGGTGCACACCTGTAATACCAGCTACTTTGGAGGCTGAGGCAGGAGAATCGCTGGAACCCAGGAGGCAGAGGTCAAAGTGAGCCAAGATCATACCATTGCACTCCAGCCTGGGCAACAAGAGCAAAACTCCATCTCAAAAAAATATATATATATACATATACATACATATATATACACATATATATACATATATACAGATATTATATATGTAAATGTATATATATGTGTATATATATACACACATATATATACACATATATATACATATTATAACTACATATATATACACACACACATACATATACATGCACACATATGTTTATTGCAGCACTATTTACGATAGAAAATACATGGAATCAACCCAAATGCCCATCAATGATATATTGGATAAAGAAAATGTGATATATATTCACCATGGAATACTATGCAGCCGTTAAAATAAATGAGATCATGTTCTTTGCAGGGACATGGATGAAGCTGGAAGCCATCACCCTCAGCAAACTAACACAGGAACAGAAAACCAAACACCACATGTTCTCAGTCGTAAGAGGGAGTTGAACAATGAGAGCAAACACATGGATACATGGAGGGGAACAACACACACCAGGGCCTCTCAGGGGGACAGGGGGTAGGAGACCATCAGGACAAACACGTGGATACATGGAGGGGAACAACACACACCAGGGCCTCTCAGGGGGACAGGGGGAAGGAGACCATCAGGACAAACACGTGGGTACATGGAGGGGAACAACACACACCAGGGCCTCTCAGGGGGACAGGGGGTAGGAGACCATCAGGACAAACACGTGGATACATGGAGGGGAACAACACACACCAGGGCCTCTCAGGGGGACAGGGGGTAGGAGACCATCAGGACAAACAAGTGGGTACATGGAGGGGAACAACACACACCAGGGCCTCTCAGGGGGACAGGGGGTAGGAGACCATCAGGACAAACACGTGGGTACATGGAGGGGAACAACACACACCAGGGCCTCTCAGCGGGACAGGGGGTAGGAGACCATCAGGACAAACACGTGGGTACATGGAGGGGAACAACACACACCAGGGCCTCTCAGCGGGACAGGGGGTAGGAGACCATCAGGACAAACACGTGGGTACATGGAGGGGAACAACACACACCAGGGCCTCTCAGGGGGACAGGGGGTAGGAGACCATCAGGACAAACACGTGGGTACATGGAGGGGAACAACACACACCAGGGCCTCTCAGCGGGACAGGGGGTAGGAGACCATCAGGACAAACACGTGGGTACATGGAGGGGAACAACACACACCAGGGCCTCTCAGCGGGACAGGGGGTAGGAGATCATCAGGACAAACACGTGGGTACATGGAGGGGAACAACACACACCAGGGCCTCTCAGGGGGACAGGGGGTAGGAGACCATCAAGACAAACACGTGGATACATGGAGGGGAACAACACACACCAGGGCCTCTCAGGGGGACAGGGGGTAGGAGACCATCAGGACAAACACGTGGGTACATGGAGGGGAACAACACACACCAGGGCCTCTCAGGGGGACAGGGGGTAGGAGACCATCAGGACAAACACGTGGATACATGGAGGGGAACAACACACACCAGGGCCTCTCAGCGGGACAGGGGGTAGGAGACCATCAGGACAAACACGTGGGTACATGGAGGGGAACAACACACACCAGGACCTCTCAGCGGGACAGGGGGTAGGAGACCATCAGGACAAACACGTGGGTACATGGAGGGGAACAACACACACCAGGGCCTCTCAGGGGGACAGGGGGTAGGAGACCATCAGGACAAACACGTGGATACATGGAGGGGAACAACACACACCAGGGCCTCTCAGGGGGACAGGGGGTAGGAGACCATCAGGACAAACACGTGGGTACATGGAGGGGAACAACACACACCAGGGCCTCTCAGGGGGACAGGGGTAGGAGACCATCAGGACAAACACGTGGGTACATGGAGGGGAACAACACACACCAGGGCCTCTCAGGGGGACAGGGGGTAGGAGACCATCAGGACAAACACGTGGGTACATGGAGGGGAACAACACACACCAGGGCCTCTCAGCGGGACAGGGGGTAGGAGACCATCAGGACAAACACGTGGGTACATGGAGGGGAACAACACACACCAGGGCCTCTCAGCGGGACAGGGGGTAGGAGACCATCAGGACAAACACGTGGGTACATGGAGGGGAACAACACACACCAGGGCCTCTCAGGGGGACAGGGGGTAGGAGACCATCAGGACAAACACGTGGGTACATGGAGGGGAACAACACACACCAGGGCCTCTCAGGGGGACAGGGGTAGGAGACCATCAGGACAAACACGTGGATACATGGAGGGGGACAACACACACCAGGGCCTCTCAGGGGGACAGGGGGTAGGAGACCATCAGGACAAACACGTGGATACATGGAGGGGGACAACACACACCAGGGCCTCTCAGGGGGACAGGGGGTAGGAGACCATCAGGACAAACACGTGGATACATGGAGGGGAACAACACACACCAGGGCCTCTCAGGGGGACAGGGTGTAGGAGACCATCAGGACAAATAGCTAATGCATGCAGGACCTCATACCTAGGTGATGGGTTGATGGGTGAAGCAAACCACCATGGCACACATTTACCTATGTATCAAACCTATACTTTCTGCACGTGTATCCCAGAACATGAAATAAAATTTAAAAAATATATACACTGATTCATGATCTCCTTTCTCTCCTTCTGAAACACTCTTTAAAACTTTTTAGCATTTCCCCCTCTGTCTTCCATGTCTCCTAACTACATGTTTCTTATTTTCCATGTCTTTATTCCTGTGTTCATTTTGGATAGCCCCTTCTCACCTATATTACAGTTTACTAGTTCACTCTTCAACTGCTTCTAACATACTAATATTCTGTTAAAACCATTCATTTGGGTTTAAATTTCAATTATGTTATTCTCTATGGACATTCTATTTGTTTTCTTTTAATCTTCTTGGCCATTCTCTAGAGTTTCCTGTTCCATTATGATATTTTTAATTTTTTGTTTTACTTTAAACATACTAAATATAGTTATTTTATTTTATTTTCTGTATCTGATACTTTCTTTTTTTTTTTTTTTTTTTTTTTTTTTTTAAATTTATTTTTTTATTGATAATTCTTGGGTGTTTCTCACAGAGGGGGATTTGGCAGGGTCATGGGACAATAGTGGAGGGAAGGTCAGCAGATAAACAAGTGAACAAAGGTCTCTGGTTTTCCTAGGCAGAGGACCCTGCGGCCTTCCGCAGTGTTTGTGTCCCTGATTACTTGAGATTAGGGATTGGTGATGACTCTTAACGAGCATGCTGCCTTCAAGCATCTGTTTAACAAAGCACATCTTGCACCGCCCTTAATCCATTTAACCCTGAGTGGACACAGCACATGTTTCAGAGAGCACAGGGTTGGGGGTAAGGTCACAGATCAACAGGATCCCAAGGCAGAGGAATTTTTCTTAGTGCAGAACAAAATGAAAAGTCTCCCATGTCTACTTCTTTCTACACAGACACGGCAACCATCCGATTTCTCAATCTTTTCCCCACCTTTCCCGCCTTTCTATTCCACAAAGCCGCCATTGTCATCCTGGCCCGTTCTCAATGAGCTGTTGGGCACACCTCCCAGACAGGGTGGTGGCCGGGCAGAGGGGCTCCTCACCTCCCAGTAGGGGCGGCCGGGCAGAGGCGCCCCTCACCTCCCGGACGGGGCGGCTGGCCGGGCAGGGGGGCTGACCCCCCCCACCTCCCTCCTGGACGGGGCGGCTGGCCGGGCGGGGGGCTGACCCCCCAACCTCCCTCCCGGACGGGGCGGCTGGCCGGGCGGGGGGCTGACCCCCCCACCTCCCTCCCGGACGGGGCGGCTGGCCGGGCAGAGGGGCTCCTCACTTCCCAGTAGGGGCGGCCGGGCAGAGGCGCCCCTCACCTCCCGGACGGGGCGGCTGGCCGGACGGAGGGCTGACCCCCCCACCTCCCTCCCGGACAGGGCGGCTGGCCGGGCGGGGGGCTGACCCCCCCATCTCCCTCCCGGACGGGGTGGCTGGCCGGGCTGAGGGGCTCCTCACTTCCCAGTAGGGGCGGCCGGGCAGAGGCGCCCCTCACCTCCCGGACGGGGCGGCTGGCCGGGCGGGGGGCTGACCCCCCCACCTCCCTCCCGGATGGCACGGCTGGCCAGGCGGGGGGCTGACCCCCCCACCTCCCTCCCGGATGGCACGGCTGGCCGGGCGGGGGGGCTGACCCCCCACCTCCCTCCCGGATGGGGCGGCTGGCCGGGCGGGGGGCTGACCCCCCCCCACCTCCCTCCCGGACGGGGTGGCTGCCGGGCGGAGACGCTCCTCACTTCCCAGATGGGGTGGCTGCCGGGCGGAGAGGCTCCTCACTTCTCAGACGGGGCAGCTGCCGGGCGGAGGGGCTCCTCACTTCTCAGACGGGGTGGTTGCCAGGCAGAGGGTCTCCTCACTTCTCAGACGGGGCGGCCGGGCAGAGACGCTCCTCACCTCCCAGACGGGGTCTCGGCCGGGCAGAGGCGCTCCTCACATCCCAGATGGGGCGGCGGGGCAGAGGCGCTCCCCACATCTCAGACGATGGGCGGCCGGGCAGAGACGCTCCTCACTTCCTAGATGTGATGGCGGCTGGGAAGAGGCGCTCCTCACTTCCTAGATGGGATGGCGGCCGGGCGGAGACGCTCCTCACTTTCCAGACTGGGCAGCCAGGCAGAGGGGCTCCTCACATCCCAGACGATGGGCGGCTAGGCAGAGACACTCCTCACTTCCCAGACGGGGTGGCAGCCGGGCAGAGGCTGCAATCTCGGCACTTTGGGAGGCCAAGGCAGGCGGCTGCTCCTTGCCCTCGGGCCCCGCGGGGCCCGTCCGCTCCTCCAGCCGCTGCCTCCCGGGCGGCGCTCGCCGGCGCGGCGGCAAAGACTGAGACAGCTCCGCTGCCCGCTGAACTCCATCCTCCCGGCGGTCGGGCGGCGGCGGCTGCCCTAAGTGATCTTTTTAAGTAAAGGAGAAACTCACCAGGGTATAGCTGTGCCCCCAGCATAACAGGTAACACCTGAGTCAGTCTTGCCTCCCATGTCAGGAGGGCTCTTGTATCTGATACTTTCAATAACTGCAGTCTTTGCTAGTCTTTTTTCTGTGCTCTTGCTCATAGTTTTTTTCATTTGTTTTCATGATTAGAAAAACAGAGAGAGAAGAAGGAGAGTAAAGGTAGGAGGAGGAGGAGGAGAAAAGAAGAAAGCAGAGAAGAAGGGACAGACAAAAAAAGGAAGTTGGTTCTAACGTTTCTCTAACAACTGGCTTCAGTGAAACACTCCCACCTTGTGGATTTTTAGGTTATTGAAATTAACCAGTCTTCTGGGTGCAGCACACCAACATGGCACATGTATACATATGTAACAAACCTGCACTTTGTGCACATGTACCCTAAAACTTAAAGTATAACAAAAAATAACATAAAAAGCTACACAAATTTAAAAAAAAGAAATCAACCTAATTCCTAGATTACCACCTATTGATTCAAATGCTTTAAATCTAGGCTTTTCATCTGAGTCTTTCTTTTTAGTTATTCTGTTTATCTTCAAAACACTCCTGCTTTGAATCATTCAAAATCTACCTCCCTCCCTCTGTTTGACTACCATCAATTTTTTTGCTCATTCCTAATGCATTAATCTATTAGCTGTGAATATCCAAAAACCCTCATTTCACTGAATCTTTGACAGACCCCTTTGCATCCTCTTGTTCTTCTAATTATTTCCTCAGAAACTTTATGTTCTCTTTTCTTTACAAGCATGTCATAGTTTATATATAATGTGTGTATTGTTTTTATATATACCTATATATAGCCTCTTTTTAAAAGCACTATACACCATGCTTTGAAATATATTCTAAAATCAGGTAGCATGAAAATGGAAACATAACATACTAAAACATATGGGATGCAACAAAAGCAGTTATAAGAGGGACATTTATAGCAATAAATGCCTACATCAAAAAAGAAAAAAAAGATCTCAAATAAGCAACCTAATATTATGCCTAAAGGAGCGAGAAAATTAGAGAACAATACAAGCCCAAAGATAGCAGAAGGAAACAAATAACAAAGATCAGAGCAGAAATAATATAATAGAAACTGAAAATTTCAATAAAAATAAGAATTGTTTTTTGAAAAGATAAACAAAATTAACAAATTCTTACATAGACTAAGAAAAAAGAAAACAAACTCAGAAGTGAAAGAAGAGACATTACAACTGATACCACAGAAGTTAAAAAATCATAACATACTACTATAAACAATTATTCACCAGCAAATTAGATAACCTAGAAGAAATTGATAAACTCGTACCAAAACTGAATCATGAAGAATTCAAAATTTAGAAGAAATCATGAATAAGGAAATTAAATCACCAATGAAAGGTCTCTCATAAAAGAAAGACCCAGGATTGAATGGCTTGGTGGCTGAATTCCAACAAACACTTAGATGACTAACACCAATCCTTCCCAAACTCTTCCAAAAAAAGTGAAGAAGAGGAATACTTCCAAATTCATTTTTCAAAACCAGCATTACCCTGATACCAAAACCAGAGAAGGACACTATAATAAAAATAAATTGCAGACCAATACTCCTGATGAACTTGGATGGAAAAACCTTCAGCCAAATATTAGCAAATATTATTTTTAAAAAAACACAGCAAAAAAATTCACCATGCTTAAGTGGGATTCATCCCTGGGAAGCTTATTAGTCTTATTTGATTCGTGTAATCAGAAAATTTCTATGTCTAGTGAAGAGAAATGAGAGCAATAGAGACTCATAGCACCTCAACAAATGTCCAGGCTTGAGCCAGTTAACAAATACAAGTCCTTCAAATACAAAAAAGACTGTGAAAGAAAATAGAACAGATCAATGAAACTAAGAATTTGTTCTTTGAAAAGATAAAACTGACAAACCATTAGCTAGACTAGAAAAATGAGAGAATACTCAAAGCAATAAAATCAGAAATGAAAGAGGAAATATTGCAACTAATACCACAGAAATACAGAGGATCATAAGAGGCCACTATAAACAATTACAAGCCAACAAATTGGATAACCTAGAAAAAGCAGATAAATTTCTAGAAAAATGCAACTTACCTAGAGAAAGTCAAGAAGAAAGATAAAATCTGAACAGAACAATACTGAGTATGGAGAGTATATCAATAATAAAACATCTCCCATCAAAGAACATCCCAGGACCAGAAAACTTCATTGCTGAATTCTAACATTTTAAAAAATAATAATACAATCCTTCTGAAATTCTTCCAAAAACTTGAAGGAGAAAGAGTGTTTCCAAACTCATTTTAAAAGATCAGCATTATTGTTTTTTTTTTAAAGTGATGTTCCCCTTCCTGTGTCCATGTGTTCTCATTGTCCAATTCCCACCTATGAGTGAGAACATGCAGTGTTTGGTTTTTTGTCCTTGTGATTGTTTGCTGAGAATGATGGTTTCCAGCTTCATCCATGTCCCTACAAAGGACATGAACTCATCATTTTTTATGGCTGCATAGTATTCCATGGTGTATATGTGCCACATTTTCTTAATCCAGTCTATCATTGTTGGACATTTGGATTGGTTCCAAGTCTTTGCTATTGTGAATAGTGCCACAGTAAACATACGTGTGCATGTGTCTTTATAGCAGCATGATTTATAGTCCTTTGGGTATATACCCAGTAATGGGATGGCTGGGTCAAATGGTATTTCTAGTTCTAGATCCCTGCGGAATCGCCACACTGTCTTCCACAATGGTTGAACTAGTTTACAGTCCCACCAACAGTGTAAAAATGTTCCTATTTCTCCACATCCTCTCCAGCACCTGTTGTTTCCTGACTTTTTAATGATGGCCATTCTAACTGGTGTAAGATGGTATCTCATTGTGGTTTTGATTTGCATTTCTCTGATGGCCAGTGATAGTGAGCATTTTTTCATGTGTTTTTTGGCTGCATAAATGTCTTCTTTTGAGAAGTGTCTGTTCATATCCTTTGCCCACTTTTTGATGGGGTTGTTTGTTTTTTTCTTGTAAATTTGTTTGGGTTCATTGTAGATTCCGGATATTAGCACTGGGGCCTGTTGTGGGGTGGGGGGAGGGGGGAGGGATAGCATTAGGAGATATACCTAATGTTAAATGATGAGTTAATGGGTGCAGCACACCAGCATGGCACATGTATACATATGTAACTAACCTGTACGTTGTGCACATGTATCCTAAAACTTAAAGTATAATTTAAAAAATAAATAAATAAAAATAAAAATAAAAAGGCAAACAAGGACACTATAAGAAAAGTATGGGCCAACCAATATCCCTGATGAACACAGATACAAAAGTCCTCAAAAAAAAGTACTAGCAAACAGAATTTAACAACATATTAGGAGAACATTTACCATGATAAAGTGGATTTATCCTCCAGATGTTTCAGCAAACACAAATCAAATGTGATAAACCACATTAACAGAATGAAGGATAAAAAAATAGCTATCTCTATATATGCAGAAAAAGCATTTGACTAAATTCAAAATCCTCTCATGACTAAACCTCTCAACAAATTGGGCATAGAAGGCATGTACCTTAACACAAAACAGGACATATATAACAAGCTCACAGCTCACATCATACCCAACAATGAAAAAGTGAAATCTTTTCTGCTAAGATCAAAAACAAGACAAGGATATTTATTCTCACTACTTCTATTCAACTTATTTCTGGAAGTCCTAGCCAGAGCAATTAAGCCAAATAAAGAAATAAAAGATTCAAATTGAAAAGGAAGAAGTAAAATTGTCTCTGTTTGATGACATATTATATATAGGAAACCCTAAAAACTCCACCAAAAAGCTATTAGAAATGATAAATGAATTCAATAAAATTTCAGAATTCAAAATCAATGTACAAAACTCAGTAGTTTCTTTACACTCACAACAAACTATATGACAAAAATAAAGAAATCAATCTCATTCACAGTAGCATCAAAAAAAACGTATTTTTTTTGTTTAGGAGCACATTTAGGATTGTACTTAGGAGTACATTTAACCAAGGAGGTGAAAGATCTGTATTCTGAACACTATAAAACATTGATGAAAAATTGTAGATGACACAAATACATGGAAAGATAGTTTATGTTCATGGGTAGGAAGAATTAATATTCTTAAAATGTCCTTACTGCCCAAAGCGATTTATAGGTTTAATGCAATATTTATCAAAATTTCAATGTCATTCTTCACAGAAATAGAAAAAACAATTTGAAAATTTATATGGAACCACAAAGGATCCTGAATAACTAAAGGACTCTTGAGCAATAAGAACAAAGCTGAAGGCCTCACAATCTGACTTCAAAACATATTACAGGAAAAGAACAAAAGAAGGAAGAAGAGGGTAGAGGAGAAGTGCAGCAAGGGTGGAGGGAGGTGCCCACGCTGGGTCGGAGGAGCAGGAGGAGTATGGAGGGAAGACTCCTGGGTGGCATGGAGCTCTTGCACCTCTAGGCACTGCCCAGCCCTGTGTCAGCCAGGGCTGAACCCCCAAAGGATAAGGAAGCCTGTGTGTGTACCAACAATCAAAGCTACATCTGTGACACAACAGGACACTGCTATGGGCAGTCTCAGTGTTGTAACTACTACTATGAACATTGGTGGTTCTGGCTGGCATGGACCATCACCATCATCCTGAGCTGCTGCTGTGTCTGCCACCACAGCCAAGCCAGCCCTCAAGTCCAGCAGTAGCAACATGAAATCAACCTGACTGCCTATCCAGAAGCCCGCAATTACTCAGTGCTACCATTTTATTTCACCAAACTATTTATTACCTTCTTATGAGGAAGTGGTGAACTAACCTCCACCTGTTTCCCTCCCTGTCTGTCCATTGTGGATGAGCTCTGAGCCCTGTTTTCCTGTGAAGATTCTTTGAATTGCAGCCATTCTATTCACATGAACTCTCACATCTGGAGCACAGATGGCCCTCTCAAGGTAATTTATTGTATGCATTGACTGTTTACCAAACAAATGTCTTACTATGTACTCAGGTATATTCAGCAGCATTGTCGACTGCAGTCCCCTATGCTTGCCAGAAGATACTGTATTCAAAGTAGAAGTTTCACAGTGATGAGTAATCACTGCAATTTTCCCATTGCTCCATGGACTCTCGGAGGCCGGTGTTCTGTTCCCTGTAAATAGAGATGTACTCTGAACCTTTCTGCCTCCCTCAGCTGTTCCTAGTCCTTGGTATCAGCCCCTGGAGATGTCCACAACCACTTAGGACAAAAGGCAAAAGTGGAATTTCAGACAAAACTTTGATAGGATCTTCAGTGATAAACTTGGACTAACTGTGGCCCAGGTATCAGCACTCCCAAGAATTGCCAGGAGGAAGCTTTGGCAGACACCACAGGTATGGCAAGGCCTATCTCCCTCTGCTGAATCCAACAGGGGCAAGCAAGCTGGCATGTGGCTTGAGGTGACCCGAATATGTCAGCACCCCTCAGATGTCTTTCTTTGCACTTTTGAAAAAAATCTCAGAATTTGCTGGCAACATGGCCAAATAGGAACAGCTCCAGTCTGCAGCTCCCAGTGAGATCAATGCAGAATGCAGGTGATTTCTGCATTTCCAACTGAGGTACCTGGTTCATCTCACTGGGACTGGTTGGACAGTGGGTGCAGCCCACGGAGGGTGAGCCAAAGCAGAATGGGGCGTTGCCTCACCCAGGAAGTGCAAGGGGTTGGGGGAATTCCCTCCCCTAGCCAAGGGAAGCCCCGAGGGACTGTACCATGAGGAACGGTGCACTCCACCCAGAAACTATGCTTTTCTCATGGTCTTCACAATCGACAGACCAGGAGATTCCCTCCAGTGCCTCTGCCACCAAGGCCCTAGGTTTCAAGCACAAAACTAGGCAGCTGTTTGGGTAGACACCGAGCTAGCTGCAGGAGGTTTTTTTTTTTTCATGCCACAGTGGCAACTGGAATGCCAACAAGACAGAACCATTCTCTCTCCTGGAAAGGGGGCTGAAGCCAGGGAGCCAAGTGGTCTGGCTCGGCGGGTCCCACCCCTACAGAGCCCAGCAAGCTAAGATCCACTGGCTTGAAATTCTTGCACAGCAGTCTGAGGTTGACCTAGGACACTAGAGCTTGGTGGGGGGAGAGGCTTCCACATTGCCAAGGCTTGAGTAGGCAGTTTTACCCCCACTGTGTAAACAAAGCCACCAGAAAGTTTGAACTGGGTGGAGCCCACCACAACTCAGCAAGGCCACAGCAGCCAGACTGCCTCTCTAGATTTCTCCTCTCTGGGCAAGGCATCTCTGAAAAAAGGGCAGCAGCCCCAGTCAGAGACCTATAGATAAAACCCCCATCTCCCTGGAACAGAGCACCTAGGGGAAAGGGCGGCTGTGGGCACAGCTTCAGCAGACTTAAAGCATCTTTGAAAAGCCTGATGGCTCTGAAGAGAGCAGCAGATCTCCCAGCACAGTATTCGAGCTCTGATAAGGGTCAGACTGCCTCCTCAAGTGGGTCCCTGACCCCCGTGTATCCTGACTGGGAGACACCTCCCAGTAGGTGCCAACAGGCACCTCATACAGGAGAGCTCTGGCTGGCATCTGGTGGGTGCCCCTCTGGGACAAAACTTCCAGAGGAAGAAACAGGCAGCAATCTTGGCTGTTCTCCAGCCTCTGCTGGTGATACCCAGGCAAACAGGGTCTAGAGTAGACCTAGGGCAAACCCCAACAGACCTGCAGCAGAGGGGCCTGACTGTTAGAAGGAAAACTAACAAACAAAAAGGAATAGCATCAACATCAACAAAAAGGACAGCCACTCAGTGACCCCATCAGAAGGTCACCAACATCAGAAACCACAGGTAGATAAATCCATGAAGATGGAGAGAAACCAGAGCAAAAAGGCTGAAAATTCCAAAAACCAGAACGCCTCTTCTCCTCCAAAGTATCACAACTCCTCACCAGCAAGGGAACAAAAGAAAACTGGACAGAGAATGAGTTTGACGAATTGAGAGAAGTAGGTTTCAGAAGGTAGGTAATAACAAACTCCTCCAAGCTAAAGGAGCATGTCCTAACCCAATGTAAGGAAGCTAAGGACCTGGAAAAAAGGCTAGACCACTTGCTAACTAGAATAACCAGTTTAGAGAAGAACATAAATGACCTGATGGAGCTGAAAAACACGCCATGAGAACTTCATGCAGCATGCACAAGGATCAAGCACTGATTCGGTCAAGCGGAAGAAAGATATCAGAGACTGAATATCAACTTAATGAAATAAATCAAGAAGACAAGATTAGAGAAAAAAGAATGAAAAGAAATGAACAAAGCCTCCAAGAAATATGGGACTATGTGAAACGACCAAATCTACGTTTGATTGCTGTACCTGAAAGTGATGGGGAGAATGGAACCAAGTTAGAAAACACTCTTCGGGATATTATCCAGGAGAACTTCCCTAACCTAGCAAGGCAGGCCAATATTCAAATTCAGAAATATGGAGAACATCACAAAGACACTCCTCAAGAAAAGCAACCCCAAGACACATAGTCATCAGATTGAGCAAGGTTGAAATGAAGGAAAAAATGTTAAGGGCAGCCAGAGAGAAAGGTCAGGTTACCCACAAAGGGAAGCCCATCAGACTAACAGCAGATCTATCAGCAGAAACTCTACAAGCCAGAAGAGAATGGGGGCCAATATTCAACATTCTTAAAGAAAAGAATTTTCCACCCAGGATTTCATATCCAGCCAAACTAAGCTTCATAAGTGAAGGAGAAATAAAATCCTTTACAGACAAGCAAATGCTGAGAGATTTTGTCACCACCAGGCCTGCCTTAAAGGAGCTCCTGAAGGAAGCACTAAACATGGAAAGGAACAACTGGTATCAGCCACTGCAAAAACATACCAAATTGTAAAGACCATTGACACTATGAAGAAACTGCATTAACTAACAGCAAAATAACCAGCTAGCATCGTAATGACAGGATCAAATTCACACATAACAATATCAACCTTAAATGTAAATGGGCTAAATGCTCCAATTAAAAAACACAGACTGGCAAATTGGCTAAAGAGTCAAGACCCATCAGTGTTCTGTATTCAGGAGACCCATCTCACGTGCAAAGACACAAATAGGCTCAAAATAAAGGGATGGAGGAATACTTACCAAGCAAATGGAAGGCAAAAAAAAGCAGGGGTTGCAATCCTAGTCTCTGATAAAACAGACTTTAAACCAACAAAGATCAAAAGAGACAAATAAGGGCATTGCATAATGGTAAAAGGATCAATGCAACAAGAAGAGCTAATTATCCTAAATATATATGCACCCAACACAGGAGCACCCAGATGCATAAAGTAAGCTCTTAGAGACTTAAAAAGAGACTTAGACCCTCACACAATAATAGTGGGAGACTTTAACACCCCACTGTCAATACTAGACAGATCAACGAAACAGAAAGTTAACAAGGATATCCAGGACTTGAACTCAGCTCTGGACCAAGTGGATCCAATAGACAGCTACAGAACTCTCCACCCCAAATCAACAGAATATACATTCTTCTCAGCACCACATTGCACTTATTCTAAAATTGACCACATATTTGGAAGTAAAACACTCCTCAGCAAATGCAAAAAAAAATGGGAATCATAACAGTCTCTCAGATCGCAGTGCAATTAAATTAGAACTCAGGATTAAGAAACTGACTCAAACCCACACAACTACATGTAAACTGAACAACCTGCTCCTGAACAACTACTGGGTAAATAAAGATATTAAGGCAGAAATAAATAAGTTATTTGAAACCAATGAGAACAAAGACATAACATACCAGAATCTCTGGTACACAATTATAGCAGTGTGTAGAGGGAAATTTATAGCACTAAATGCCCACAAGAGAAAGCAGGAAAGATCTAAAATTGACACCCTAACATCTCAATTAAAAGAACTCAAGAGGCAGGAGCATACAAAAAGCTAGCAGAGGACAATAAATAACTAAGATCAGAGCAGAACTGAAGGAGATAGAGACACAAAAAAACCTTCAAAAAAAAATCAATGAATCCAGGAGCTGGTTTTTTCAAAATATCAATAAAATAGATAGACCACTAGCCAGACTCATAAAGAAGAAAACAGAGAAGAATCAAACAGATGCAATAAAAAATGATAAAGGAGATACCACCACTGATCCCACAGAAATACAAACTACTATCAGAGAATACTATAAACACCTCTACACAAACTAGAAAATCTAGAAGAAATGGACAAATTCCTGGACACATACGCCCTCCCAAGACTAAACCAGGAAGAAGTTGAATCCCTGAATAGACCAATAACAAGGTCTGAAATTGTGGCAGTAATTAATAGCCTACCAACCAAAAAACAGTCCAGGACCAGATGGATTCACAGCCGAATTCTACCAGAGGTACAAAGAGGAGTTGGTACCATTCCTTCTGAAACTATTCCAAACAACAGAAAAAGAGAGAATCCTCCCTAACTCATTTTATGAGGCCAGAATAATTCTGGTACCAAAATTTGGCAGAGACACACACAAAAAAAAGAAAATTTCAAGCCAATATCCCTGATGAACATCGATGCAAAAATCCTCAATAAAATACTGGCAAACGAAATCCAGCAGCACATCAAAAGCTTGTCCACCACAATCAAGTCGGCTTCATCCCTGGGATACAAGGCTAGTTCAACATACGCAAATCAATAAACATAATTCATCATATAAATAGAACCAATGGCAAAAACCACATGCTTCTCTCAATAGATGCAGAAAAGGCCTTCGACAAAATTCAGCAGCCCTTCATGCTAAAAACTCTCAATAAACTAGGTACTGATGGAACATATCTCAAAATAATAATACCTATTTATGAAAAATCCACAGCCAATACTGAATGGTGAAAAACTGGAAGCATTCCCTTTGAAAACCAGCACAAGACAAGGATGCCCTATCTCACCACTCCTATTCAACGTAGTATTGGAAGTTCTGGCCAGGGCAATCAGGCAAGAGAAAGAAATTGTCTCTGTTTGCAGATGACATGATTGTGTATTTAGAAAACCCCATGGTCTCAGCCCAAAATCTTCTTAAGCTAATAAGCAACTTCAGAAAAGTCTCAGGATACAAAATCAATGTGCAAAAATCAAGCATTCCTATATGCAAAAAACAGACAAACAGAGAGCCAAATCATGAGTGAACTCTCCCATTCACAATTGCTACTATGAGAATAAAATACCTAGGAATCCAACTTACAAGGGATGTGAAGGACCTCTTGAAGGAGAACTACAAACCACTGCTCAAGGAAATAAGAGAGGACACAAACAAATGGAAAAACATTCCATGCTCATGGATAGGAAGAATCAATATCATGAAAATGGACATACTGCCCAAAGTTTTTATAGACTCAATGCTATCCCCATCAAGCTACCACTGACTTTGTTCACAGAATTGGAAAAAACTACTTTAAATTTCATATGGAACCAAAAATGAGCCCGCAGAGCTAGGACAGTCCTAAGCAAGTAGAACAAATCTGGAGGCATCACGCTGTCTGACTTCAAACTATACTACAAGCCTTCAGTAACCAAAACAGCATGGTACTGGTACCAAAACAGATATGTAGACCAATGGAACAGAACAGAGGCCTCAGAAATAACGCCACACATCTACAACTATCTGATCTTTGACAAACCTGACAAAAACAAGCAATGGGGAAACGATTCCCTTTTTAATAAATGGTGTTGGGAAAACTGGCTAGCCATATGCAGAAAACTGAAACTGGATCCCTTCCTTACACCTTACACAAAAATTAGCTCATGATGTATTAAAGACTTAAACATAAGATCTAAAACCATAAAAAACCCTAGAAGAAAACCTAGGCAATATCATTCAGTACATAGGCATGGACAAAAACTTCATGACTAAAACACCAAAAGCAATTGCAACAAAAACCAAAATAGACAAATGGGATCTAATTAAACTAAAGAGCTCCTGCACAGCAAAAGAAACTATCATCAGAGTGAACAGGCAACCTACAGAATGGGTGAAAATTTTTGCAATCTATCCATCTGACAAAGGGCTAATATCCAGAATCTACAAAGAACTTAAACAATTTACAAGAAAATAACAAACAAACCCATCAGTGGGTGAAGGATATGAACTGACATTTCTCTAAAGAAGACATTTATGCATCCAACAAACATATGAAAAAAAGCTCATCATCACTGGTCATCAGAGAAATGCATATCAAAACCACAATGAGATACCATCTCACGCCAGATAGAATGGCGATCATTAAAAAGTCAGGAAACAACAGATGCTGGAAAGGATGTGGAGAAATAAGAATGCTTTTACACTGTTGGTGGGAGTGTAAATTAGTTCAACCATTGTGGAAGACAGTGTGGTGATTCCTCAAGGTTCTAGAACTAGAAATATGATTTGACCCAGCAATCGCATTACTGGGTATATATCCAAAGGATTATAAATCATTCTACCATAAAGACACATGCATACATATGTTTATTGTGGCACTGTTCACAATAGCAAAGACTTGGAACCAACCAAAATGCCCATTCAATGATAGACTGCATAAAGAAAATGTGGCACATATACACCATGGAATACTATGCAGCCATAAAGAAGGATGAGTTCATATCCTTTTCAGGGGCATGGATGAAGCTGGAAACCATCATTCTCAGCAAACTAATCCAAGAACAGAAAACCAAATACCCGATGTTCTCACTCATAAATGGGAGTTGAACAATGAGAACACATGGACAGAGGGAGGGGAACACAACACACCGGGGCCTGTCTGGGGGTAGGGGCTAGGGGAAGGTTAGCATTGGGTTAAATACCTAATGTAGATGATGGGTTGATGGGTGCAGCAAACCACCATGGCACGTGTATACCTATGTAACAATCCTGCATGTTCTGCACATGTACCCCAGAACTTAAAATATAATTTAAAAAAAAATCTCAAACAACTCACTGAAGTGTCTCAAAGCTGAACAAGTTTTACCAAAATGAATCCTTCTCAGTTAACTGATCAAATGGATGAAACCTGACCCTCTGAAGTCTCTTTCCTGAGTTAGAGCAGGGAACTGCTCTGAGTGTTAACTGTTGGATTCACTGCAGTGTCCTACAATATTTTACAAGAAGATGAAAAGGCAACCTGCAGACCTAGGCTTGATTCCCAAGTCACAGTCTGACCCCTGCTACAGGAGGTTACCCTCCTCAGGAAGAGATAGAAATAGGGAATTTGAAGGAATAGTGAGGGGACCAGGGAGATTTGATTGAGTCTGGTTTCCAGGTGAATTAAAAGGAAGGGTGTCATCCAGGGTTTGTTGCTACAGTCAAAAGAATAAATAAATCAATGAAGAAATACCTTCATTGTCTGTGGTTTTCATGCAGATATACTCATGGAGGTTGTATCTCTCCAAAAACAGACAAATCCAAGGCTGTGAACAAGCATCCACATTTGAATTCCATTAAACCAAAATCTATGTTGAACGAAGTGAAGTCTGTACACAGCA
The DNA here is from genome assembly GCF_000001405.40 of Homo sapiens. Taxonomy (NCBI): domain Eukaryota; kingdom Metazoa; phylum Chordata; class Mammalia; order Primates; family Hominidae; genus Homo; species Homo sapiens. The sequence continues at coordinate 163,266 of NC_000008.11, forward strand.
TTGCAAATGTGAACACATTCCTGTGTGAGGCACATCACCATTTGTCAGTTATTGTGAATATGTGTATTTTTAAGCAATAAGATGCAGCTGGTCAGTTTTCTGGGCAATCTTGGCGAGGCATTTCCTGTGCTGTGGTTGTTCTCTAACCACTGTGAGAAACCCAAATAAAAATCGATCCCCCCCCAAAACAAATACGTATCACAAAACCACAGTAATCAAAACAACATGACACTTGCACAAAAACAGACACATTGACCAGGGGAACATAATAAGGAACCCAGAAATAAACTCATGCATTTATGACCAAGAAATTTTTGACAAAGGTGCCCAGAAAACGTAATGAAGAATAGACATTTGTTTCAATAAATGGTGTTAAGAAAACTAGATATCCACATGCAGAAGAACATGAATGTGTATGGTGTGTATCCTTATCTCACACCATACACAAAAATCAATTCAAAATGGATTAAAGGTTTAAACATAAAACTGTAAAACTACTAGATGAAAACATAGGGGAAAAGTTCCACAATGTTGGTTTGGTCAAAGATTTCTTGGATATAACCCCCAAAGCACAGGCAACAAAAGCAAAAATATATGGGATTGCATCAAACTAAAAAGCTTCTGCACAGCAAAGGAAACAATATGGTGAAGAGACAACCTACAAGTTGTGAGAAAATATTTGCAGAGCATACATCTGATGAAAGGCTAATCTCCAAATATATAAGGGACTCAACTCAATATCAAGAAAACAAATAACCAAGTCAAAAAATGGGCAAGGTCCTAAATAGACATTTCTCAAAAAAAATACAAATGACTAACATAAAAAAAGTTTGTCATCCTAATTATCAGGGAAATGCAAATTAAAATGACAGTGAGATGCCACTTCATACCTGTTAGAATGGCTACTATCAAAATGATAAAAGATAACAAGTGTTGAAGAGGATACAGAGAAAAGGGAACCCTCGTACACTGTTGGTGGAAATGTAAATTAATACTATTATGAAAAATAGATAAAAGTTACTCAAAAAACTAAAACTAGAATTACTATATGATCCAGCAATCCCACTTCCTTGTATATATCCAAAGGAATTTAAGTCAATATGCTGAAGAGATATCTCCAGGCTCATGTTCATTGCAGCATTATTCACAATACCCAAATATGAAATCAACACAGGTGTCTATCAACTGACAAATGGATGAAGAAAATGTAGTGTATATATACAATGGAATACTACTCAGCCTTAATAGGAAGGAAAACCTGATATATGTGACAACATGAATTAACCCAGAAGATATCACGCTAAGTGAAATAAGCCAGGCACGAAAAGACAAATATCACATGATCTCACTGATATGTGGAATCTGAAAAAGTTGAATTCATAGAAGTAGAGAATGGAATGGTGATTATCAGAGGCTAGGAGTTGGGGGTAGACATGGAAAAGGTAGATGTTGATAAAAGGGTTCAAAGTTTCAGTTAGACAAAGTTTCAGTGAACTATTGCACGGAATGGTGACTGTAATAAATAACAAGGTATTGTATGTTTCAAAATGACTAACAGAGTAGATTTTAAATGTTTTCACCACAAAAAAGATATGTATGTCAATAAGACAGACCTAATCTTTCCACAATTTAAACATGTATCAAAACATTACATTGTACCCCATAGATACAATTATTATTTGTCAATTTAAAATTTTTCACTAATTTATATTGTTATTGTTGCACCAACTCCTTTCCACCAGGCAGATTCTCATAAAGACTATTTTCTCTCTTACATGAAGCATTTCCTACACACCTCTTAATCACGGTAGCATTGACATCATTCCACCAGATTCTATCTCCAGTGTTAAAATAATCAAGAACCCAGAAATCTCCACCAGGGGGCAACCAATGCGTATCAAAGTTTCCCACTTTCCTTTAGATTTACTTACGGGTAACTTATGGGAAAAAATACTTAAGTACTTCCCTTTTTAAAGAAAAAAATTATATGAATTCTACAAAATTATGGCAGAAAATTTAAGAAGAGCAGATGCTTCCCAACTCATTCTAAAGGGCCAGCATTACCCTGATTCTGAAATGAAAAAGCTTTACAAAATCCAAGATCCATTCCTGACTAAAGATAAAAGAAATTTTCAGCAAACTGTGAATACAGAAAACTTTCTCAGCCTGTTAAAGAGTACCTATGAAAAAAATTATAGCTAACATTATACTTAATGATGAAATATTTAATATATTTCATAACAGGAACAAGTCAAAGATGTCTGCTCTAACTAATTCTACTCAGCATTCAACAAAATGAATATAGTGAATTCATACTAGAATTTTAAAAGCAAATGTCTTTATTCACTGACAACATAATCATCTATAAAGAAAATCCTACATAACCTATAAAAAACTGATGGAACTAATAAGTTTTGCAAGTTTACAGGATATAATGTCAAACAAAGATCTATTATGTGCCCATAAGCTAAGAATAAACAATTGTAAATTGAAATAAAAATGTCACTTAAAAGAGCATCAGAAATATAAAACTTAGAGATAAATATAAAGTACATATGCATAAAGTACCTGTTCACCAAAAACTACAAAACATTGCTGAAAGAAATTAAATGGGCATAATATAGATGTAGAGATGTGTTGAATTTATGACTCATTTTGAACAAGGAATATATTCATCATATATTCATCAGATAAGAATTATGTTACAGGTCTAATAACATTCAAATCAATACATAATGTCTCATAGTTCCTGAATCTAAAATATCAAAGAAAGAAACATAAAGCCATATCATGTTTAACGAGAAGGGCTTATTGTATCATTTATGAGATCTTCTTGTAAATCACTAGCTGTTTGCATACTCTCTTTATTGCTGCCTTCATCTCCTTATTCCTGAATGTATAGACAACTGGATTCAGAAAAGGAGTGAGAACTGCATCAAAAATAGCCAGAAACTTGTCCATCTGTGAATTAGGGTGTGGCCGTGTATACACAAACATGGGTGGACCAAAGAACAAAAGGACCACTGTGCTGTGAGCTGAAAGAGTGGAAAGGGCCTTGGATGAACCACCTGAGGAATGTTTCCAAACAGTAAACAGGATGAAGACGTAGGAGATTAGAAGTATGAAGAAAGTACCCACACAGATAAACCCACTGTTAACAGTGACCATGAACTGCAATCTGTAGGTGTCGGTACAGGCTAGTCTGAGAAGCCGAGGAAGGTCACAGTAGAAGCTGTCCAACACATTAGGGCCACAGAAGGCTAAATTAACAAGAAATGCCAGTTGGAACAGGGAGTGACTGACACCAAGGGTCCAGGCAACAGCCAGAAATGAAAGGCACATTCTTGGGCTCATAATGGTCAGATAGTGGAGGGGCTTACATAGGGCCACATATCTGTCAAAGGCCATGGCTATGAGCAGCACCATCTCCACACCACCAATGACGTGGATGAAGAAGATTTGAGCGATGCAGCCTCCAAAGGAGATGACTTTGCGCTTTCTGAACAGGTCATAAATCATCTTGGGAGAAGTGACAGAGCAGGCTCCTAAGTCAATGAAGGAGAGACTGGCCAGTAGAAAGTACATGGGGGAGTGTAAGTGAGGGTCAGTGGTCACAGAAAACACAATGAAGATGTTTCCAGTAATGCTTGCCACATAGAGCACAGAGGAAAACACTAGGAGGAGGAGCTGGATCTCCCATGAATGAGTGAGTCCCAGAAACAAAAACTCAGATACCACTGAGTGATTCTCTCCATCCATTGGTCCAGCCAACTGGGCTGTGGCTAAAATTATGAGAACTAAGAAAATGGGGAGGAAATTGTGATTATGAAGATAATAATATGTACTAAAATCAATATTGCAATGTCACTATGAATAAATAGTATACAGTTATTCTGTTCCTCACATATTAAAAACAAAAAATCAACATAATATTATCACAACATGTGAGCTGCAACCTGATTTAAACCCCTCATCAATACTTTCAGTGTAATGTCTGATCTAAAATTAACAGATTAGGTAAGAACAAGATTCCTGACTATCCATGAAATTCATCAGGTGTTTAAATGACCTGTGATATTAACTATTCCTCATTTCCAACATATTCCATTTGTACTTATACATATTCTTATAATTTCCTTCCCTTCCCAGTTTGCACCCACAATTCTCTGACAGAAAGTAGACATAAGAGGAAAACATGATTAACAGATGGATTATCACTGCAGTAAGAGGTGCCTGGGACGGACTTAGTTGAGGTAGGCTGTGGATTGAGAGAATATAGAGACTGGGGTATGTGAAATCGGAAAGCCCACAACTGTAGCAGACTAGAGTAAGTGGACTTTCACAAGAAATAGAATCACCACCATTATCTACCACATTTTCTCATGCTTACTGCTATTTAAGTGCCTCAGTTTCTATACAATCTTTCACAATTACGAAGCCCTAAATGGCTTCCCATCCTGCAATGATTTCATAAGGAGCCTATGCCACCTGTCATGTAAGGCTTTTTCCATGCCTAATAAATATGTTTTGGAGGGATTTCACCAGTGTTTCTGCTAAGATACATGCATAAAATGGACACAGAGGTTGTGAGAAATCTCTGCAGTTTCTCTTTGTCTATACACATGAAAGTATTGAAGACCAGCACTTGGATTAGTTAAGATAATGTTTTAATTCATCACTGTCTCCTCCTCCCCTTGGTACCAGCTTTTATGTTCATTGCATTCCCCACCCCTTTAAGTACTCAGTACCTCCTGCATGGTAACCTATTCTGATATTTGATATTATCATGCTTAATTTGACTGAATCCATTTGGATATTTTATCTTTAAGAAATTTGTAGTTTTATACTTTTAATTTATGATAAAATTAGATTAATATCAAACATTAATAAGTGACTTTTAGGAAGGTATATGAGCTTTCTTATTGACTTCAAACTATAAAGTACAAACTGTGACACTAGAAATTTAGTCCTTTAACACATATTGTATTTATATGTGAAGTGGAGGGTGAGCAGAAAACAGTGTTATATTTCTCTGTGTCCAGATGGATACTCACCTCAATCATTTTCCTATAGTAGAAAGTAGTTCCTGAAAACACTTAATAGAGATTATTTTAGAAGTTGCTGAGGTACAAATAAAACTGCTATGCTGACATCATACTTTTTTGCACCAACAACTCCAGTTCTTCTGACACAAAGGACCATCTTCCTAGTGCCATAATTTATCTTAGACCCCAAAACTCACAGAGGCACACATCATATCTCTAATACTTGCTCACCACCACTGGCATGAGTCTCTCTCTATCCTCTTCTACGTGAAGTGATTATACTGTCACCTCTGGAGCTAACTGTCCACAGTCTCAAGATGCACACTTTTTACAACCAGAAGCCTATGGACTGGGTGAGGGAGCAGAAACAGCCACAGGTACTGCCCATCAGGGTAATGTAAGTCAGCATGCAAACAACTGATCAGATGAACATGAATAGCAAGGTGCTGAGGCACTGGGAAGAGGGACCGGAAAACTCTATAATTGTTGAAAAAGACTCAAGCCCTTGGGAAGGGAAATGCCTATGGAATTATATAAAGACCATTTTATCCAAGTTGGTCATCATTCAGATGAAAACCATGAGGCCCAGAAAAGTAAACTGAGTTTCCAGAATTCACACAATTGATAGAATAGGAACCAGAATTCAGGCCTCTTGCTTCCTATTCCAGAAAGACAAATTGCAATAATAATCAAATAATATGAGCAATCATCCAGTAAAAATAATCTGGTAAAAACAGCAAAACTCAAAAGAGTGATTTTTCCTGGTTAAGACCAAAACTAACCATAGATTGCTATACATAGTATCTATTATAAATACTGAATTATATAGCAGCCTGACAATAAATACATAAAATGTGTACACAAAGATTATTGAACCTGTACAATACAGTAGTAAATAGTAACTTTATATTTGCAAAGTGACTGATCATTACTATCAGAATTTGTTTACCCATTCTTCATATTTTGTTGGTCATATAACCAGTTACTACAACTGCAAAAACAACCTAAGGTCATGTTTCTGTGAAGTCCATCCTTTTGGTCTTTAAATTTTATTATCCTCAAAGGTCAATTATGATCTCAATCTTTTCTTGTAATTTTACTGACAATTCTCCTTCACACTGATTAGTTCTTTCTCTAATTCCTGTAAATGGAAAGAACCAAAAAAAGTTGAAAAAACATGTATTGTACATATAACAAACAATCATATGTGGTATACAATATATATCAAATGAGTATTAAGATAAACATTCAAAGAGTTTTAAAGAAAAAAGTGTTATAGATATTGGAGGGCAGAAGATACAATTGCCATTAAGAACAGGTGGAGGAGGTTATGCCAAGGACATTGACCTGACCCTTTAGGAATTAGTGAAAATTGAATAGGAGAAGAATGAGGTACACAATGTGTGAAAAATACCTAAATTGATATAACAGGAGGAGACTTTTCATATCAATTATCATTACTTCTGTGTATATAACCATATTAGATACCCACAAACAAATAGAAAGTGGATAGTTCTTGATTGACAAGTAAGACTAATAATCCCAGATCATAGTAAGGTCTTAACTTCAAGTCAATAATCTTTATTACTTATGGTTCATTCCTCTCCCTCATGTTTTCCAATAATTTTAAAATGCATAATTAAAACAATTCTCATTTAAAAACATAGTAGCCATGACTAATGATCTTCCAGTGGGAAGGTACTAAGACTTTACAACATGTTTCTTGCTGGGGATAAGACAGCCTACAGCCAGCATTCAACTCATTTTTCTAAAGTCTATGGATCAATTTGAAATACAGAAAAAGCAGAACAGAGATAAAGTTAAAAAAAGATTAAAAATATGGGAAGAATGGGAGAAAGGGGAAATTAGAAGATATGAACAATGATTTAAAAATAAAAGAGCCTCAAAGGAGAAGAGAAACTGCTAAGCAAGACTAAGGTAGGATGAAATACAGTAGTCTCTGTTTCTGAGAACACAGGTTAAAAAGAACATAAATAAAATAAATTTATCACCTTTAATACACTCATTCAAGGATGCTACTGAGTTTGACTCTGGGAATTTCTCACCTTTAACACACTCATTTGGGGATGCTACGGACTTTGACATTGGGTTGCATTTAAAGGGGGAGAGAAAGGGCAGTTGCTTCTATTATCTGCCCTTTTGGACTCACAGAGTTTCTTTGAAAAGCACAGATGATAATAAATGGAAATATTGCCTTTTATACTATACAATAATATACACATGCAATTCACTGGAAAAAGTATACTTGTTATTATGATTTGAGGATACTACCATATACTAATCAAGAGAAACACATGTACAGAACAAAGAAGGCACATGAAATTTTTACTAGTGTGTGTTTTCCTTGTGTTCTACCACCCCAGGAGCAGCTTCTGCTACTGAAGGTCACAGTAGAGTTATTTCCAAAAGTTGTGGGTCTGCAGGGTGGACTTATCACATAGCTGTTTGCCAAAATTCAAAAGTCCAGAAACCATTTCCAAATTTTCACCTCTTTTATCTTCAAATCCTAAAACTATGAAAATTCACAAACTTAGCTCCATACATTATGGTAGAAAGGTTAATAATTTGGACTTTGAGGTTGACCAGGCCTGATTTTTGAATAAATTCACAAACTTACCTCCATACATTATGGTAGAAAGGTCAATAATCTGGACTTTGAGGTCGACCAGGCCTGATTTTTGGATCCAGGCTGCAACATTCACTTGCTGTGTTAACGTAACAAAGTTCCTAGACCATGCTGAGCTTCAGTTTACTTGTTATTGAATTAGGGATATAGCGTTCGAAGGAAGAAGTTCTAGTATTTGATTGCACAGCAGAGAAATTATAGTTATTGAACTGGGGATATGTAGATAGACATAATAAATTTTAGTATTCAATTGTACAATGGAGAAATCATAGGGAACAATAATTTATTATATATTCTAAAATAGCTAGCAGAGAAAAATTATAATGTTCCCAACACAAAGAAAAGATAAATATTCGAGGTGATGAATATCCAAATTACTCTGATTTGATCATTACACATTGTATACATGTATCAAAAATATCACATGTACCCCAAAACATGTACAACTATGATACATCAATAAAAAACAACAAAAAAACCAAAAGAATAGAAATCAAAAATAAATACATAAATACATAAAATAGGGATAATAATACCTCCCTTGCTTGCTTGCTCCCTTGCTCCATTTGTAAGAAATAAGTGATATAATATAGGTAAAAATACTTAACCTCATACCTACCACATAGTATAGCACAATAAACGTTATTTATTATAATCTGAGGCCTACCTACATAAGTGACTTTCAAGTATAGAAAATTATTTCTCAAATTTTAAATACTCCCTGATTCTCAGGTATGGTAATTAGACCTGGCTTTAGGTAAAGCTCTCATGTCTACACTTGGATTTAATCACTTAAGTATATTTCCCAGCACCCCCAACAAAAAAAAATTGCTCCTAGGTGGACACACTAATCAAAGACTTCCTGAGAAATGCAGGAAGAAGTTTTGTCCTCTGACCACGCTACGCCCTTTCCTTGATGGTAAGCCCCATAATCTAAAGCCATAAGTTTCAATTCCTCACATAAAAAGAAAAAAAATGTCTTTTATGACCACTTCAGATAACACTGGATATTTCCCTTGTCATTAGGAATGAGAAATGGGAGGAAGGTAAACTTGTAGACAGGAGAATTGGTAGATGCTTGAAAGGATTTCTGAAAACTGTGCCTATCCAGGTGTACAAATGTGTTGACCAGCCAAGGCAAAGCAGTCAAACCATACAATACCTTATCCTCAGGAAAATGGACTTTTCTCCCAAATTGCCTTTTTCATGAAAAATATAAAATTCTCCAGTTTCAACCTCATGCTAAATTTCACATGTGAAGAAAACAGTCATGCACATCAGAAAATTAAATGGCGAGTCAAGACCAAATTCCTAGTCACAGTTATGTTCTGTTTCCAGTATTACCTTCTCACTTATTCATTTTGTTAAAGTGGAGCCAAAATAGAAGTGGGTGTCACACATCAAGAAAGACTGAAGTCGTACAAAGCCGATCCTTATCCAACGTGCATTAAAATATGCATCAGGCATGTGTGATGCATATAGTAGAAGTGGAACAAATCAGGCCATGTGCAGTGGCTCACGCCTGTCAGCCCAGCACTTTGGGAGGCCAAAGCAAGCAAATCGCTTGAGATCAGCAGTTCAAGAAGTGTAACAAATCCTCTACAATATAAGTAGAGTGAAAAGAGATAGCTACAGTGATGAGGGAAGGCACTATAGTGATGTGGCATTTGAGTATAGCCATAAAAGAGGATAAATATTACAATACAAGAATATAGGGTCTAAAGAAGTCTTTTCAAGTAGATTGTAAAATATTTCAAAAATTGTAAGTTTGGTGTATGTTGAAGCATACAGATTGTCTACATCCTAAAAATCATTTTGGTGAAGAAAGGAAAATAAGAAAGGTAGTCAATATTCATTTGTTGCCTATCATTAGAAACTTCTCAAAGGTATATGAGAATTATTAAATAAATTTAGGGAGCCAGTGAAGGTATGGGTCCCGGGAATTGAGGATGAAGCCAGTAATTAGGGAAGATGCCCCATCTATAAGTGCGATGTATCAAATGGAGGAAAAGAAAAACGGAGGGAAGGAGTTCCCTTAAGAGAAGATTGAAATAGAGCAGACTTGGGGGGCTACACAGAGGAACTGGGACTACACAGTTCCAGCTTTAAGGCTATAGAAACAGAAATAGATATACTGGTAAGTAAAAACCCAAAGGATTGGTGACTTATCACAGCTGGAGTGAATACGAAGGAGCATGAACTCAAAGAAAATATCAAGATTTAAGCAAGAATAAATAGGACAATGGTAGGTCCATTTTTAGAAATTAGAAAGTTGAACATAAAATATGTCAGGGTGGAGAAAATAATCACATGTATTTTAAGCAAATAAGAGTATTAGATATTGAGATGCTCAGGTGAAAACATATGACAGGATATATGGGGGAAAAGTACAAATTCAACATGTAATTGTATAGTAATCCATATAAAAATAATAGACGGATGTGTAAGAGTGCATAAGGTCCCTGAAGGAAATAATACACAGGAAAAAAAGATTAAAAAGCAAAGACCCAACTATAGAAACTATCCACATTGATTATGTAAAGTAGGAAAAGGAATCAATAAACTAGACAGAACATCACAGAGGTAGGAGGACAAGTGCTGGCCTAGAGGAGCCAACACAGAAGCAGGTATCAAGAATAAAGGAGGAGAAGAGAGAACAAAGAGAGAGAGAAGAGAACTTCTGTGGCAGAAGATCAAGTGGGATGGTAGAATAAAGGAGAAGAAATACAAGAAAATTGAAATAAAATTTACAGAAATGTTCTACATTGTCAGTGGGCAGTTTTGACCTGGCACATTTTTGGCACACATTATAAATGTCAAATGTATTAATGAATGAATGAATGGATAATATAATGAATGTGATGGAGTTGTCAAAAGCTGAATTAATTAAAAGTCCCCACGAGAGGTTAGATGACAAAATTTTCAGAAACTTTCCATGCCACTCTGTTGTGACATCAACAGTGCTGGACCCTTGAAATCAAACCAAAAGGATTCCACCATGAGAATGAAAAGGGCTGAGAAGGGGAATGCTGGGTGACACAGAAGGTGACAAAGGGCGAAAGGTTTCTAGGCATTTGATAGACTGATGGACGTCCGAGCTGACCATAAGGCACAGGCCACACAGGAAGGAAAATGAGACCCAACGCGAAGAAAAGTAGGGCTAAACAGTCGGGAAAATGTGGGAAGAAGGATGAATAGTCATACTATCAACTCAGATTCCTCCCTGACATTCTTCTACAGCTTTATTCTCGTCCTTTGGGAGCCGAGATGTTCATTTTCCTACATTCTTAGCTGCCTACACACGGCGACTTTTCTCCACGATGCCTGATCCCTGCTGCATCCTCCTTCTCTAGTGGCAACAGCAAATGGCCACACAGAAGGCAGACATTGCACCCAACTGAGGAGAATGTAATTCACTCATTGCCAGTCACAGACCTTGGCTCACCGATTTACTAAGTATAGATTTTATTTCTATCCCTCACCTACCTGTTTTGCCAAGGGAACTAAGAAAAGAGCATCATCAAAAATTCAGATAGGTATAGTTCTCACAAGATGAACCAGATCCAGTACGGTATCACTGCAGACATACACACAGAGCTGCATAAAACAGGAAGAGAGCTGCTAATCACAGCCCCAGAGGGTAGTGGCCAAAGTGATGCCTTGGAGATCTGAGAATGCCAGACTGAGATCACACGGCCTGGGGAATTACCGCCTATGGTCATTTTGGTTTTCCCGGGATGGCCAAGCCCAGAAACTGTTAATTGGGTGAAATAAAGCATATTTGATTTTCTTATGACAAAAAAGGCCTTTTGCCATTGTCTACAGATGATACTTTAAATCTTTATTTTATGACTAAAGGTGAATTCCAGAGCAACATTAAATGTTGTCCCTTTAAATTTTTAATCATTTACATAACGATTACCATAATATTCAATTTAAACATAAAATGTAATTGAAAGTATGAGATTAATATGTGGACATGAAATCATATAATATTCCATGGAAAAAACAGAATGTATAAGGCAAAGAGGTTTAAAGTAACATCAAAACTAACGCTCACTATACAAATTCTATGAAATCCTCATAATTACACTGTGAAGCAGGTGTTGTTAGAGCCACATAATCTCAAACAAATTATTTATTATCTAAAATTACATAGATATTAAAAGGTTAGGCCATATATGAATTTAGGATTCTCTCAAAAATTTTTTCTCTTTCTCCTACATCAAACTTCCCTAAATTATAGAAAAGTCACAATGTTACCAAACATATTCACAAAACACATATAATCTTGAATCCAAATTTCAGTTACAGCAGAAAAAATAAAACTCTAGATCAATCTCAATCGTGTAAATAAATTCAGATTTCCAATCTAAGAGTCTCAATTTGACATACTTCTTTCTCTCTCTTCTTTCAAACCAGGAGAAATATAAATATGAGCCACAACCTTACAAAAGCTAGAAAATATTTACAATTCCACACAACAACACATGAAGAAAACCTTCTGGACATCAAAAGTTTAAACTAGTCAAGACTGAACACCAAGATAAAGTGCATGCCTCTGAAGAGCTTGAGCTAGTCAAGAAGCCCAGAAATCCCTAAAAGAGGTGTGTATACTGAGGAGTGAGGATCAAAACCTGTGATCTTTACTTGGAACAGAAATATTGCAGCATGTGAACCCTCCACAGAGTGACAGAGGGAAAGGAGTTTAAAGGGAAACATGCAAATGTATCACCTTTGGAATAATTAGGACACGTGTGTGGTGTAATGAAAGAAGGCAAAAAGATGGGGAAGAAGCCAGACAGATGGCAATTTTCATTCTATTATGAAAAGAAAAGGATAAGTCACAAGTCACATGATGAAATTAACAACTATGAATCCACTCTAAGCCATAGTCAATCCTATAGCCTAGGAGTCATTCTAACAGATGAGAGTGTTTTGGAGACAAGATTCCAAAACTCGTCTGCCTTCCATCATACTTACTACCCCCAGCTCCTCCTCCACAATATCCTTTCACAAGTATCTAGAATATTCAAAGACTAATAATATTATATAATTATTTATAATAATTGTATTACAAAAATAAAACTTGATGACCTTTATAAAAATACTAGAAGAAAAAGGGAAAATTACATAAGGTACAGAACATACAAATTATACCATGAAGCAGTAAAAAATAGGATCAAATTTTCTATGTTTTTTAAAAATATGCCTTCTCTAAAATGTTTTCTCTCTGAAATGATATTTAGAAGACATAATTGAAAATAAATACAAAATAAAGTGATAAAAAATAATCTGGCAAAATTCAGGATGTAATGAGTAAAGACAACCATGAAAGAAATGAAGATCAATAAAAGCAGGAAAAAAAGTGGGAAGTGGAGAGAATAATGCTGCTAAAAACACAGATAAGAATATAAATGACAGGCTTAAATATATCCTGAGCAAAACAAAATAGAAAACACAAGAAGGTGAAATGTAACATTAAAGTCAGGTCCAACAAATGAGAAATTAGTGTGAAAGAGCTCACAATATCTGGTTAAAAAATTCAAAGATAAAAGAAAACTTTTCTGAAATGAAGAAAACATTGAATCTAATGGTTAAAGGGCTTATCTTTATCCAGAAAAAATATGTTATAGTATGACCACATCAAGGCAGATGCAACTGAATTTACCGGACTTCACAAACACAAAATAAACAACCCACAAAAAAAAAAAAAAAAAATAGAGTCCCCATGAGGCTTTAATGAAGACAACTATTAGAGGCCAGGCGCAGGGGCTAACACCTACAGTCCCAACACTTTGAAAGGCCAAGGCAGGAGAATCACTTGAGCCCAGGAGTTCAAGATAAGACCAGCCTGGGCAACATAGCAAGACCCCATCTCTATCAGAAAAACTTAAAAAAGAAAACTATCCACTAAAAATGAATAGAGATAACATGATACAAGTGAGCATTCTGAAGCCTAATATCAAAATGTTCTGGGGTTTGCGGTTAAAGAACAGAATGCAAATGTTACAAACCATAACTGTATAAAGACTAATTATATTCATAACAAAAATAAGAAGAGAAAGATAGTAGAAATATATTCTGGTCCATTCAACTTTCACAGTGGGAGAGAATCAACAAATTATGTTATGGGTGATTAAATATTATTTTAAAAGATAAAGGTCATTATTAGAAAAATTAAAAATAACAAAATCAAATAAAGTTGAATGACGAAGGTGGGAGAGGAAAGTGGGTTAAAGGGGTAAAGTGGAACTATATTAAAAGAGTCAATGGAGAGCGCCCTTGGAAATAACACGAAAATTAAAGAACTAAATATAATTTATACAGCACATAACTAAACTATAAATCTTCAAATTAAAAGAAAATAGGTACATACAAAATATCACATAGAGAGAAATATTAATACCATGAAAATATTAAAATAAAAGCATAAAATTAATTCATTTATTTACCCTATTAGTATTTTTTGAACACCTACGTGCCAGGTATTGTGCTGAATGCCAGTAAGATATAGTTCCTGCATCTTGGAGTTTTCGTGGAGGAGACAGAGATTAATCAAACAATTACACAAATGTAAAATTGCAACCATAAAAATTACTCTGAAATACAATGAAAATTACTGTAAGAGAGGGATTTGATGTGAGTCAGAGAAGTTTCCCCTAAGAAAGCAACACTGAAGCTGAGATCTAAAGGGTAAACAGCAGTTAACTGAGTGGAGAACAAAGGTTTTCCTACAGGGGGAACAATCTGCTCCCCGAGGCCAGAGTGGGGCCTTGGGAGTTGTGCCTGAAACCACATTGTGAGGAAGTGAGGGGAAGCATTGTGCAGATAATGCTGAAATAAGTAGTGGAAGATGCTTCCTAAGAGAATGAGAAATCCAAGACTACTAAGCAGAAGAATGATTTGACCAGATTTCACATTTGTAAATATCACTATGGTTACAATGTATAGAATGGATTTTAAGGAATTCAAATTGGATACAGGTGAGTCAATTACAAAGCAACATGCTTGCCAAGGCAAGAAATTTGATTACTTAAACTAGATATGGGAGTTTTGGAAATAAGTAGATAAATTTGTCATATATTTGAGATAATAAATCACCATGACTTGATGGTAGACTTAGTTGGAGATGCCCTCACTAGTGCACCATCTAATGCTTCAAGTCTAATAATTATTCAATTCCTCCAGAGCCACCAATCCAATGGTTCTACCATATTTATGCTATCATTCACTTTACTGATATCCTTCTTACCTTACCTCTTTTCCCACTTTATATTCCATGATCAATACCTTGCTCCCTCGTAATGATTGTACTCACTCTTCCAAACAACAATCCTGATAAATCCTACTCTCTGCCTTCTACATCTTGATACCACACAGCTATATGTGGCTAGATAAAACAATCACACTGACAATCATCCTATGCTTTCTGAATCCATCACTCTTCTACTTTTTCAGATCTTTTCTTTCTCCCTCATCCTTACCATGTGATGAACTCATTTTGCATGTCAAGGGCTAAAAGTTGAATATTTTAAAAGTTCTCATTTTCCCACTACTATATAAACCAACAAATATCTTTAGTCTGCATTCACAAATAACATAACAAATGAGCTCTTCATATTTCTATCTGTGGTGAATTAAGATGACTAGAAATTTTGTGGCACCATCCTGTTGAAAACGTGGGGACATATTCTTTCTCCTTGAACCTGGGTGGGCTCTTTGACTGCTTTGACCAATAAAATACAGTGAAAGTAAAACTTCCAGTTTTGATGTCCAGATGTTAAAAGCCTTGAAGCTTCCATTTCTACATCTTGGAACCAACGTGTGTGGGGTGCTGAGTCAGTATCGAAGAATTCTGCTTATTCTGCTTGCATTAGTCCATTTTCATGCTGCTGATAAAGACACATCCAAGACCGGGTAATTTATGAATAAAAAGAGTTTCATGGAATCACAGTTCCATGTGGATGGGGAGGCCTCACAATCATGGCAGAAGGTGAAAAGTATGCATTACATGGGAGCAGACAAGAGACAATGAGAGCTGAGTGAAAGGGGAAGCCCCTTGTAAAGTCATCAGCTCTCATGAGACTTATTCACGACCATAAGAACAGTATGGGGGAGCCACCCCATCATTCAATTATCTCTCACCAGGTCCCTCCACAACACATGGGAATTATGGGAGCTACAATTCAAGATGAGATTTGGGAAAGGACACAGCCAAACCACCTCATTCTGCCTCTGGCACCTCCCAAATCTCATGTCCTCACATTTCAAAACCAATCATGCCTTCCCAATAGTCCCCAAAAGTCTTAACTCACTTCAGCATTAACTCAAAAGTTGGCAGTCCAAAGTCTCACCTGAGACAGGGCAAGTCTCTTCCACATATAAACCTGTAAAATCAAAAGCAATTTAGTTATTTTCTAGATAAGATAGGAGTACAGGCATTGGGTAAATGCAGCCGTTCCAAATGGTAAAATTTACCCAAAACAAAGGGACTAAAGGCTCCAAGCAAGTCCGAAATCCAGTGGGACAGTCAAATCTTAAAGCTCCAAAATGATCTCCTTTGACTCTATGTCTCACATCCAGGTCATACTCATGCAAGTGGTGGGTTCCCATGGTCTCAGGCAGCTCCACCCCTGTGGTTTTGCAGGGGAGAGCCTTCCTCCCGGTTGCTTTCACAGGCTGGCATTGTATGCAGCTTTTCCAGGCACACAGTGCAAGCTGTCAGTGGATCTACCATTCCGGGGTCTGGAGGACAGCAGCCCTCTTCTCATAGCTCCACTAGGCAGTACCCTAGTGGGGACTCTGTGTTGGGGGCTTCAACCCCACATTTCCATTCCCCACTGCCTTAGCAGAGGTTCTCCATGAAGACCTCACCCCTGCAGCAAACTTCTGTCTGGAGATCCAGGCATTTCCATACATTCTCTGAAATCTAGGTGGAGGTTCCCATACCTCGATTCTGGACTTCCGTGAATCCACAGGCTCAACACCACATGGAAGCTGCCAAAGCTTGAGGCTTGCACCCTCTGAAGCCATGGCCTGAGCTGTACCTTGACCCCTTTTAGCTGTGGCTGGAGCAGCTGGGACACAGAGCACCAAGTCCCTAGGCTGTACACAGGCAAACAGCAGAGTGGCCCTGGGCCCAGCCTATGAAACCATTTTTTCCTCCTAGGCCTCTGGGTGTGTGATGGAAGGGGCTGCCACAAAGATCTCTGACATGGCCTGAAGACTTAGCGATTAACATTTGGCTCCTTGTTACTTATGCAAATTTCTGCAGCCAGCTTGAATTTCTCCTCAGAAAATGGATTTTTCTTTTCTATCACAGTGTCATGCTACAAATTTTCTGAACGTTTATGCTCTGTTTTCCTGTTAAAACTGAGTGCTTTTAACACACCCAAGTCACTCTTGAATGCTTTGCTGCTTAGAAATTTCTTCTGCCAGATACCCTAACTCATCTCCCTCAAGTTCAAAGTTCCACAAATCTCTAGGGCAGGGACAAAATGCTGCCGGTCTCTCTCGATAGCAAGAGACACCTTTACTCCAGTTCCCATTGAGTTCCTCATCTCCATCTGAGACCATCTCAGCCTGGATTTCATTGTCTATATCATTATTTGACATTTTAGTCAAAGCCATTCAACAAGTCTCTAGGAAGTTCCAAACTTTCCCACATTTTCCTGTCGTTTTCTGAGCCCTCCAAACTGTTTCAACCCCTGCCTGTTACCCAGTTCCAAAGTCGCTTCCACATTTTTGGGTTATCTTTACAACAGCACCCCACTCTACCAGTACCAATGTACTGTATTAGTCTGTTTTCATGCTGCTGATAAAGACATACCTGAGACTGAGTGATTTATAAAGAAAAAGACACTTAATGGACTCACATTTCCAGGTGGATGGGGAGGCCTCACAATCATGGTGGAAGGCAAAAGGCACATCTCTACATGATGGCAGACAAGACAGAATGAGAGCTAAGTGAAAGGGGAACCCCCTTATAAAATCATCAGCTCTTGTGAGACTTATTCAAGACCACGAGAACAGTATGGGGGAAATACTCCTGTGATTCAGTTATCTCCCGTTGGATCCCTCCCACAAGACACGGAAATTATGGGAGCTACAATTCAAGATGAGATTTGGGTGGGGACACAGCCAAACCATATTGCTGCTGAATAGATCATGTAGACAGGCTCTCAAACTACACGGAGAGCAAGAGAGGCCCACCTTACCACAACATTTCATCCAATCCACTAATAAAACAGGCACATCACTGAAGCCACCTTCAACTCTCCAGACTACCCAGCTGCCAGCTGAATACCACAGATGGCTACAGTTAATACCACACGGAGCAGAATCATGTAGCTAAGCCCTGCTTGCACTAATACAAGTCCACAATTTTTTTTAAGTTTGTTGTTTTAAGCTGCGAAGTTTTGAGGTGGTTTGTGGTACGTGGATTAAGATGTCACTCTAATATAATATAAACTTAAACTATGTGGCATTGGCTTTGGAATCAGACAATGGATAGAAGCCAGAAGGATTCCACAAAGACTGTTAGTGAAAAGTGAACAGACTTCAAGGAAAATGATAGCAAAACCTGTAAAAGCATTCTGGGAACTGACAGTAAACACTGAATGGTCCTTAAGGAGACTGAAAACTTGAAAGAGCTTAAGAAGTCTACTGGAAAGGGCTTTAAGGATAATGAGAAAAAATCATCAGTGGAGGCTGAGGAAAACGCACCAAAGTCGTATTCTGATGGGAGAGTTAGAAAACGCTTGCCTGGAATGATATCAAATATAGGAAAAATACCGAAAAAGTTTGTGGATCTGGCTGGGGAGATTTTTGGTGTCAACTAAAGAAAAAAATTAAGCTTTTAAGAAATTAAAGTTAGATTTATTTAGGGGTCTGAGAACAAGAGACTGAGGATTACAGCCTAGGAGAAGTCTTTCAGAGAGGTTCTGTCAGACTGCTCTGGTGAAGGTCTTTAGCCCACAGTTTATATGCAGGCTGTACATATACACCATGGAATACTATGCCGCCATTAAAAAATGATATCATGTCTTTTGCTGGAATGTGGATGGACCTTCTATTATCCTTAGCAAACTAATGCAGGAACAGAAAACCAAATACAGCATACTCTCAGTTATAAGTGGGAGCTAAATGATGAGAACTAATGAACACAAAGAATAAAACAGACCCTGGGGTCTACTTGAGGGTGGAGGGTGAGAAAAGGAAGAGAAGCAGAAAAGATAACTATTGGGTACTAGGTTTAATACCTGGGTGATGAAATAATCTGTACAATAACCCCCTGTGACACCAGTTTACCTATGTAACAAATGCCCCTAAACTTAAAATAAAAGTTAAAAAAAAAGAAAATTAAAATCTCCTTATCATCTACCTGGTAATATGAAAAACACAAATCTTTCATTCATTCCTTTCAACTGATGAGGAAAATGAGGCATCGGGAGTTAGTAAAAGTCCACATTGAGATATGAGACCCACCACTGGCTGGACGCAGTGGCTCACACCTGTAATCCCAGCACTTTGGGAGGCCGATGCTGGTGGAACACCTAAGGTCAGGAGTTCGGGACCAGGCTGGCCAACATGGTGAAACCCCCATCTCTACTAAAAATACAAAAATTAGCTGGGTGTGGTGGCAGGCACCTGTAATACCAGCTACTAGGGAGGCTGAGGCAGGAGAATCGCTTGAACCCAGGAGGTGGAGTTTACAGTGAGCCAAAATCACGCCATTGCACTCCAGCCTGGGCAACAAGAGCAAGACTCTGTCGGGGAAAAAAAAAAAAAAAAAAACCACCACCATCATTTTGCAAGTGTTACCACTATTGTGTGTTAATATTGTAGAAGTATTCCTAATTATGATTTCTTTGTATTCCTAATTGTAATAGCTTTGTATTTGAAAAATTATTGATTCATACTCTATATGTTATTATTTTGTATGTGATGACAACAGAATATATTATCATGCTCCTTTTGTGAATCTCATTCATAATATAAAGTATAAATTTGTGA
This sequence comes from Homo sapiens, assembly GCF_000001405.40. NCBI lineage: Eukaryota > Metazoa > Chordata > Mammalia > Primates > Hominidae > Homo > Homo sapiens. The sequence goes on from NC_000008.11 coordinate 182,976, forward strand.
TTTTGCTTTAATTTGAAATATTAATTTCAAATATGTTATCACAATTTGATACAAACTATTGACAGTAAATCTGTGGATTAAGTAATGTCTTAGTAGGTATTGGGAAAATTTGAAACTAGTAACATGGAGGACTATTGTCATTGTTTATTTCAAAGCCAGTTAAAATTCTGCAAAGCAGTGTACATAAAAATAATTTCAAGAAATTTATAAAATACCGAGATTATGGTGTATAAACAACTTTAGATTCTTTGTTTAAGAAATTCTGCCAGTTTGTAATATATGCTTCATTCAAAGTAGCTAAGGGCTGTACCTGGCTAATAGTAGGCACCTAATATTTGTTGAAAAGGAATACTGAGTAGCTGGGACCTCCTGAGTAGCTGGGACCACACACATTTAACCTGTATTTATAAAATTACTGTTTAGAGAATAACATTTGATGGAATCATGCTTTTACTTTCTGCTTATGACTCAATTGTTTGTACTGACATTAACATCCCAAATCCTTAGCATGGCCTACAAGGCCCTGAGCAATGTGGCACCTGCTGAAGCCTGCTGCCTCATTTAATAACTCTTTGTCTCTTTCCCAGATCCAGCCACTCTAACATTTTTTAGCTCCTGGACCAAGACAAGCTCTTCCCAGAACCTGACCTTTGTACCTGTTCTTTATTCCTGGAGTATTGTTCCCCTGACAAATTACTTATCATCTATCATAATTCAGGTTAAATGGCACTAACTCAGGGAAGCCTTCCCTAACTGCCTCCCTTCTCCAACCAAATTAGGAACAATTATATGGCCACATAGTATCGAATCAAGTTTATAATTTTAAAATAATTGGGAGATTTTGTTGTTTAACACTTGTTTTCACTATAAGACTGTAATTACATGCAAGTAAGAACCATGCCTGTTTGTTCACTCCTGCCACAGTCAGAATAGTGCCTGGAATATGCAGTAAGGGCTGAACAAACACTAAATAAATGAACAAGTGAATAAATGGATATTGTCTCATTTTTAGAACAGAGTACTGAATGGATCATGAACACTATCTGGTATGTCACGTAGGTAATTTACAAGGGCTACAATTTCAGCTCAGATTTACCTTTTCCTGGATACAGGTCTTGATAGGTCTCTTGATGTCATTTCACTTCAGATTCTTCTTTAGAAAACTTGGACAATAGCATTTGCTGTCTTGTCCAAATTGTTACTAAGAATCAAGAGAGATATCTGACATGAAATGACATTGGAAAACATTAAACACGATTGAAATAATGCTAGCCAATATGGTTATTATTAGAAACCAATTACATTTTCAACTTAAAAACAGTAATACTTATTGCAGACTCAAATGTGCTTATTCTAAAACAAGTAAATGTTTGCCTATGGTCTGAGATTCTAATCCACGGAGTTCATTCTAATCCACATTCAACACTATCATGTACCAGTGGGCCTCATAACCCACCTAGCCCTGTGATTTTTCAGGTTCACTTTTCTAAACTTGTGAATTAAATATTTATTTTCTTAGTTCAGAAGAGGAAAAAAACTCTTGTAATTGTTGCCCATTTCAGGAGAAATCTTGCATATGAAAACAAGAGATAAATATACACAACTGAGGGCTGTGGTTTAAACAAAATCTTGAGAATGTTTTTTGACCTTATACATTTGTGCTTTAGTATAACAAAATGATATAGACAAAGGTAACTTTTAATAGAACCAGTCACTAAATTAAAAAAATGACAAATTCTTCTGCTTAGCTAAGCAACAGAGAAGGTAAAATACTAATTCAATTCATCAATTTAAGCAATACTCATTAAGAGCCAAGTATGTGCTTACTGAATAAGCTGCTAAGGTTTGGTGGTTACATAGTGTGCGGTGAAATGATGTCTACATCACAGTCCAACATTCACAGAGTTTAAAAGCCTACCAAGAATCAAGACAGACACAAATACCTAACATAGACGTTTGTATATGATAAGAGAGCCAGAGTACAATTTAGGAGAAGAAATTGTATGGAAGGAAGGTTCATTTCCATTAGACCAGAAAAGACAGCACATTTGAAGGCCTGAATAAGAAATATTCTGGATAAGATATTGTGGCTGCTACCAGAATGGCTCTTGATGATCTCTACCTCTTGGTATTTATACCCTTATATAATCTCTTTCCTATAGTGTAAGCTGGTCCCAGGTACTTGTTTCTATTGAATAGAATAGAACAAAAGAAATGAGATGCCACTTCTGAGATTAGATTATAAGATACTGTGAATTTCTTCTTGTGCCCTCTCCCTCTCTCTCTTTCTCTTGCCCTCTCATTTGAATGAAGCCAACTGGCATGCTGTCAGTGGCCCAGTGTAAGTCCTGTTACAAGAAATTGACGATTACCTGTAGCCAACCCTAAGTGAAGAACTGAGGTCCTCAGTCCTACAAATGGAGAGAAACTGAATCTAGCTAAGAACCATGTGAGTGAGCTGGGAAGAAGATCCACCCTCAGTTGAAATTTAAGATGACATATTGAGCAGACATACTGAGACACACTGAAAGTAAGAGAGCAGGAGGAAACAAAACCAGGGTCATACAAAGAACACAACTGATTTTGAGATTCTCACATAAGTATTACACCTTCAGTGAGCACGTGTACTAGAAATTTAAAAAATAAATAAAATAAACCTTCAAAGTGAGCTAGCAAATAAATTTCCCTATGGTCTCAGCTCTGAGTGGAGAGAGAAAATGTTCCCTGTGGAGTTTATAGCCAGAATCCAGCTCTCAAACAGGTTTCAGCCTGAACTCACACAATCTGTGTGGCTTCCAAATTTGCAAGCTGAGAATTTAATTCAAAGTGGTCTCAGGTTGATAGCAGTCCAAAATGCTAGGTAGGAAAAAAAATCCTCTCTGGACAAATAAATCATCAAAGCAAGCTCATAAGAGCAGGTTTCAAAGGTCATGAGCTTCTAACACACACACAAAAATCACACACACAAAATGGGGGTAGCAGCAACATGGGTAGCGTATTCAAACTTGAAAAGACTTTAAATATTTGTATTATTAGATGTAGATTATGAAACACATATTTTAATGTGGTTAATTTTTTTAAGGAATCAAAACTATGAGTAAAGACCAAGAAAATTGTGCTGGATGGCCACTTCCACCATGGCTCCCCTCCTATTTAAGTCTGGGTACTGTGTCATCCGAAGTCTTCAGGCACATTGTTCCAGGTTTGGGTTTGCCTATGAAAGAAACTCATGAGAGCTGGAAATGAGGAGTGAAGAGGAGGTCTTCACATAAAGCAGGCTTAAGGATTAGACATAGCAGGTTTGACAGATGTGATGGCTTGCAGAATCCTTTATGAGCTCCCACTGTCCATCTGGATAAGATTTACAGACCTTTCAGAAATTCCTATAAGCTTGGGTTCTGTGCCCACACTCTAGACTGTCAGGCTAAGATCTCTGATATAAAACAGACCTCTTCTGATTTTGTCTAGCTGCTTTTCTAATATCTATTCACCAAGCTCTTCCAATAATAGCATAAGGCCCTAATTAATATTAAACTTTTATCATTATAATACATAGGATGTCTTCTGTTTTCCTGATCAAATTCTGACTACTATTAAAATATAAAGAATTGTCCAGAAATATATAAAAAAAGAATCACACATTGATCTTCTTTAAATGAAAATATAACAATTGTATGGACTAGGATGATTACAGTTGTTCAGTTCTGACTGTTATTTGAAGAAAAAAGCAATAAGAAGCCTCAGCAACTTAACAGAAGGAGCTGCCATTTACTAGGAGAAAAGATTGTGGATGAGAGTGTAGCAAAGGTCAGAATTCTGTGAAGCTTGAGATGTTTATTATAATGAATTATCTTTTATACTCACTACAGTTTCCTAACAATTTTGGGGTTTATATTTTTGAAAGAGATATACCTTTAATTTTCTTTCTTTGTACTACTGTTAGGTAACTTTAATGTGCAGATTATACTACAGTGAAAGTTGCCAATGACAAGGCAAAGTCACTTACATCAGACCCAAAGCAAAGTGGAGCCGGGTCATGAAAAAGGGGATCTTGTGTGTGTGTCCACGATAAGCACTATCACAAGGACTTTCTATAAACTCACAAGAAATTTCTGCCCACCCAGCACACTCTGTTTGTCCAGCTCATCCTGTAGGTGTCTCTATAATAGGACCTATCATAAAAAATTCCTCAAGACTGCAGCATTTCAGATAAGCCACCCTCACAAGAACACTTGCCTAGCAATGGCTGTTTCTGCCAGTAAGTTAACACCAGCTCCTGCATCAGACCCTGTGACCAATGATGTTTGTTTCAAAACAGCTTGCATGGACTTCTTTTTGTCTTTATATATTTTCCTTACCTCAACCTCTTGGGATGCACCTATGATTGATCATAGCACAAATATCTCAGATTATAATCCTTGTTTATTTCCAAATAAATTTATTTCTTTGGAGTTCCACTTTTTCTGTTATTATACATTGACATTGTTATTATGAAATTGGTTGGGTGATGTGTCTTATTTTCTTGTCTCCGGAAGAATTTCTGTAACAGTGCAATTAAACGTTCTTTGCATGTTTGCTAGAACTCACCTGTAAAATTGTCTGAGCAACCAAAGCCTGGTTTTTGTGTTTAGTTTTTCTTTTGTGATTGGGGAGGGGGGTTTATCGTACTGATTCAAGGTGTGAAGGTAACATCATTTTGATTTTATACATCTTCTTCAGTCCATTTAAGCATGTTACATAGCGTTGTTTGTTCTTTTCATGATATTCTTTACAGTAGTCTCCTAAATGTTCCCTCTGCTTCTGCCAGGAGCCCCTACAATCAACTCAGAAGCTATAGAGTTTAAAACATGTAACATATTATGCCACCTTTCTTACTGTAAAACATCCCATGGTTTCTCATAGTATTTATAGTAAAAGTGAAATTTTTATGATGGCTTGAGAAACTTTTCCCATTAGATGCCCAAGTGCTGGTCTGGTCTGATCTTCTCATCTTCCCTTGGGTGATTCTGTGGCAGTCACACTACCCTCCTTGCTGCTCCACAAAAACTCCAGCATGATCCTACTTCAGGATATTTGCCATTGTTACTGCATCTGCCTGGAACCTTTTCTCCCATATAAACATAGAGATTGCTCTTGCCTGTCCTTCAAGTCTATTCTTAAATGTCCCATTCTCTGTGAAGCTTTCCTGCCCACCCTATTTAAATTACAGACTTCACTCCCAATTCCCCATCTACTTTAAGAGTCTTCATTTATCATTCCTTGACAAACTGTAAATATACATGTTCACTTTTTTATCGTCTGTCTCCAAATACTGGAATGTTAAGTTCTGTAATGTCAGATATTTCTGTTTGGTTCACTGGTGTATTCTTAAAGCATGTTACATACTAGGTATACTCAATGAATATTTGTTGAATAAATATCACATTGGGCTTATTCCAGAAATTCAAGCTTGTTTCAATAGTTAGAGCAATCTACAAATGTAATTCATTACATTAACTAATTAAAGGAGCTAAATCACATCACCACCACAATAATGCAGAAAACCACATTTGATACAACTCAATATTCATGTCTGCCTAACAAACATCTCATGATACTAGGAAAAGAGGAAGGGATATATTATTTTCATGTATAAAGCACTAACCATTGTAGCATGCCAATATACTCAAAATTCAATGAAATTCCTATCAAAATCTTAGCATTCCTCTTAGTCCTCAACAAAGCATTTCTAAAATGTGTATAGAAGACCAAAGGGCCAAAAGAGTCAACTTCTGAAGAAGCGCAAAAAGAAAGTTGAGGAAATCTTAAAACATGTTATTGAGCTTAAAGTTGCAAAAATAAACTCATGTACCATAACTGATGAGTAGAAAAATAGACTAGTGGAATAACATAAAAATAAAAACAATGCTTACATAAAATGTTGTAACTGATTTGGATGTCATTAGAAATCAGTAAGTAAATAGATGGACAATGTAATGAAAGATGCTAGGCAAATAATGTGGTAGGGAGAATAATGGCCCTCAAAGATGCCCATGCCTAACCCTGGAACCTGTGAATATGTTACACCGAATGCAATAAAGGCTTATCAGATGTGATTAAGGATGCAAACTGAGATGGAGAGATCTTCCTGGGTTACCCAGATGGGCCCAGTCTAATCACATGAGTTCTTAAAAATGGAGAACCTTTCTTAGCTGAGTCCAGAGAGAGATGTGACAATGAAAGAATGGTCAGAGAAATGTGACATTGCCAGCTTTAAAAAGAGAGAGGAGAGGCAATGAGAAAAGGAATGCTGATGTTCTCTAGAAGATAGAAAAGGCCAGGATATGGATTCTACCCTAGCCGCCATAAAGAAACATGCCTGTCGACAACTTGATTTTAGTTCACTAAAATTCATGCCTGATTTCTGACTTGTGTACACTGTAAGATGACAAGTTTGTGTTATTTTAGGTCACTTAGTTTGTAGAAATTTGTTACAGCAGTAATAGAACAAGTGGTTATCCATATGAGGCAAATTAGATTGGATACCTATCTCCAATAGAAATCAATTCAAGGTGAATTCCAGGAAAATACTTAAAACATTTAGATTAAAAATAAATGAGAATTTTTGTTACTTTTTGTAGGTCATAGAACCAAGAAAAACAAACATTAAGGAGGAAAAATGAACATATGACTACATCAAAATATAAAGCTTCTCTATTTGGATGATATCATAAGGTGACAAATCATAAACTGTAATATTTACAACATATATATGAGTGAATAAATATACATTTAGAATATATATGAACTCCCAAAAATCAACAGGAAAAATAAGACATAGAACAAGCAAAATGCATAAACGAAAGAAGGCAAAAGAAAAATAATGACTCATAATTATATGAAAAGAAGCTCATCTTCATAGATGAGCAGATAAATGCAAATTAAAACCACCCTGAGATGCTTTTTACATCCATGAGCCTGATAAAAGTTAGAGTCTAAAAGTAATAATTAACAAAGATGGGAAGTAACAGAAAATCTTGTCCATTACTGGTTAAAGTATAAACTGATACAGCTACTTTATAGAATATTACATTATAGAATAAAGTTGTAAGTATGTATATGCAGTGACTCAGCATATTCATTGCTAGTATGTACTCAAGAGAAACTTACAGGAGTGGACTAGGAAGTAAATACAAAATGATTACAACATTGTTTGTTATATCAAAAAATAAAAAAGACACCCAATTTTCCAGCAAAAAAAATAAGTAAAAATAAATCCTGGTGTATTCTAACAATGGAATAATATATAGCCATTAAAATAAATCAACTATTACTGTACATATGAATGTAAGTATCAGCAAAACATATTGTTTAGTGAAAAACTAAGAAGCTGAAGAAGAATATATACAATATGGTTACATTTATATGAAGTCCAAAAACTTGCAAAATAAAGAAATGTGTTTAGAAATAGATTCACATGTGAGAAAACTAGAAGAAAATTAATGAAAGGATAAGAGGGATAGCAGTAATTCTGAGTAGTTGAGGGAATTTCAATTGGAAAAAAATAATATCATATTCTTTAAGTCAGGTAGTGGGTATTAGCATTTGTTTTACCATCGTTCTTTATTCTTATAGCTACACTATATATTTTCAATGTATTTAATGTATTTTTTGCATAATTAAATATTATGCAATAAAAATGAGAAAACAAAAAAGTAGAAAATGATAAATTACAATAAAGAAATGGAGAAAAAATTATAATCTAGTTGAGTAATGGTATATTACATAGCTATTTTCTTAAGTAGATGTATGTACATGATGTATGCACGATTGTACATACATGTTCTTAATTATATATAAATATATATGTACATATTTTTAATATAAAATACTAAACAAAGTACACCAAAATATTAGCTCCTATGTTAGTGAGATAATGTTTTGTTTTTTTGTATTTTAAGTTTTACATAGTAGGTGTATTTTTCTGTTTTCATACTGCTATAAAGAACTGCCCAAGACTGGGTAATTTATAAAGGAAAGAAGTTTAATTGGCTCACAGTTCAGCACAGCTTGGGAGGCCTCAGGAAATCTACAATCATGGCGGAAGACAAAGAGGAAGCAAGCCAGCTTCTTCGCAAGGCAGCATGAAGAAGTGCCGAGCAAAGGGGAAAGAATCCCTTATAAAACCATCAAATCTCGTGAGAACTCACTATCACAAGAACAGCACAGGGGAAACTGCCCCCATGATTCAATTACCTCCACCTGGTCTCTCCCTTGACCTGTGGGGATTATGGGGGCTATGGGGATTACAATTCAAGATGAGATTCAGGTGGGGATACAAAGCCTAACCATATCAGTAGGCATGTATTGAATTTTAAACTCAGAGAAAAATACTAGTGTTTTTATAGGATTCTTACTAAATAAAAACCAGAAAGTAGTAAACCATCTACGCTAAGACATAAAATTCAGTTGTTTAGTTACAAGATAGAATGTGGCCTTGTAAGAAAGCAAATTAACTTCTAACATACAAAGCCTTAGAGAAGATTCAAGTGACTGACGGATCTTAAACAGAGCTATTATTACAACTTGAACTGCAGTAAAATATCCTCAGCAACATAGATGTGTGTGTTTCACTAGTCAGAGCAATACAAATTTAATGAAACTCCATTGGTGGTGTTTTTAATCAGACAATTTCTGAAGATGTCCTGGCTTATTCACAGATGCAAGCCAAATCTCTAGAAGAGTACCATAATAAGAAAAAAAAGAATACAGGCAATTGAGAGCTGTTCCAAAGTTTAGGGAGTTTTTGTAAGGAATTAATAAATAAAAATGTTCTTGAAAGAGAGAAATTAATATGCAGTTCATACTGCCAGAATTGCAGGCAATTTATCAAAGTCCCCTAATCCTCCAAAATCGCTATTTTTTTTTTGACACACACTTTACAGTACAGAAGAAAATGTCTCCGGCAATGAATCACAAAGTTAAAATTACCTAGTCTACAATTAACTAGACAGTGATGGTAAATCATTTTCTACCAAAAGAAAGAAATGTCTTGTCTATTCAGGTTCTGCTCTACTTAAAAGTTTTCCTTGTTGGCGAGCAAGTGGTTAGAAAATCATATTTTATACGTACATTCAGCTTAAATATCATTCAGCTCAGGAAGATGACTCAGGGCCTTATCCATACCTTCAAGTTTGCTCTTAGCAAGTAATTGTTTCAGTATCTATATCAAAAATGGCTTAAGCCTGCAACATGTTTCTGAATGATTAACAAGGTGATAGTCAGTTCTTCATTGAATCCTGGATGCTTTATTTTTCTTAACAAGAGGAATTCATATGGATCAGCTAGAAAAAAATTAAGAGGAAAATCACATGGAAAGTTATATATTATATATCTATTATATATATTATATATCTATTATATATTATATATTGTATATCTATTACATATATAATATTATATATGTATTATATATATTATATATTATATATCTATTATATATATAATATTATATATTATATATCATTTCCAAATTCCCCAGCGTTCATATTTGTCAGTGCAAGTAAAGAGCCTTACTGCTGATGAGGTTTGAGGTATGACCATTTGGCCAGAATTTATGAACTCTACATGTCGCTTGATGTGTGCTTCAGGGTACACTTTTTTTTTTTTTTTTGAGACGGAGTCTTGCTCTGTCGCCCAGGCTGGAGTGCAGCGGTGCGATCTCAGCTCACCGCAAGCTCCGTCTCCCTGGTTCACGCCATTCTCCTGCCTGAGCCTCCTGAGTAGCTGGGACTACAGGCGCCCGCCACTATGCCCTGCTAATTTTTTGTATTTTTAGTACAGACGGGGTTTCACCGTGTTAGCCAGGATGGTCTCGATCTCCTGACCTCGTGATCCACCCGCCTCGGCCTCCCAAAGTGCTGGAATTACAGGTGTGAGCCACCACGCCCGGCCAGGGTACACTTTTAAGCAGAGACACTACTTTGAAGGTCATAAAAAATATAATAAGAGATAAGGCTAATTTGCTTTAATAATAATAAAATCCTTTAATAAAAATATAAAGGAATAATATAATAATTTTCTTTAATAAAATATAATAAGAGATAAGGCTAATTTCCTTTAATAAAATATAGTAACTACATACCAACAGAATTCCAAAAAAAGAAATGGAGAGGAAGGGAGCATGGGTCATTAATCTTGTCAAAAATATAAAATTATATACGAGGAATTCCTAGAAACTGTTTTCCTTGTCTGCGGCCATTGTGCTGCTGCTACACAACTACTGCAAGCAGCCCTTCAAGCCCTCCTCCCAGTACAAAGCTAATTGACTTGTGAGAAATGTTAAGCTTGGAAGAGTCAGCATCGCTGCACTTATTTTTTATTCTACTCTGACATTAGAATAATCCTTGAGTGGGGGAAAGGTTAAAAACCCCCCTGGATAAGTGTTACTAATTAATGATGATTGTTTTAAACAATGTTTGGATAATTTTTCCTTGTCCCTTGACATAAACTTGATAAATAACTGAGAAGTGAGAAGGAGATTAGTGGGTTGATTAAATTCCATTCAGGTACTTAAAGTTAGCTCCAAAAATTTAGCTATTTATAAATTGTCATGCATTGTTAATGTATAAGAGATGTAGATTTCATTTATCTTTGGTGGAGCGAGATGAAGCAGTGAATCATTGAAGACTGAAAGAAAGAAAAAGGTCTTTTCCCTTTTCTTTAAGAAGCATCATTAGTTAAAAACATGTTAGTTGATACCAGAGAACTATATTTAAAGGGACAGCAATAAGCAAATTGATTACTCTGGTGATTATTGGAGTGACATTGCCTTTTAGTTGTACTTTCACAAAATTCACAATATTTGCCAAAGTCAAGTTATCCATTACACTATTAATTTGTCATTCTTTTGTTTATATAGTCAATATCTCTATCTCAATTGGATCTATCTCAACTGCTTCTAAACAAGCCACCATAGTCTCTCCCATTTCAACAATCTCTTCCAAGTACCATTTCATTTCTTCTTTTCATATTTTTGAAAACTTTTGAAAAACTACCTATTTTCCTCCTCCATTTCTTGTTCATTCCATTCTAGTGGACATGGAATCTGTTCCTCCTCCAAAACGGAATTTGGTAACCCTTAAATTACTAAACCCAAAACAATATGTTGTCTTTATCTTTACCTCTCTGTGGCATTTAATGATAAGACCACTACTTTCTTCTCTTTTACCCTTCTTTCTTGAATTCAGTCAAACAACGTACTTACATTTTTCGTCTTATTCTCCATCTTAGAAACCACCTCAGCTTTCTCCATTCAGCTATAAAATTGTGCTTTTCCTCAAAGATTAATCTGCCTCTCCTCTCACTCTATACTATCTCTGTTAGCTAATTTTATTTGTGCACATTGCTTATACTGGGCATTATATACACATATGCATGTGTGTACATGTGCACACACACAGTGTATGTGGACATGTATATATATGTGTGTGTGTGTATATATACAGCATATATATAAATTACAATAACATAAAGGTGGCATTTTAAATTAGTGGAAATTACCCTGATTTGATCACTACACATTCTATACATGTAAAGAAAATATCACTCTGTATCCCAAGAATATGTACAATTATGGTTTGTCAAATGAAAAAGTTCATACATTGAAAAATTTTAGATAAATATCAAACTTTCTCTGAAACTGTAACTGTAAAATGTAAAAAACAGTAATTGCTATATTGCTTATTTCTGAGTAGAAGAATATGAGACATTTCCCTAATCATTATGTGTAATTACAATTACATATATATATGTAATTGTAATTACACATAATGGTTAGGGAAATGTCTCATATTCTATATATATAGACAGAAAGAGAGAAAATATATGAGGGATAGAAGGAATCTTTCCATCTCCTTTGAGTTCCACGGTGTTGAGAGTCAGGACAACTGCAATTGCTTCATCATGCCTGCTTGCAATTATAGGGCTTTTGAACCATTTGTTCCCTCCTTAGATATCCTCATTTTTTTCAGATTCTTGCTTAGAAGTCACTCCTCCATGGACCTCCTCTGACATATTAAACATTGCAGTCCATTATAAGCTGCAAGAGGACAGGGATTTTTGCCTGTTTTATTCCCTACTGTATCACCAGGGGCTACAGCAATATCTGACAAACAGTGGGCATGTAATGAATATTTGTTAAGTGAAGTAATAAATTCAATCAAATCACATCACCTGTTTAAAGCACTTCATTGGCTTCACATTGCACTTAGAATAAAGAGAAATTCTTTTTATACAATATACAATATATTTTATACAATATAAGTTCCTGCAGAATGCAGACACTTTCTACTTCTCCAGCCTCTTTTTGACTCCTCTCCTACTAGCTTCTGTATTTAAGCCACATTAGACCTTTCTTCAGTTTTTTATATAGACTTTGTCGCATCACACCTCAGAGATTCTGTACATGTTCTTCCTCCTGCCTAGAAAGGATCGTCCCTCCACTTTCGCCAACTAATCCCTGCTCAACTTTTCATCTCAGCAGGAAGCCCATTCTCTTTGGCAATCCTCTGGCCTCCAGCCCATTTATTATATGCTCACATGTCAACATGTACTTCGTACAGCATGTAACACAATTGCACTTTTATATTTTAACAAATTATATTTCCCATATTGAACTGTAAGTCTCCTGAAAGCAGGAATTTTGTTCTTGCTCATCATCAACTTTTTCAACATCCAGTGCACCATTTAGAACTTAGATGTAGTCAATACAGGTTTGTGGAATGAAAGAAGAAAAGAAAGAATTAATATTCCTTTAAATTAGGACGGCAAAGATCGTATATAGAAAATTGGCTAAGTTGTGGTACATTCATGTTTGCTCCCAATTAAGGAGCACAGCTATGAAAAGGAAGGCTTCAAATTAATAACCAATAGATTTTTTTAAAAAGAAAACTGGCCAGGTACTGTGGCTTATGTCTGTAATATCAGCATGTTGGGAGGCCAAGGCAGGATTACTTGAGCCCAGAAATTCCAGACCAGCCTGAGAATTTGGCAAAACTCTGTCTCTACAAAAAATACAAAAATTAGCCAAGTTTGGTGGCATGTGCCTGTAGTACCAGCTACTTGGGAGGCTGAGGTGGAAGAATAGCTTGAGTCTGGGAGGTCAAGGCTGCAATGAGCTGTGATTGCACCACTGCACTCAAGCCTGGGTGGTAGAGTAAGACCCTGTCTCAAAAAAAAAAAAAAAAGAAAAATCACTAAGCAAAATAAGACATGTGAAGGATCATGTCAAAGGTAAGAAAAATTAGGGGAACATTAAAAGCTTTCTTCCCAAGCCACTAAATCAACTTGACTAACAAAATTACCACTTGATTTAGTATTAGAAAATTACATTACATATCAAACATAAACCCATTAATCAAATACTAAAGAAATTTCTGAGTTAAATGGTATAATGTTAGCTTATGCCAGAGCTGACCTTGAAAGATTGTTCAAATATGGCTCAGTGTGATTGAAAGTTCTGTGTGAATATGTTTTTGGAAAGATCCAACAGCAACACCTTAGTGTATGTTTTTGAAATAAAATGTATCTGAGTAGCAGCAAAGTTATTCTCAAATTTCCATTTTATAGCTGGAGATGTTATACCGTGACGTATATGATAGGACCCAATATGGATCAATCCCTTTTAGAAGTCAATCAGGAAGAGGGGAGCAGTTAAAACAGTTGCTTGGTTTACAAACATTAGAACAATTTTCTTATTCACACCATCTGATTATTGTATTTTATTTTTTCCCCAACGTTTAGACTACACAATGAGTTAAGAATGATAAAAATAAGCTCACCAATATATTATGTACATATTTACCAAAATCTGTGCATGCTTATACATATAAACACAGCTGATAATTTATTAGTTAGGCTCATTTGTAATTTTTGTCACTATAGACCAGTTTTTTATTTAAATTGATGATTAGTATACATTTTAAATGATTAGTCAAAATAAAAAATCTAAAATGTGCTCTAAATACCTCTTAGGTCAGAAAAAAAAAGTCAAAAGCTAGAGTATAGAGAAATTAAGAAACGCCCTAAATTTCTAATCTGACAAAAATTCATACAAGATTTAAATATTTTAATGGAAAATAGAACACAACTAATTATTGAAGAAATTATAGAAAGGAAACAAAATAAACAGATTATATGGAGGATTTTTAGAAGATAAGTAAATAAATTAATATACTAGGAAAAAACAAGGAAAATATAATTGATAAATAAATACAGGTAAGAGTTCTTTTGAAATAACGATAAAATAGAAAATCTCTGTCAAAACTAAAAGGAAAGATGCATAAATATATAAATAAATGATAAAAAATGTTGCATACATATATGACTTTTTCAGAATCAAAAAATTTAAATTTCTGTAATAAAATTTAAATGTTTATAAATTTAAAAAACTAGAAGAAAGAATGTTGACTGTTCACAATACAAATAAATGACAAATATTTGAGGTGATGGATATGCTAATTATCCTTATTTGATCATTGGGCATTGTATACATGTATCAAAATATCACTCTGTATCCCATGAATATGTACAATTATTTGTCTCAAAAACAAACAAAAAAAAGATAATGGGAGAATGTTGAAAACTCAGAGAGAAGAGCAACTCTCACAGATAGGGATCCAGATAACATTAGCAGCTGATTTCTCGGCAGAAACCTTGAAGGCCAGTAGGCAGTGGATTATATATTTAAAATAATGAAGAAACCTGTCAATTGAGAAATATATAGCTGGAAAACTTATCCTTCAAAAATGAAGGAGAAATTAAGACATTTCCGGATTTTTTTTTAAAACTGAAAAAAATCCATTTATCCCTGAATTTGCCATTCAGGAAGTGTTAAGTCCTTCAGGTTGAAATAAATGAACTCTAGGCAATAACTATATAAGTAAATAAGCAAGCTGTATGAATATACAAAGCTCTCTGGTAAAGGTAAATACATAAACAAACATAAAAACAGTCCTATTGTAATTTTGGTTTGTAACTCTGCTTTTTATTTTCTACATAATTTAAAAGGCAAATGCATAAAATGTAATTGTAAATCTGTTAGCTGGTATACAATGAATAAAGATATAATTTGTCACATCAATAACATAAAAAGAGTAGAGCTATATATATAGCAGTAGAATTTTGGTATGTGATTGAACTTAAGTTGAAATAAATTCAAATTAAAATGTTATAACTCTAGGATGTTATATGTAATTCTCATAGTAACCAAAAATGAAATATACATAGAATATAAACAAAAGGAAATGAGACTAGAAACAAAATGTGTCACTACAAAAAAATCAACTAAAGATAAAAAAGAAATAATTGAGAAAATGATTGGCAAAAATCAGTAACTCTGACGTATTAAAACTTTCCATGCTACATAAATCTGAAAACTCTATTTCACATAAAACTGGAGCTGAAAGAAACAAATATTTACCTATAAAGTTAAAAGTTATATAGGGAACAAACACTAATTTTTTTTAGAAAAAATTATAAAAAGAGTAAAAATATGCCTTATACTACCGTAATTTCATGTTTTACAGCTCTGGGAAAATAGAAAATAAAATGTTCTGTTAGCATGAATCCCTCTGTGCCCCCAAAAAACCCTATGGATTGCATCATTATTACCTAAAAAGTCTATTCTCAAATGCAGCAGAGTGATATTTTTTACAAGGTAGATATTAATTTTAGATATGGAATAATATTGGTGATTTCAATTTTATAACACTGCGTTAAGATGAAAGAATGAGAAGATAAAGGTCCCTCAGCAATATAACTCACAAACATGTTCAGAAGCAGTAAGAAGTTACATTAATTATCTTTTGAAAGTCGATAATCTACATCTTTAATGTATGCATATAGCATAGCTAATGTACTATCGCTGGGTCCATTTATTCAATGAATAATTGCTGCTATGTGTCAGACATTTTTCTAGGCCTAGGAATGGATACATAAGTGAACAAAGCAAAGATTCTGGTTCTTGTAGAGTTTCCATTAAAAGACAATTTAGTAAAACTTTTCTTCCCCCAAATTATAAAATCTGTAAGATGATTTAACAACATGTGTAAAAGTCATTGTGGGCCAGGCACGGTGGCTCATACCAGGTGTGGTGACTCATAGCACTCTGTCACCCAGGCTGGAGTGCAGTGGCACAATCTCTGCTCACTGCAACCTCTGCCTCCTGGGTACAAGCGATTCTCCTGCCTCAGCTTTCTGAGTAGCAAGGACTACAGGTGCACACCATCACGCCTCGCTAATTTTTGTACTATTAGTACAGACGGAGTTTCACCATGTTGGCCAGGCTGGTCTCAAACTCCTGACCTCAAATGATCCGCCCACCTCGGCCTCCCAAAGTGCTGGAATTACAGATGTGAGCCACAATGCCCGGCCTTATTTTCTACAACTTTGGTAACTTTAGCATATACCCCAAATCTGTAAGACATAATATTATAATTCAAATGCAACTCATGGCTTCTCTTTGTACTCTTTCTCTAGCTTTTGAATTATTTATTCTAATACCAGTTTTAATTCTGACACAAAATCATGGGAGTTCTAATCAAAATCCAACCTTTTATCATAAAAACTATGAAGAAATTATGAGTAGAATTTAAAAAGGAAAATAGGCCTATTAATTAGATTTGTCTTTGTAGCATTTAACTCTATAATAAATAATATTTTATGCCTATGAGTCCCCAACAAAGCCTCCAGCTTCTATTTAGATATAAACTGTAAAAGTCACTACTGGATCCACAAGCAAGACTATGGTAAATAAATTTCTCCACCTAACCAGCTTCTTTTACATGATGTTACATGTTTCTTTTGTTTTTTCATTTTGGCAAATATTGATTGTCATCTTCGTGTTTGTCTATGTCCTAAGTGCTGGGATACAGAATCTGAAAAGATGGACACAGGACCTGCCTTCAAGTTCACCCCCTTTTTTTTTTTTTTTTGAGATGCAGTTTTGCTCTTGTCACCCAGGCTGGAGTGTAATGGTGAGATCTCTGCTCACTGCAACCTCCACCTCCAGGGTACAAGTGATTCTCCTGCCTCAGCCTCCCAAGTAGCTGGGATTACAGGTCCCAGCCACCACGCCTAGCTAATTTTTGTATTTTTAGTAGAGACAGCGTTTCATCATGTTGGTCAGGCTGGTCTCGAACTCCTAACCTCAGGTAGTCGACCCACCTCGGCCTCCCACAGTGCTGAGATTACAGGCATGAGCCACCACGCCCTGCTAGGAGTTCACGCTTTAGTTGGGGAAAATATACAATAAGCAAGCCAGTTTTTAAAATGAGAACTGCAATTAGAGTTAAATGCTACAAAGACAAACTCACAGGAAGATGGGATGTAGAATGATAAGGCTCTCAGAATAGTAAGAGAAACTATTGCTTCTTACGATGTTTGTCTTTCTTTGTATCGGTGCTCAGCTGAGTCTGCAGTGCTTCAGAGGCAGCTTTCATTTTATAAAAATCTATGATTTCTCCTTCCAGTTGTTTTTTCTCTTCCTCGAGCTTCCTTATCTCCTCCTGTTGAATCATTTTAAGATGCTCGAACTTGTCCTGCAGCTGTGAAACCAATGTGCAGTTGTGACACCAAAGCAGTGTGGCTGAACACCTAAAAGAATATGCTTTTTTTCTGATTATCAAACAAACCCAAATCATCACAGTAGAGCACGATCTTAATAACAATCTCAAAAACTCAGGAGTAAACACTCAGATATGGAATTTTTCTTTTCTTTCTTTTTTCCTTTTATAAGATGGAGTCTCACTCTGTTGCCCAGGCTGGAGTGCACTGGTGCGATCTCAGCTCACTGCAACCTCCATCTCCCAGTTCAAGTGATTCTCCTGCCTCAGCCTCTTGAGTAGCTGGGACTATAGGCATGCACCACCACTACAGGCGTGTGCCACCACACCTGGCTAATTTTTGTATTTTTAGTAGAGATGGGGTTTTGCCATGATGGCCAGGCTGGTCTCGAACTCCTGACCTCAGGTGATCCACTGACCTTGGCCTCCCAAAGTGCTGGGATTACAGGTGTGAGCCACCATGCCTAGCCAAGAAACCCTTATTTTAAAACAAGCCAGGCGCGGTGGCTCATGCCTATAATCCCAGCACTTTGGGAAGCCAAGGCGGGTGGATCACTTGATGTCAGTAGTTTGAGACCAGCCTGGGCAACATGTTGTAACCCCATCTCTACTAAAAATATATTTTAAAAATTAGCTGGGCATGGTGGTGGGCACCTGTAATCCCAGCTTCTCAGGAGGCTGAGGCAGGAGAACCACTTGAACCTGGGAGGTGGAGGTTGCAGTGAGCGGAGATCACGCCACTGCACTCTAGCCTGGGTGACAATAGAAAGACTCCATCTCAAAAACAAAACAAAAGAAAACAAAACAAAAAACCACAAAAAAAAAGACTCCATTTCAAAAACAAAACTAAAACCAAAAACACAACACAAATGTAGTACACAAATGAAAATAATTACTGTGTTAAACACAGTTTCATAGAAAATAAAA
The DNA here is from genome assembly GCF_000001405.40 of Homo sapiens. NCBI lineage: Eukaryota > Metazoa > Chordata > Mammalia > Primates > Hominidae > Homo > Homo sapiens. The sequence goes on from NC_000008.11 coordinate 201,506, forward strand.
GACCAATCAAATACAATAAGCTGCCTTTTTAGATGGGTATGTTATTCTTCTTTCACAGCTAAAGAAACAGGCTCAGAGAATGTTATTTGATTGGACCGTGTTGCATTTCTGGACAGTGCAGCTGAGATCAGACTTTGTGTGTAACTCCACTAGCCTACCAGGGTGCCTCTCATAAAGGTAAGAAATGTAAATCTGGCCTAATATACAAAGTTGCCAGGGCAGCACTGGGTCAATTCTACATACAGTACTTCTATGTTCATCAAGGGAAACCTTAAGGGAAAATGAAAATGTTTCTAGAAGGCGACTGGACACCAGCGCCTTTGCTTGTTGCCTTTGGGCTCTTCTTCTAAGGCCAACAGTGACCTGAAATTATTGACTGGCTTTTCCAATCAAGTGGACAAAATGGTACCAAGGTCGCCAACATCGATGTACAACATTGATGTTCTACAACATTGCTTAACGCAAGGGGAGACGCTCCTGACTCAGAGTGTTTAATTGCTCACCTACTTCTTTTTCTGCCCTCTTTGGCTTCTGAAATGAAAAGAACCCTGGGGTGATACAGTGAGTCAAAGGGGTGCCAGCCGCATCACAGCAAAATAGATTCCTAAAAAATCCCTGGCCTAAGATGACAGCCTTGCCTGGATCAGTTTCAATGTGCTGATAGTGGACATGGTAGAATGAAGGTGGTTGAAATGTTCATATTAAAGAACTTCCACCCAGATTGCAAGAAAAGAGAGAGGAATGGAGATGGCAGCACGAGCCCCTACAATAAAAGCAGATGTTTTGAGATCAGTTATATTTCTTCTGACAAAAATTAAAGATAGAAACCAAAGTTTAGCCTGAGACTACAATTAACTGGGCAATAAGCCAGAGGCACATATGGCATAGACAGATTTAAACATTTCTCCCTGATATTAATACAAACACTAAAATTACAAATGCATGGATTCCAAATAAAACAAATATTTAAAAAATTTAATGAATAAAAACTGGGGTCTACAGTAGTATTTGAAGGAGATCTCACAAACAGGTTTGGTTTTTGAAGGTTAGAACTGGTGGTTTAGAGAATTCATTTCATTCCAGAGAAAGAAAGAGAGGAATTTCTTGGGTTCCTTCAGGAATGCATCTAGCTTTGCCTCATCTTTGTTTGAACTATGGATACGGCAGAAGAAAACAGGAGGATTTCACAGATTTAAGGTACAAAAAGTCACTGGGTTCTCTAAGAAGTCTGGGATTCTTCTGCTGGAAAAATAAGTTTGTTGAGAAAAAATGAGTTGGAGGAAGCTGTTATTGAAGTGAAGCAGAATTGTTTTTACTAATCTGCTTATTACCCACTCTGTAGTGTGGAAACAAATTATTCATGCACAAGGTCCTCTTACTGTTCCTAGAATGCAGTGGAAAGAGAACAGATTAGTTTTCCTCCCTCAGAACACAATCCCTAGAAACAACCTACCTCAGATGAGATATTGCCTAATTATTTTCAAAAGACAGTGAAACATCATGGATGTAAATGTTTGCTGCAAAATAAATACATGCTAGAAACAGAAGCATCTGGGTCACAGCTATATTAGAGCTACCTGTGTTCCCCTGTCACTGACATTAAAACAAAAATGTCCAATACAATCATTCACAGCGTGGGAGAGGGGAAGTTGAAGGATGGAAAGGCCAGGCATAAAAGGATTTCAGAATTTCCGTCCATAAGGAAGTGGCTTTGTGCACTGTCTGTTACTGTGTGCAAGGTGAAATTTGAAGAATGAAAACGTGCAGTAACAAGGGCTCCTTTGTCCAACTCACCTCTCCAGATACCAAGTTTCAGACATGTTGCATTTTAATTGAAAGGTTGATATAATTTTTTTTAAAGAACACTTGCGGTGTTTGAAGTGACAAAGGCTGCTGTGACAAAAAAGCAGGGAAAGGGAATTTTTTTTTAAAAGCAAACAACAACAACAAAAACCCCACAGAAAAGCAAACAACAAACAAACAAAAAACAGAGGAAGAAGTCAAACACCCTGGGCTGTGACTACTTCCAGGAAGGGGCTACAAGAGGCAGTTGGAAATTCTATTTGTTTTGCAACTGTGGGTTTTCTGGCCCGCTTCCTTTCTAAAGTATATTACTCTGCTTTTGGTTCATGAAGTTATCCATTTCTGTTTTCTGGAACAGCTATGTATTTTCTTTATCTATCATCTATCTATCTATTTACCATCTATCTTTTCTACCTTTTGCTATCAAGAGCTTGGGTCAAGCAGGATAGAATTCCAGTGTATGTTCACTCTACCATTTAAAACAAGAGCTCTTGTAGGCATTCTCCATCACATCATAAACCTGAGCTTTCTAAAACAGGGTGTGGCAAACTACCATGCATGGACCATGTCTGACACAGTCTGCGTTTGTAAGTAAAGTTGTAATAGGACACAGCCAATACATGTGTTACATAATGTCTCTGGCTACTTTCATGGTATAATGGAAGAGCTGAGTCATTGAGAGAGAGACCATATGGCTTGGAAAACTTAAAATATTTAACATTTAGCCTCCTGCAGAAAATACTTGCTGACTCTTGTTTGAAAAGATCTCTGTTTAGAATGCTACCTATTGCGTTCTGGATAGAATCACAACTCTTTACCACAATCGACACAGCTTCAGCCCTGCTTCTATATCCAGCCTCATCTATTTCTGCTCCTCCTCCTTATTTTCCTTCTGGCCATGCTGATGGATTGTCAGCTTCCCAGATGTGTGAGAATCTCTCCTCCCTTCCTAACATTCTCATGCTCTCCCTCTGCCTCTCAAGAACTTCCTGCCCCATCTCTCATGACAAATCCTTTCTACATTCTTTAAGATGCAGCCCTTTTGCTCCTTCCTTAAGGATGTCTTGTCTGGCTCTATTTTGGGTGACGTGCTCCTTCTGCATCTCCCAGAGCCAGCCTGTGTGTGTCAGCTACAACATTTCTTTGCATCTCTGTGTCATATATTACCAAATCTGCCTAAGCTTGCATGAGTCACTGCATGACAACTTCAGACTCCACCAGCATTGTCCCCACTAACCACAAGGCTTAGACATTCGTCCAGTATGCTCGGGGTTGTGGGGTGGTAGCAGTAACCAGCTGGTGACCATCATTTCTTACATCAGAATCAAATCTGTAGATCTCTGCCATTCATAAGTATTTGGAGTTTAAAATTAGCATAAAGATTTTCCTTAAAATAAGAAGAAATGCCTTGAGTAGGCTTTTGGAACATAGGATGTTTCCACTGGTTCATTTCTGTGTTCAATATTCCCACATGAATCTAAACACGACTCTGCTCTTAGTAGCTATGTGACCCTGGGAAAGTCACTCAATCTCCCTCAGCTAAATTTTGTTGTGTGAGTAATGAGGAGAGAGTTGTGATTTGTATTTAGTGAATAATAACAAAAGGCATTTAGCTTTCTGGAACCTGGTATGTAGTAGAACCTCATGAAATACTAGCTCTGTTGATAAAACTAGACTGAAAGAAGCTTTCAAAGTCAACAACAGTTTGAGGCAGTGAAGGACGTAGAGGAGAAGCTGCTGCTGCAGGGGCCTGTAGCTCCTGGAAGCCCGTTTTGTCCATGATTTAGCAGGAATGCATTACCCTTCCATGACGAGGCACAGCCCACAGAAACCAAGGCCATTCTTTGAAGAAAAACATGTCTTAATAGCGTTTACATTACGTAACAGTGTAATACAAATAATAATTTATTATTAGTAATAATGTGAAATTATTTACAGTACCGTAACCCTAACTCTCACCCCTAATCCTAACCCTAACCCTAACCCCTAACCCTAATCCTAACCCAAACCCTAACCCTAACCCAACCCTAACCATAACCCAACCCTAACCCTAACCCTAGCCCCTAACCCAACCCTAACCCAAACCTAACCCTAGCCCCTAAACCTAAACCTAACTCCTAACCCCTAACTCCTAACCCTAACCCTAACCCTAACCCTAACCCCTAACCCTAACCCCTAACCCCTATCCCTAACCCCTAACCCCTAACCCCAACCCCAACCCTAAACCCAACCCCAACCCCAACCCGACCCTGACCCCGACCCCTAACCCTAAACCCTAACCCCTAACCCTAACCCTACCCCTAGCCCGAACCCGAACCCGAACCCTAACCCTAACCCCTAACCCTAACCCCTAACCCTAACCCTTAACCCTAACCCTACCCCAACCCCAACCCTAACCCCTAACCCCTAACCCTCACCCTAACCCTAAACCACATGAGCAATGTGGGTATTATATTTTGGGTGTCATGTGTGCATTAGGAATGCTGCATTTGTGTTCCGACACTGCAGTTGGCCCCTGCAATGCAGCCCCTCGCCTTGACTTGGGAGAATCTCGGTGCGCAGGATTCAGAGGGGCTTTTGGTTTCCCGTTTTCCACACTGAACCGTTCTAACTGGTCTCTGACCTTGATTATTAACGGCTGCAACCGGGAAAGATTTTATTCACCGTCGATGCGGCCCCGAGTTGTCCCAAAGCCAGGCAGTGCCCCCAACGTCTGTGCTTAGGAGAATGCTGCTCCACCTTTACGGTGTCCCCCAGGTCTGTGCTAAGCAGAACGCAGCTCCGCCCTCGCGGTGCCCTCAGCCCGCCCGCCCGGGTCTGACCTGAGGAGAACTCTGCTCCGCCTTCGCAGTACCACTGAAATCTGTGCAGATGAGAACGCAGCTCCGCCCTCGCGATGCTCTCCGCGTCTGTGCTGAGGAGAACCCAACTCCGCTCTCGCAAAGGCACGGCGCGCCGGCGCTGGCGCAGAGAGGCGCGGCGCGCCGGCGCAGGAGCTGTTCGGGAGACGCGGCGCAGGGCATAGACGCACGCCTCCGCGTCCCCGGAGGGGAGGGGTCGCTGGGCGGGCGGGAGTGAGGCGCGGCGCAGGCGCAGGCGCAGAGACGCACGTCGCTGGGCTCAGGATGGCGGGGCGTGTTGCAGGTGTACAGTTGCACGCCGCCGGGCGGGGAGCGCGGGAATGGCGAGGTGCAGGCGCAGAGACACACGTCCCCGGCGGCGCAGCGCACAGACGGGTGGAACCTGAGTAATCTGAAAAGCCCGGTTCGGGTGCCCCCTGCTTGTACCCGGGCACTACAGGACCTGCTTGCCCACGGTGCTGTGCCATTGCGCCCCCTGCTGGCAACTAGGGCAACTTCAGGGCCCTCTTCCTTACAGTGGTGTCCAGCGCCTCCTGCTGGCGACGGGGCACGGCAGGGCTCTCTTGCTCGCAGTATACTGGCGGCACGCCGCCTGCTGGCAGCTAGGGACATTGCAGGGCCCTCTTGCTCACATTGTAGTGGCAGCACACCCGCCTGCTGGCAGCTGGGGACACTGCCGGGCCCTCTTGCTCCAAGTGTAGTGGCGGCTGCTCCCCTGCTGGCAGCTGGGGACACTGCCGGGCCCTCTTGCTTGCAGTGTAGTCGGGGCACGCCCTCTTCTGTCCGCTGGGGGCACTACAGGATCCTCTTGCTCAGTGTAGTGGCAGCACGCCCCCTGCTGGCAACCAGGGCACTGCACGGTCCTCTTGTTCATGGTGTGGTGCCCCTACGCCACCTCCTGGCAGCTAAGGACACTGCAGGGCCCTCTTGCTCACAGTGTAGTCGTTGTTCGCCCCCTGCTGGCAGCTAGGGACACTGCCGGGCCCTCTTGCTGACACTGTCGTGGCTGCACGCCACATGCAGGCAGATGGGGACTAAGCAGGGCCCTCTTGCTCCCGGTGTGACGGCTGGCGTCCCCTACTGGCCGCCTCCTGCACCACTTAAAGTCAGAGCGCCAGTTATTAATCCCCATCAGTTCTGTAAATGAAAACTGAAAAGGAGCTATTACTGGGGAGAGCTGATGTCCCAGTTATTAACTTGGAAGAAAGATTTTCACCAAGAGGCAGTACAAAGATGGAAGATAACTTCATTGAAAAGAAATACAGTGTAAAGAGCTTATTGTAGGAAAATAGGGAGGAGTGGGTTCATAGTGCATGAAAACAGCCTAAGAGTCCTGTGCAGGGAATTTTATTTTGGACTTCTTCACATTCCTGCCTCTGTCTCAAGTCTATGCTTGTTTTCCTTGGTTTTCCTGCTACTGCCTTAGGTCCCTGACTTGCCCCACTTAGGCTTGTGGGACCTCCTGTTGATTGAGGTACACGTGGGGTGATGAATCTGAATCCACTCTGGCACCAACCTCCTTCCCGCCATCCCAGGCAGGCTGACAGCAGTCACGTTTGTATCTACTGCACCTGCCTCTTTTGAATGTCTTTCTCTGCCCTAATCTGTACTTATGGTGCCAGGTTTCTCTTAGGAATGTCCCCTTTGTCCTTCTTATCAGCATGTAGCTAGCAATATTCTGACATTTTTATTGCAGTGAATGATGATTGGGGCATCTTAAGAGAAGTTCTAGGGTGTTTCTGTGTAGGTACCTCTTCTCCCTCCTAAGCACAATTGACAAGTGCCCATCCACTCCAGCACTGGAGATGCTACTAATATGTGCATTTTTGGTGGTCCCTCCAGGTGAGCCTTCACAGACTTTCCCTTTTCCAGGAGCTCCCCCTCCTGTTCACGTCTAGCTAGCTATCTACTCTAACAGAGCCCACTATCCTGTGTCTTTCCCAAAAATAGTGAGGGAATGATTAATTGGAAACCATAAGAAATCATATGCATGTAGATGAAAACTTTACAACTTACACAAATAACCACTCAAAATCATCCTTACACTAAAAATGCAAAACTATACAATTTCTAGAAGAAACTATAGAAGAAAAGCTATGTGCCTTTGCGTTTGGTGATGAATTTTAACAAATGACACAGAAGGTTGATATACACAGAAGAAATGACAATGTGGATTTCTTAATATTTACAGTTTATACTCTGGAAGAGACCTTGTTAAGAGAACCAAAAGACAAGCCACATATTGAAGAAAATATTTGCAAAATACAGATCTGAGAATTTGTATTCAAAATACATAAAAAATTGTTAAAACTAAACAATAAGTTAAACAGCCCAATTAAAAATGCACACAGATCTGAACAGACGCCTCACCAAAGAAGATCTACAGATGGCAAGTACACTTACAAAAAGATGCTCAACATACTAGAGAACTGAAAACCACAAAAAGATAGCACAGCTGGTCTATATCTCTTAGAACTGCTAAACTCTTTAACAAATGACAAATTGCTGGAGGAAAAACAAGAACTCTTTTCATTGCCGGTGGAACACAGTGTATAAGACCAAAATATGCCACCCCAAAATATAATGGTAGGAAACCAGAATATGCAACCCCAAAATATGTCCCTTTGGCTTAAGAATTATTCCAAGCTAATTATTTTGAAAAAAAAAAATGCTAACAAAGGAAGTTGTGAAAACAGAGAAGTTACACTTGTGTAAGGAAAATTTACATCTATAAAGGAAATCACCATTTAAAAGCTACCTCTCTCGACACCAAGAAGAGAAGGATAACTAAATCACTAAAGAGTCTTATCAATGGAGAATGCATGGACTTAAGTCTGTATAATGAACCTTACCCTTGTCTAATGTGCTTTTGCTGGTTAACTCCCCAATACTGCACCTCAAATCTTCTTTCTTTAAGTTGAAGACAGTATTTATGCTTGAATTGAAAGCCACCTGTTGGAGATTTACTCATTTTTCCCTGAATATCTCCCATGTAACCATAAGGTATACGTGTTTTTCAACTTTTCTGTTTTTCTCATTTTAATCTGTCAGTTTTTACAGAGCATCCCATCTAAGAATTCCGAAAACAGAAAATTATTTTTCCTCCCCTATTACAAGTTGGGCATTTTTTTCCAAAGCTAAACAAGTCTCACCTTACAATCCAAAAATAACATTCCTAAGTATTTTGACAACTACTTTGATGTTATTTCCAATCAAAAGCTACCATGCAATTATTTACATAAGCCCTATTCATAATGACCAAAGGAAAAAAACGGAATCAGAAAGTCTTACAATAGATGACTGTATGGGAATCCACTCAGACATCAAAAGTTGTTATAAAGATTATTTAAATGAAAACATTTGAGATACTGAAGATAAAAGAAGAAATCTTACCACAACTTACTTTGTCCAATTAAAGCAGAGCTCCCAGAAAAATACAGCTGCCATTAACCCCATCCAAGGAGTTTCTTGCAAATTCAGCTGCCATGAAGACAGCGTACTCTTTCGCATTAGCATTGATAAACAAAAATTAAATTATAAGCTCCCAACTGACTGAACAGAACCACTCTTGGCTGAGGGGACCACAGAGTAACTTTCAAAACTGAGTTCTCAGCTTTGCTAGGATGGGATGATGGGGTTAACATACACATCGTTAAACCCACTCCTTTGCTAACCATGATGAGGCTTTCTTCCCTAAGGATTTAACAGAAACCAGCCCTTTCAAAGCCTCCACTACCGATATCAACCTCTCCTTTCTTGCCTGATAAGAGACCACCCACAACAGAGAGGTTCTGGCCAGCGTACAGAGGATGCACAGAGCGAGTTTTCATGTCCTCTGCTTCACCTTTTAATGTCAGAGGGCTGAAAACTCCACCCTGGGATCATGCTAACACTGCCATTTTTTGTACATGGGACCCATGAAGAAGCCAGAAACTCAATTGTGCATGCATGCATTTCTCCTTCCATAAATATTCATGACTCCTCCTGGAGCTTATTAAATAAATGTATTTGGCCATTCCAGTCAGCATAAATTGCTATTTCCTTTACCTCCTCCTTGAAGAGTCTGTTTCTGGCTTCTGGCTGGAGGCTATGCTTCCCAGCCTGTCAGAAGGACAACCCTGCAGGCTACAACCCTTTATAGGAAATAAATCTCTCACTGGTTGGGTGGCTCATGCCTGCAATCCCAGCACTTTGGGAGGCTAAGGCAAGTGGATCACCTGAGCTCATGAGTTTCAGACCAGCCTGGCCAACATGATGAAACCCTGTCTCTACTAAAACTGCAAAAAATTAGCCAGGTGTGGTGGTGGGCATCTGTAATCCCAGCTAATCAGGAGGCTGAGGCAGGAGAATCGCTTGAACCCAGGAGGTGGAGGTTGCAGTGAGCCAAGATCACGCCATTGCACTCCAGCCTGGGCAACAAGAGTGAAACTCTGTCTCAAAAAAAATAAAAATAAACATAAAAATGAAGAAATGTCTCCTTTCCAAATTTATGAACCTCATCATTCTTCCGTTGACAGCATTAAAAGGTTCAAAAAGACCTTTCCATACTCTCCCACAGAAGCCCTAGAAATTGTCATTTTGTTCATCATTCTGGATGCCTGAGAACTTGTAATCCAATGAGTAGAAAGTTTGGTACCCCATTTATGGCTGTCAACCCGCCAGTTCTCAGGAGTTTGTATAAAAGCCTAAATCCGAAAGGATCTCATCCCATTAGGACCCTTGTCTCCTTTTCTGTTGCCTTTGCCCACTGGCTCTGGCAACAGGGGTCTTTCTTTCTCCTTGGCTATCTTTGGATATGGGGGCTCCGTCTTCTGTGCCACCTTAGGGAATGCCTTTTGCAGGCATGGCTAAGTCATTAAAAAGCCTTCAGTTTCAGTAACATTTTGAGTGAGCACTCTCTGAAGCTGCGTTGGAATCTCAGGCTTCTTTGTCTGGAAGATAACTCTTGGGCTACAAGTTTCTTATCCTAGCTTTGGTTTTGAGGCCTCTCTGTTCTCCTCTTGGGTTGGAAGTTATTCCTGGCTTTTTGTTTCAAGGTGTCTCTGTGATCTTGAACTTGCTCCTTTCATGAGAACTTCTCAGTTGACTAAATTCTCCCTTCTCAAACCTCTGCTATGTGTTCCACCAATATGGAACTAATTCTATTTCCTTTCCTGTTTACATGATTTTACTAAGAATTATTTAGAAATTTAATCGCTCCTTTGAGAAAATTTTTATCTTCCAAATTGCCTCCTTTTAGACTTTTCCTTTCCCAGTTGAGTCTCTCAACTCCCTGTAATCACTGAAACTTTAGGCACCCCACTCCATGCCTTGGAGTGCTCTCCATGCTCTCAATGTGCTCAAGAATCTGCAAAAGCAAACATCTGGGGCTGAAAAATAAAATAGAAAAAATTTTATTTCTCAGCCTCCATAAGATTGTATGTCCAAACAAAAGAAAATCTTAAAAATCTCCAAAAATATTGGTGAGAAAAAAGCTTTGGCCCTCATATGAAGAAGATAAAAACTTGTTCCATTTTCCAGATACACAGTTATAATACAAATACAAAATGGGGCAAAGACAAAAACCAAGTCTTCTATATAAACTAGTGAATTTTGTATTATTGTAATAACATTAGTCAGGGTTCTCCAGAAAGGCAGAATCAATAGGATATATGTAGATAGATGAGAGAAGACTCATTAGGGGAATTGGTTCACATAATTATGGAGGCTGAGAAGTTACACAATAGCCTGTCTCCAAGTTGGAGAACCAGGAAAGCTGGCAGCATGACTCACTCCAGATATAAAGGACTCAGAATCAGGGAAGCCAATGGTGTAACTCTGATTCTGAGGCCAAAGCTCTGAGACACTGATTCTGATGTCAAGGGCAGGAGAAGAAGGATGTTTCAATTTCAGGAGATAATTCACCTTTCCTCTTCCTTGTTATTCTATCTGGGCTCTCAACCAATTGGATGGTGCCTGTATTCATCCATTTTTATACAGCTGTGAAGAAATACCTGAGTCTGAGCAATTTATAAAGAACAAAGAGGTTAAATGGGCTGACAGTTCCACGTGGCTGCAGAGGCCTCACAATCATGGCAGAAGGGGAAACAAAGACGTCCTTCTTCACATGGCAGCAACAAGAAGAAGTGCTGAGCCAAAGGGGAACAGCCCCTTATGAAACCATTGGATCATGAGAACTCACTCACTGCCATGAAAACAGAATGGCAGTAACAACCACCATGATTCAATCACCTCCCACTGGGTCCCTCCCACGACATGTACGGATTATAGGAACTACAATTCAAGATGAGATCTGGGTGGGGACACAGGCAAACCATATCAGTGCCCATCCACACTGGGTCAGGGTTATCTCAGTGTCTTCCAGAAACACCTTCACAGATATGCCCAGAAATTGTGTTTCACCAGCTACGTGTGTCTCTCAATCCAGTCAAGTAGATGTCTAAAATTAACCATCAGAATATTTATGCCTGTTTCATGGCTGAAATTGTTTGACCAGCTATGTATGTTTCTTAATCCAATCAAGTAGATGTCTAAAATTAACCATCAGAATATTTATGCCTGATTCATGGCTGAAATTTCAGGATGAAAGCTATGAAATCTCTATTTGTGTTTGTATATCTATTACTGTATGTAATGTATATGTGATATTTTCTTAACTCCGGATAGCACTGCAAAATTCATTTATAAAATCCTATAAAAGTGCTCTATTCTAACTTGGCTTGGAAAAAAATAACCATTTATAAATAAATATTCACCAAACTCCTAGAAATATAGGAACTGATCAAATGTTTTTTAAGTTAACATGATTTGGATAAAACTTACTTAAATGAGATTAATATAAAATTTTTGGTGTAATAAAACTATGTCTTCAAAGTTATCACTTGAATATAAAACAAACATAAATTCCTATTCTGCTTGAGTTCTAGTCAAATAAGCTAATATTATACTTACAGAAATGTAAAATCTTAAAGCTTATAGATTTGATTCTAATTAAGTTGTCACTCTTATGAAAAACATTATTCTTTTATGGTGAAAAGATACACATGTATTTAGAGTTAGCCAGCTGGACTCAGTTTAGATGATCCCAATTTTGTTGCAACATCCAAAGCTTCATAATCAGGAGCCAGTCGAACATATATGCCTTGTTCTCTTTATCAGGAAAAATCAGGGTGGTGACCTTGGCCACATCACTGTCATAGACCTTCTTCACAGCCTGTCTGATCTGGTGCTTGTTGGCTTTAACATCCACGAAGAACACAAGCATGTTGCTTTCTTCTATCTTCTTCCGGCCCACTCAGTGGTCAGCGGAAACTTGATAGCATAGTGGCCAAGCTTGTTTCTCCTGGGGGTGCTCTTCCGAGGATATCTGGGCTGCCTCCGAAGTCGCAGTGTCTTGGGCCGCCTGAAGGTGAGTGACATGCGGATCTTCTTTTTTGCGTGTGGCTGCGGACACCTTTCAACACTGCCTTCTTGGCCTTTAAAGCCTTCACTTTGGCTTCGGCTTTAGGAGGAGCAGGAGCTTCCTTCGCTTTCGGTGCCGTCTTGTGAAAAGCGAAAAACATTATTTCAAAAATAATTTGTTCACAGTAAATCTGCCTAATAGTAGTTTCCAAACTACTTTTGCTAATTTTTAACCTTAAACTTAAGCTAAGTAAAAGATTTGCATTAAATATCTAGACCATTTATAAATAAGATACAATACTAAAACATTAATTACTGAACATAAATAATTCAAGTTTATATACTTTTGGCTTCCTGTTTTTACAGAAAGACTAAAGATATTTTGGCCCGTTAATAAACATGTTTTTTTCTGCCACACTGAGAAATTGTATTATGAGGAAATACATCCCTCTAGATGTTGGGAGACAGTATATTCATACATTTTCTAACCTACTATAGAATGCTAATATATGACAGTTTATAACTGACTACTTCCTAGTTTTCTCTGGAAAATAAAAGATTACTAAGTATTAAAATTATAATCAGTATATGTAAATAAAAAGATTAGAAATAATGGAATAACTAGAAACAACCCCATGCAAAGCATGCAAGAAAAGTAGGGCATGTTTCACAAGTAAAGTAGGATGTATTTTTTATAAGGAAAACCATACATAAGATACAAATAAAAAGAGATACCTAACCTTCCCTGTGTTACATTTGTATGGGTAAAATGTTATGTTTTCAGAAATGATATAAAATTCCTGTAAATTTGTTATGTCCTCCTTATCCATGCTATGTGCCAGTATAGAGTAATGAGTCATAATTCCAATTATTATTTTAAATATTGTGCCGGGTGCAGTGGCTCATGCCTGTAATCCCAGCACTTTGGGAGGCTGAGGAGGATGGATCACAAGGTCAGGAGATCCAGACCATCCTAGCTAATTTCTTACTTTGAGATTGCTATCCACTATTTTTATATATACGTGTGTGTGTGTGTGTGTGTGTGTGTGTGTGTGTGTGTGTGTATTCCAAATCAGTTGTCCTAGCTTGCTCCAGCATGCCTGGGCAGAACTAGACAAGCCCCAGCCCATAATACATGCCATTCCTTATTTGGAGATGCTTCCTTAACTATCCCTGGGCAACTTCCTTTTCTTTCTTTGTTCTATTCCCCTTACCTAATTAAGAAAGTGTTAAACTAATAGTCAATCGGGTAAAGTGTAAAATGTGAGGTCCTATTTCAGCCAGTGGAAACTGGACACAGCACTAGGGTAGACACATCAGGTTATAAGTAACTCTGTCTCCTTTGTTTGGTGTGCTCTTGTGGCTGGACAGCTATTGAGTAGCACCCTTTATGCAGAAAGTAAAGCTCGCCTCACTAAGACATCATTTGTTCCCACGTTGTTTTTTTTTTTTTTTTTTTTTTGGAACACCAAAATCTTCATTCCCAACAGCACTCTGAGAAAAGCCAGCCTGATACCTAGATTACAGGGTTCACAGCCTTCAGGTTAGTAAAGAAGGTCATTTCCCGGTAGGCCCAGGAATTTGGGGATATTTTGGGGGCCTCAAGAAGAGAGGAATTCACACAAAGCCATAAGGACTGCGGCTGAAATTTGATAGTATGTGCTTGGCTTGGGTTTTAGCCTGAATAAGGCCTTTAAAAGTCAAATCTGAGATTCTGTATGAAAACTTCCAGCAAAGAAACTTGAAAGCACCTATGTGGTCATCTCCTGTTCTTGCTGCACTTATGTAAATAATCAAGCAAAATCTAACAAAACTAGACTTATTTTTAAAACAAGAATAGTCTTACTTTGATTATGATCAAAAATGATGGTTACTACAGAGAGAAATTTTATGTTTCAATGGAAAACTATAATTTAGCCGGGCATGGTGGCACATGCCTATAATTGCAGCACTTTGGGAGGCCAGGAGTTCAAGACCAGCCTGGGCAACATGGTGAAACCCCATCTCTACCAAAAATACAAAAATTAGATGGGCATGATGGCATGTGCCTGTAGTCACAGCTAATCAGGAGGCTGAAGAGGGAGGATCGCTTGCACCCAGGGGGTAGAGGTTGCAGTGAGCTGAGATTGCACATTTGCACTCCAGCCTGGGCGACAGAGCCGGACCCAGTCTCAAAAAAATTTTTATTTCTTTTTGAGAAATTTGACCCCCACTGTGTCAGTGTGGGGCGGTGGGGCCTAGTGGAAGGTGTTTGGGTCATGGGGACGGATCTCTCATGAATACATTAATGTCCTCCATGGGGGTGAGTGAGTTCTGCTGTCACAGGAATGGATTAATTCCTACAGGAGTAGCTAGTTAAAAAGAGTCTGGGTTCCTTGGCTTCCCTCTTGCTTTCACTTTTGCTATGTGATCTCTGGTGCACACCTTGCTCCCCTTCCACTTTCCATCATGAGGTGAAAAAGACTGAGGCCCCACCAGATGCAACTGCCCAATCTCAGACATTGCAGCCACCAGTATTTTGAGCCAAATGAACCTTTTTTACTTATACATTACCCAGCCTCAGGTATTCTGTTACAGAAGCACAAAATGGACTAAGACACAAATGTAAGTAAAAACTCACTGAAGGTGTAGGGAAAATGGTGTTGACCTAAGTCACTTTGAAAATGAATAGAATCTGTAAGCTGAAGGCAAATCAACTATACTTCATCCTTGGATTCCATTTTACAAAGTTCTTTCCAACAGAAGCAACTGTGAACAACTGTAAAACCACAGTGTCTGTATCTGGAATAAAACAATGACTTACATTAAGTCGCAGATGGTGGGAACCAGGTTTCTCACTGTTGAAGTGGGAGGTTACAAATTAGCAAGGCGACAAGGCTAGAATAATTCATGTGATAGTAGATCAGAGGTGGAGACATAAACGTAAACTTATGTTTAGTTTAATATAGATACACACAGTTCTACATAGAAAACTTTATAATTAGGTGTGTATAGGTAGGTTAGACACACACATATACTTCCTAGCATTACTAATGAGGGACAAGATACAATGTGCTCTTTCAGCAGCCAGACGTAAGTTTTCCTACCATTCTGAAAGGAATCAGGCTCCTTGAAGAAATGTCTGATACTAGAACTGGGAGAGTAAATATAGGAGCCAGGATAATCTGGAAGTATCAGAAAGTAAGTAAGTACTAAAAAAATTAAAATATATCAAAGAAAAATAAGAGCCAATAAAAAAAAGCTACCGATTGCCAACACAGGAATGAATTGTGCAACATAATGCTGCAGGGTTGAATAATAGCTAAAGCTTAAAGTAATTATCTAGGTGTCTGTATTTGTATGCATAGGTGAATAAGCAAATGGAGTTGCATAGAAATCTCCTTTGCAAAAGAATTCCAACCCTAACCTGACAAACAGTAGCTCTGCAAAATGATCCAAGTGAATATCAAAGGTAACAGTTCACCTTGAGAACATGAAGTGACAATGAGGGACATTCTACAAAATGCCTGACCAATCCTCCTCAGTACTATCAAGGTCACCTGAGATGGAAAGCCTGACACACTGTCACAGCCAGGAAGAGCCCACATGATGACTACATGTCATGCGGGATCCTGGATGGGATCCTGGATCAGAGTAAGACACATCTAAGGGAATCCAAATGAAATATGAACTTTAGTCTATCAGTATTGGTTCATTAACTGTGACAAATTGTGTAAGATATTAATAAGCCATGTGAGACACACTAATAGAAGATGTTAATAAGAGAGGAAACTAGGTTGCGGCTACATGGGAAATCTTTTTTTTTTTTTTTTTGACAATTTCTGTGTAAGTAAAAAGATGTAAAATAAAACTTTATTTAAAACACTGTTTTTTGAACACTTCCTTGTTTAATTATTTATACCATGAATTACTAGTAATTGACACTGTTAACTAGTCCTATTTTTTTAAATAAGAGCATTTATGACACAAAAAATTAAACAGTGCAGACTGACATATAAATCAAAACAAATGTTCTTTACATGTTTTCTGTTACTGTAGTAACACACATGTGTAAACTTAATTCTCATATTTTTTTCTTGTGCTGTGGTTGTGTCCTGGGTTCATTCTCTAAAATGCTGTTCACCTTAGACCAGGAAAAATATTAACCTTACAGACTCTGTTTCAATTCATAGCCAAATATTTTCACAAGAGTGACTTTGTAAAAATATGTTCCAATGGCAAATTGATTCATTGTGATGGGATCACTTATTCCGAAGACTTCCTGTCTTTATTTTGTTGCCATGCCTACCTTTTAGCCATAATACAGCAGAATCAAATATTGCTCACTGGGAAAAAATATTCAAAGAAAGAAAGAATGTGGACAGAACTTATGACCATGATGATTCAATGTTTTACCACAATGCTATCTAAAACAGAAGAGTGTAAAAGGATATTCAAAGTCAATCTCCTCAGTGAGGCTTTGCAGAAAATGAGGAAACTAGAAAAACAAAAATGGCGGGACATTCTACGGGTGATTTTACATGTTGCTATGTTTTATGGGAAAAAAATACTTTACCTTTTAAAGAATCACTAAGAATTATTGGAAACCCAAATTCTGGGATGTTTGCAAATTTAGTTGAACTTCTATGCAATTATGTCTATATAGGTAGCCACGAAGTTGATGATTTTTTAAAAATCTGTGCCTTATTTGTGTAATAAAATACACAATGAATAATTAATACTCATAGGAAAACCTTATGAAGGGAAAATAAATCTTGGGGACCCAAAATCACTAAGCTAAAGGGAAAAGTCAATCTGGGAACTGCTTAGGGCAAATCTGCCTCCCATTCTATCCAAAGACACCCACCTGCTCACCGAGATAAATGCATACCTGATTGCCTCACGTGGAGAGGGTAATCAGCAATGCAAAAGAATGAAATCGTTTGTCTCTTACCTACCTATGACCTGGAAGCCCCCTGTCTGGCCTTCTCACCTTTCTGGACTGAACCAATGTACATCTTACACATACTGATTGATGTCTCATGTCTCCCTAAAGTGTGTAAGACCAAGCTGTGCCCCGACCACCTTGGGCCCATGTTGTCAGGACCTCCTAAGGATGCATCATGGGCGCACATCCTCAAGCTTGGCAAAATAAACTTTCTAAAAAATCTGAGAGCCGTCTCAGATTTTCAGGGTTGACACATGTAATGTAGGATGTCAATGTTTATAAAACAGACATTATTCTATCTACTATTAGAAATATGCTGCCAATTAACCTTAAACTTTCTCAACAAAATAAAAAATGTTGAGGTACAAATAATACATCTAAGCTTAAGTGGTGTTGCAAGTTTTAATACGCCTACTTTTCAATTTTTCAATACTATTTTTACTAATTTAACACTGTAAGAAAAATGAGTAATTAAAACAAGAATAAAAGTGTTTACAGGGGGTGCACATGTTTCCTCCAGCCTCTGCCCAACCCCAGCTTTCATCCCAACTGTCCTGATGGTGGCTCTAAGCATTTCTCCTTTCTCTATACCAAGATCTCTCCCCAGAAACAAACCCAAATCTTACTGTATGTTATGGCACGTTATGATGATGAGCAGTGATGAGCAGCCGAAGCCTCAAGGAAGGGATGCTTTTGTAAAACAAGACTTGTGGAATGTAACATGTGAAAGTAAAGCCCATGGCAGAGCTCCCTCCTCAGCACACGGGGAGCAGACAGGAAGTTTTTCCTCACCTTCCTCAATGGCCTGCAGCCACGTCTCCCCAGGTCAGTCTTAAGGACAACGAAACTCTGGTCTTCACTGTGGACATGCCACACTACCAGGTGCTCCAAAGCCATGGTGACCCGTCCTCGGGTGGGTCCTGAGGAGAAAAAAGCTCTGGTTCTAATCCTAACCCTAACCCTGTCCCAAGACTTTGACCCTGAATCTAAATCCTGATCCCTACCCTGGTCCCTAATTCTGACCCTAACTTTGACCCTGACTTTGATCTTGACCCTGACCATGACCCCACCTCTAAGCATACTTCTGGCCCTGACTCTGACCCAGATCCTAATCCTATCCCTAACCCTATTATTATCTTTACAATCTATGTCTAATCTTACTGTCTAGTGCTAAATAGCTGTACCCGAAAGCACTTTTAAATTATTTAACTTCTTTTCCTTGAATTCTCTAAGGACATCCTAAAGGAGATGTCATTATGTATTTTGCATTCCCTCTGAGTGGTATGGCTTCACATATGAAGTTCTAATACTTTGCAAGACATAAAATGTTTGGAGGGTAACAGCACTGGGTTGTTAGGGATGTATGTTGGCATTCATGATAGATTTTCCTTAAAATAAGAACAAATGGCTTGAGTAGGCTTTTGGAATGTAGGATGTTTCCGTTGGTTCATTTCTGTGTTCAGTATTCCCACATGAATCTAAACATGACTCTGCTCTTAGTAGCTGTGCGACCCTGGGAAAGTCACTCAATCTCCCTCAGCTAAATTTTGTTGTGTGTGTAATGAGAAGAGAGTTGTGATTTGTATTTAGTGAATAATAACAAACAAAAGGCATTTAGCTTTCTGGAACCTGGTATGTAGTAGAACCTCATGGAAATACTAGCTCTGTTAATAAAACTAGCCCAAAACAAGGTTTCAAGGTCAACAACAGTATCAGGCAGTGAAGGACATAGACGAGAAGCTGCTTCTGCAGCCTGTAGCTCCTGGAGGCCCATTTTGTCCATGATTTAGCAGGAACGCACTACCTTTCCATGAGGAGAAACTGCCCACAGAAACCAACGCCATTCTTTGAAGACAAACATGTCTTAATAGCCTTTACATTAAGTAATAGTGTAATATAAGTAATAATTTGTTATTAGTAATAATGTGAAATTATTTACACTACCCTAACCCCTAACCCTACCCCTACCCCTACCCCTAACCCCTAACCCTTAACCCTAACCCCTAACCCTAACCCCTAACCCTAACCCCTAACCCCTAACCCCTAACCCCTAACCCTAACCCTAAACCCTAAACCCTAAACTGTAAACCCTAAACCCTGCGCACTGTGGTTCACGCCAGCAATCCCAGCCCTTTGGGAGGCTAAGGCAGGTGGATCACCTGAGTCCAGGAGTTCAAGACCAGCCAGGATGACATAGCAAAACACCATCTCTACTAATAATACAAAAACCAGCTGTGAATGGTGACACACAGCTGAAGTAGCAGCTACTAGGGAGACTGAAGCAGGAGGACTGCTTGAGCCCAGAACGTGCAGGTTACATTAAGCTGAGATCGTGCCACTACACTCCAACCTGGGCAACAGTGCAAGACCCTGTCTCAAAAAAAAAAAAAAAAAAAGACATGGTATGATGGCTCATGCCTATCATCCCAGCAATTTCGAAGGCTGAGGCAGATGGATCACTTGAGGTCAGGAGTTGGAGACCAGCCTGGCCAACATGGCTAAACCTTGTCTCTACTAAAAATACAAACATTAGGGCCAGGCACGGTGGCTCATGCCTGAAATCCCAGCTCTTCTGGAGGCCGAGGCAGGAGGATCAACTGAGGACGGGAGTTCAAGACCATCCTGACCAAGATAAACAAACCCCATCTCAAACAAAAATACAAAATTAGCCTGCTGTAATGGTGCACGTCTGTAATCCCAGCTACTCAGGAGGCTGAGGCAGGAGAGTCGCTTGAACCCAGGAAGCGGAGGTGACAATGAGCTGAGATCCTGCCACTGCACTCCCGCTTGGGCAACACAGCAAGACTCTGTCTCAAAAAAAAAGAAAGCAAAAAGACAACCCACAGAAAGGAAGAAAATATTTGCTAGCACATTATATATCTAACAACTGTCCATTAACTACAATACATACAGAATATGTATAACTCAACAACAAAAGCAACCAAATTACAAATGGCGGAAGAGTTGAACTCACACCTTGCCAAAAAGACATGCAAATAGAAAACGAGGAAATGAAAAGACGATCAATATCATTATCATTATGGCCATCAAAACTGAAACCACAACCACATACTCCTTCACACACACTAGAAAGGCTATAATCCACAAATATTAAGTAACAAGTGTTGTCAAGGTCAGAGAGAAATCACAACCATTAAATACTGTATGTGGAATATAAAATGGTACAGCCTATTTGTAACATAGTTTGGTATTTCCACAAAAAGTTAAAAACACGACAGGCAAGGTGACTCATGCCTATAATCCCAGCACTTTGGAAGGCTGAAGCAGGCAGATCACTTGAGTGCAGGAGTTCAAGACCATCCAGAGAGACATAGCAAAACCCCGTCTCTACTAAAAATACAAAAATCAGCCAGGCATGCTGCCACACACCTCTAGTCCCAGCTACTAGTGAGGCTGAGGTGGGAGGACCGCTTGAGCCCCGAATATCGAGGTTGCAGTAAGCCAAGATGGCACCACTGCACTCCAGCCTGAGGAACAGCACAAGACCATGTCTTTAAAAAAAAAAAAAAAAAGAGTAGGCATGGTGGCTCACGTCTGTAATCCCAGCACTTTGGGAGGCCAAGGCACGTGGATCAATTGAGTCCAGGAGTTCAACACCAGCCAGAAGGACATAGCAAAACCCCGTCTCTACTAAACATACAAAAATTAGTCGTGCATGGTGACACACACCTGTAGTCACAGCTACTAGGGAGAATGAGGAAGGAGGACTGCTTCAGCACAGAATGTGAAGGGTGCAGTAAGCAGAGATGGCACCACTGCACTCCAGCCTCGGCAACAGTGCAAGACCCTGCCTCAAAAAAAAAACAAAAAAAAAACTGGCCAGTCGTGGTGGCTCCCCCTGTAATCCAAGCATTTTGGGAGGCACAGGCGGGCATATCACCTGTGAATAGCAGTCCAAGACAGTCTGATCAACATGGAGACATCCAGTCTCTAATAAAAATACAAAAAAGTTGCTGGGTGTGGTGACCCATGCCTGTAATCCCAGCTACTCGGGAGGCTAGGAGGAGAATCACTTGAACCCAGGAGGCAGACATTGCGGTAAGCCGATGTCACACCACTGAAATCCAGCCTGGGCAACAGAGCAAGACTCAGTCTAAAAAAAAAAAATCAAAAGGCAACCCACAGAAAGGAAGAAAATATTTACACGTTATATATCTAACAACAGTCTGTTAACCACAATATATAAGGAACTTGTATAACTCAACAAAGACAACCAAATTACAAATGGAGAAAGAGTTGAACGCTCGCTTTGCCAAAAAGACATGTAAATGGAAAACAAGCACATGAAAAGATGATCAATATCATTATCACTATGGCCATCGAAACTGCAACCACAACCACATACTCCTTCACTCACACTAGAAAAGCTATAATCCAAAAAATACAAAACAGCAAGTGTTGGCAAGGTCAGAGAGAAATCACAACCATTAAATACTGTATGTGGAATATAAACGGTGCAGCCTATTTGTAACAGTTTGGTATTTCGTCAAAAAGTTAAAAATAGGCCAGGCACGGTGTCTCATGCCTTTAATCCCAGCACTTTGGGAGGCTGAGGCAGGTGGATCACTTGAGGTCAGGAGTTCAAGAGCAGCCAGAAGGACATAGCAAAACCACGTCTCCACTAAAAAATACAAAAATTAGCCAGGCATGGTGCCACACACCTGTACTCCCAGCTACTAGGGAGGCTAAGGGAGGACAACTGTTTTAGCCTAGAACGTGGAGGCTGCAGTAAGCTGAGATCGCACCACTGCACTCCAACCTGGTAGACAGCGCAAGACCCTGTCTCAAAAAATAAAAATCAAGAAAGGTGGGCATGCTGCCTCACATCTGTAATCCCACCACTTTGGGAGGCTGAGGCAGGAGGATCACTTGAGTCCAGGAGTTCAAGACCAGCCAGGATGACATAGAAAAACCCCATCTCTCCTAATAATATAAAAATTAGCCAGGCATGGTGGCACACAGCTTCAGTCCCAGCTACTAGGGAGGCTGAGGTGGGAGGACTACTTGAGCCCAGATTATGGAGGTTGCAGTAAGCTAAGATCGAACCACTGCACTCCAGCCTGGGTAACAGTGCAAGACTCTACCTCAAAAAAAATAAAAAAATAAAAAAAGGCCGGTATGGTGGCTCATGCCTCTAACCCCAGCACTTTGGGAGGCTGAGGCAGGCAGATCACATGAGGTCGGGAATTCAATACCAACATGACCAACGTAAACAAACCCCATTTCAACTAAAAATACAAAAGTAGCTGGGCATAGTGGCACATACCTGTAATCCCAGCTACTCGGGAGGCTGAGGGAGGAGAATTGCTTGAACCCAGGAGGCAGAGGTTGTGGTGAGCCAAGAGCACAGCGCTACACTCCAGCCTGCGCAACAGGGCAAGACTCCGTCTCAAAAAAAAAAAAAGTAAGTGAAAAGACAACCCACAGAAAGGAAGAAAATATTTGCTTGCACGTTATATATCTAGCAGTCTGTTAACCACAATATACAAAGAATTTGTATAACTCAACAACAAAAACCAAATTAAAAAAGGAGAAAGAGTTGAACAACACACACTTTGCCAAAAAACATGCAAATGGAAAACAAGCACATGAGAAGGTGATCAGTATCATTATCATTATGGCCATCAAAACTGAAACCACATCCACATACTCCTTCATACACACTAGAAAGGCTATAATCCAACAAATGTAAAATAACAAGTGATGGCAAGGTCAGAGGGAAATCACAACCCTTAAATACTGTATATGGAATATAAACAGTACAGACTATTTGTAACATAGTTTGGTATTTCCTCAAAAAGTTAAAAATAAGCCGGGCATGGTGGCTCATGCCTGTAATCCTAGCACTTTGGGAGGCAGAGGCAGGTGGATCCCTTGAATTCGGGAGCTCAAGACCACCAAGAACAACATAGAAAAACCCCATCTCTACTAAAAATACAAAAAGTAGCCAAGCATGGTGTCACACACCTGTAGTCCCAGCTACTAGGGAAGCTGAGGCAGGAGGACTGCTTGAGCCCAGAATGTGGAGGCTGCAGTAAGCTGAGGTCGCACCACTGCACTCCAGCCTGGGCAACAGCGCAAGACCCTGTCTCAAAGCAAACAAACAAAAAAGACCTGCCATGGTGGCTCACGCCTGTAATCCCAGCACTTTCGGAGGCCGAGGCAGGTGGATCACTAGAGTCCAGGAGTTCAAGACCAGCCAAGACGACATAGCAAAACCACGTATCTACTAAAAATACAAAAATTAGCCGGGTATGGTGCCACACACCTGTAGTCCCAGCTACTAGGAAGGCTGAGACGCGAGGACTGCTTGAGCCCAGAATGAGGAGGTTGCAGTAAGCCAAGATGGCACCACTGCACTCCAGCCTGGGCAGCAGAACAAGACCCTGTCTCAAAAAGAAAAAAATAAAATAAATAATGGCCAGGCGTGGTGGCTCAATCCTGTAATCACGACACTTTGGGAGGCAGAGGCGGGTGGATCATCCGAGATCGGGAGTTTGAGACCAGTGTGACCAACATGGAGAAACCCCGTCTCCACTAAAAATACAAAAAATTAGCCAGGCATGGTGGCCCATGCCTGTAATCGCTGCTACTCAGGAGGCTGAGGCAGGAAAATCACATGAACCCGGCAGGCGGAGGTTGCAGTGAGCCAAGACCGCACCACTGCACTCCAGCCTGGGGAAAAGAGCAAGACTCGGTCTCCAAAGAAAAAAAGAGAGACTGAAAAGACAACCTACAGAAAAGAAGAAAATATTTGTGCATTATATATCCAACAACAGTCTGTTAACTACAATATATAAAAAATTTGTATAACTCAACAACAACAACCAAATTACAAATGGAGAAAGAGCTGAACACACACTTCGCCAAAAAGACATGCAAATGGAAAACAAGCACATGAAAAGATGATCAACATCGTTATCATTACGGCCATCAAAACTGAAACCACAACCAGATACTCCTTCACACACACTAGAAAGGCTATAATCCAACAAATGTAAAATAACAAGTGTTGGCAAGCTCAGAGAGAAATCACAACCCTTAAATACTGTATGTGGAAGATAAAATGGTGCAGCTTATTTGTAACATAGTTTGGTATTTCCTTAAAAAGTTAAAAATAGGCTGGGCAAGGTGGCTCACGCCTGTAATCCCAGCACTTTAGGAGGCTGAAGCAGGCAGATCACTTGAGCCCAGGAGTTCAAGACCAGCCAGTACGACACAGCCAAACCCCATGTCTACTAATACAAAAATGAGCCAGACATGGTGGCACATGGTGGCAGACATGGTGGCACACAGCTGCAGTCCCAGCTACTTGGGAGGCTGAGGAAGAAGGACTGCTTGACCCCATATTGTGGAGGTTGCAGTAAGCTGAGATCGCACTATTACACTCCAGCCTGGGCAACAGTGCAACACCCTGTCTCAAAAATAAAAATAAAAATAAAAAGGGCCAGGTAAGATGGCTCACACCTGTAATCCCAGCACTGTGGGTGGCTGAGGCAGGCGGATCACCTGAGGTTGGGAGTTCGAGACTAGCCTGACCAACATGGACAAACCCCATCTCTACTAAAAATACAAAATTGGCTGGGCGTGGTGGTGCATGTCTGTAATCTCAGCTACTCAGGAGGCCTAGGCAGGAGAATCGCTTGAACCTGGGAAGCAGAGGTTGCGGTCAGCCGAGATCGCACCATAATACTCTAGCCTTAACAACAAAAGCGAAACTCCGCCTAAAAGGAAAAAAAAAAATTAGCCAGTGTGGTGGTACAGACCTGTAATCCCAGCTACTCAGGAGGCTGAGGAAGGAAGATTGCCTGAACCTGGGCGATGGAGGTTGCAGTGAGCCGATATCAGGCCACTTCACTCCAGCCTGGGCAAAAGAGCAAGACTTGTCTCCAAAAAACAGAACAAGAAAAAGGAAATGCATGGGACGAAGTGGCATATCCTGAAATGAGGACTTTCCTTCTGGACTGGGGTTTCCGATGAAGGTGACAGTTTATCCTTCAGTCTCCACAGGTCACGAATTTGCCGTCCACCAAGAGGCAACAGAGGGAGCCCCGCCAAGTCCCATGCCAGAACTATGACATAATCACATTCCCTCACTCATTTCAGTACCTAAATATTAATAATTCATCAGCTTAAACATCTACACTTACTTTACCAATTTTCCATTGTATAGATGAAGAGGTTTCCAAATTTTATATAGGTTGTCATGATGTGGACAGGACTTTTTGATAGTTAACTATAGCGAATGACTAAAATATAAGTGTTTAAACCTAAAATACCTTGTAACTGTTAACACAGGGCTACAGAACACAGCAACGTAACAGTCTGTCCAGTAAATTCTTCTGAAATTCCTTTTTTTTTTTTTATAGACGGAGTCTCACTGTCACACAGGCTGGAGTGCAGTAGCACAATCTCGGCTCATTGCAGCCTTCACCTCCTGGGTTCAAGCGATTCTCCTGCCTCAGCCTCCTGAGCAGCTGGGACTACAGGTGCATGCCACCACACCAGGCTAATTTTTGTATTTTCAGTAGAGATGGGATTTCACCATCTTATCCAGGCTGGTCTCGAACTCCTGACATCAGGTGATCTGCCTGCCTCAGCCTCCCGAAGTGCTGGGATTACAGGAGTGAGCCACTGCACCCAGCCCTCTTCTGCAATTTCAATAATCAATTGTGCTATTTGTCTTTCTTTCAGCAATGAGATTTTATTTTTCTTTCCTAATTATTTCAAACATGAACTTTGGTTCCAGAGAACTAGTATTTCCTTGATTTATAAATTGAGGGCAGCTGGGCACGGTGGCTCAGGCCTGTAATCCCAGCACTTTGGGAGGCCAAGGCAGGCAGATCACTGGAGGTCAGGAGATCAAGACCAGCCTGGCAAACATGGTGAAACCTGATCTCCACTAAAATTGCAAAAAATAGCCAGCCATGGTGGCAGGTGCCTGTAGTCCCAGCTACTCAGGAGACTGAGACAGGAGAATCGCTGGAACCCGAGAGGTGGAGACTCTGGTGAGCCAAGATCATGCCACTGCACTCCAGCCTGGGTAACATAGGGAGATTCTATCCTCAAAAAAAAAAAAAAAAAAAAATTGACGGTCGTCTCACAGACAATCTAATAATGAATTATTTTTTTGTCTTTAGAAAATCAACATTAACTTTTCTACTTTTAGATATCGTAATTGCTGTGACTTGAAGGACTTATCTAGAAAAAGCCTTAAAAAACTACGGTCAGCACTGGGTGAATGGGTTGAGGGAACCCACATAAAATCCCCAAGACACCTGGGAGTCCATGTCCCCATGAGTGGGACTGCAGGCAGCTGTAGCAGACTGGATGGGAGAGGACAGCAGGCAGGAGAACTCGGTGTCTGGAGTCCACGGTTCTAAGGCCAGTGAAAACCACTGGCAAAGTGAAATCCGAAGCTTGACAGGATGAAATTTGTGATTGTAAATGAATATTTGCCATTTCCAAGTGAGATCGCCAGTGGTGGTGGGATGGACGGGTGCTCCTCCAAGTGGGCTGCAGTGAGGAGAGCGCGGCACCACGCCAGGATGCTCCTGCCAGGAACACAGGATCTGCACACGTTTAGGAGGAAACGCTGGGCAGACCCAGCTTGGAGTCATCTCTGCTCTTTACATCTGTTAAGGCTGTGAAAACTGAGAGTCGGCCGGATGCAGTGGTTCACGCCTGTAATCCCAGCACACTGGGATGCTGAGGCGAATGGATCACCTGAGGTCAGGAGTTCAAGACTAGCCTGGCCAACATGGTGAAACCCCATCTCTACTAAAAATACAGAAAATTAGCCGGGTGTGGTGGTAGGTGCCTGTAATTACAGCTTATCGGGAAGCTGACGCAAAAGAATATCTTGAACATGGGAGGCAGACGTTGCAATGAGCAGAGATGGCGCCATTGCACTCCAGCCTGGGTGACAGAGGGAGACTCCCTCAAAAAAAACAAAAAACAGAACACTGAGTCTCAGGAACAGTTCCCGAGAAGGAAAATTGGGCCCGCATGGAAATAGACATTTTTCTCCCACCTAGGGCAGGGAGTGAAGTGAAATAGGTCTGTGGAGTGGACTTTCACATAGAAACCATGTATTTCCTAAATTGGGGGTTACTTGGGGATCACCTGGAGGAGTATTCCTGGTTTTGGTGAAACACACGGGGGTATTTTTTGTGAAGCTGCAAATCTGGCACAGCAATAACGGCTGGGGAACTGGAGATCAAGGAGAAGGCATACTAAGTGCTGTTGCAAGTTTCCCAGAAGTATGACATTATTGGGAAGTAAACTACTTTTTAAAACAACCGTGGCAATACCACGTCAGTAAGCCAGAGACAACACCATGAAGTTTCATGACAGAGGCCAAATGCAGCCCAAACCCAGCCCAGCAGAGGCTGTCAACTCAGCGCCCCAGCGAGAGCCGGAAGGTTCCATCCTCAGAGCTGCAGACCCTCTCGTGTGGGCTGCAAAGGCCATGTCTGCATCCCGGGCGGTATGTACGCTCTGAGAGATACATGCGTGTTCCGGGGGTTATATGAGTGTGACGGGTGTGGCGTGAGTCTGACTGTGTCACGGGCGTTCCAGGGGTTACGTGTGTGCTCTGAGGGACACATGCGTGTTCCGGGGGTTATATGAGTGTGACGGCTGTAGCGTTAGGTGACGATGTCATCTCCGCGTTCCAAGCGTTATGTGCGCACTGAGGGACACATCCACGTTCCCGGGGTTGGATGTGGAAGGCAGCTACCCCGACGGGTGTGCTCTCTGCATACGACGGGTGCTAACACTAGCATCACAGATGCAGTGTTATTAGCACTACAGAGGTTATTGTCAGTGTGGCGGGTGTTCTAGTTGCTTTCCTGACACTACATTTCTGTTCCAAGACCGCAGCTTGGCCCTGTGGCCGCCTCGCCTTGGGTGTGGAGAATGAACCTCGAGTGCGCTGGATTCACAGGGGATTTTGGTTTCTAATTTTCCACATGAAGGGTCTCTACCCCTCAGCAGTCAGGGCTGAAAACAGGAAGGATTTTACTCAACCATGGACGCCGCCGGCTCAAGGTGTCCCAAAGCGAGGGGCGTTTCCTGGTATGTGCTGAGGAGAACGCGGCTCCCGCCCTTGCAGGGTGCAGGCGCGGAGGAAGCGTGCGGGATGCGGCCGCCTCAAGGCTCAGAAAAGCCGGGCTCGCGCGTGCTCTGCTGGCGGCCGGGGGCACTGCAGCGCCCTAGAGCTCAAGGCACTGTCGGAAGCTGAGCGCCCTCTGCTACCCCTCCTGCTGCACCAACTAAAAGACAGCATGGAGTGTTCGGCGCCATCATTCTAGAAATGCAAACTGACACAGAGCCCATTAGCCCGTGAGTTTCTAAAAATGCAGAAGGGACAATTAATTGGAAACCATAGGAAATGAAATCAACATGAATGCACATTTTACAACTTATGCAAAAAGTCACTCAACATAGTCCTCAGACTTAAAATGCAAAACCGTCAGAGGCCTCTTAACCACAGTGACTTTATTTCAAATAAAGGCTTTTAAAAAGTTAAATCTGGGCAGGGTGCAGTGGTCACATCTGTAATCCCAGCACTTTGGAAGGCCAAGGCGGGTGGATCACTTGAGATCAGGAGTTGAAGACCAGCTTGGGCAAATAGCAAGACCCTTATGTCTACAAAAAATATATATATATATTAGATGGCATGCTTGCACATACCTGTAGTCCCAGCTACCCAGGAGGCTGAAGCGGGAGGATTGCTTGAGCCCAGGAGTTCGAGGCTGCAATGAGCCAGCCATAATCGCACCACTGCACTCCAGCCTGGGCGACAGAGTGAGACCCTGTCTCTCTCTCTCTGTCACACACACACACACGTTAAATTTGTTGGATTATATATTTCGGGGGTTGAGCACTTTTCGTTATAAAATATTTATGATTGTGGGAACAAGTTAATAAAGACATGAAAGTTATTTAAATGTCCCAGAACTTTAAGAACAAAAAGCATTCTTAGTTTAAAAATAAGTTTTACTTTAAAGGTAACAGTACACACATAAATTGTTGTTAAAATCGACAGTAACAAAGAGAAGTAACAATACTAATAGCCTGTCACAAACTGATTCTTAATAACCTATATAAACAAACATTAAGCCCGGGCGCCGGGTGGCTCATGCCTGTTATCCCAGCACTTTGGGAAGCCGAGGCAGGCAGATCACTTGAGGCCAGGAGTTCCAGACCAGCCTGACCAACATGGTGAAGCCCAGTCTCTACCAAAAACACAAAAAATTAGCCGGGTATATTGGCACGCACCTGTAATCCCAGCTACTTGGGAGACTGAGGCAGGAGAATCCTTGAACCCAGGAAGCAGAGGTCGCAGTGAGGCGAGACCATGCCATTGTGACAGGAGAGAAACTCTGTCTCAAAAAAAAATTATATGTTTACAACAGGTGCATTTCTCCTCTTGCTTTCTGAGGACGCCCTGCTATGTAGCTGAGTAGTCACTAATAAACTATCTTAACTTCACTATACTCTGTGACTTGCCAAAAGGTCTTTCCCATGTGAAATCCAAAAACCTGTTCTTGGGGTCTAGGACAAGACCCATTTTATAATGACAAAACTATACAAATTCTAGAGGGAAACATAGAAAGAAAGCTATGTGACCTTGCGTTTGGCCATGAGTTTTAACACGACACTATCAGAGGCATTTGAACCCCTCCTCTATATGAACTCCAGGGTGGTTTATGTTCCATTGGCTAAGAGAAAGTTTTCTTCAAAAATGTGACATGATTTGAGGTCAAACATTAATATCAAGTAAACTCAAAAGATTGAGAAGCTAGCATTAGTTCTGGGAAAACCAGAAGTGTGCCTTTTTTGGAAATAATCATTGGTAGCACAAACTTAAGAATCTCCAAAGGAAATAAAAATGAGTTATTAACTTACAGTTTTCACCAATTAAGATATAAATGAAGCTAACGAAATCCGGAAATACAATTTCACTGTTTTTAATGTTCATTAAAAAAAAATCCTTATCAAATAGCCCCAGTAAGTCACCAATTAAGTCTTTACTACTTAAAAGCAAAATCCACCTATGTCCTGAACAGTATCCACTTTACGAGCCTCATTATATGTACGAGATAAAATTCAGAAATAAATAAATATACATGTATACGTATACAAATATATTTCAAATTAAAAAATACTTTTAGATAGTGGTATGTATTACATTTAGAAATTAATAACGAAGTAAATTATGGGATGTCATCCACGCCTGTCCCAAAGGTACCGAATTTATAAATCATCTCAGGTGCGGAGCAGGACAGGTTGAAAATAGGAATGACATGAACCCGCGCGGAACAGCTGCCGGCGCGGTGTCCAGGGCGGCACCCCGCCCGGTCCCGGCCCCTCCAGCCCTGGGCCCGACCCCTACTACGCCTCTGCCTCGACGCGAACGCGGAGCCCGAGCGCGCGTCACGCCGTGTGGGGCCGAAGAGGCTGCTACCCAGAGGCGGAGTGCGGGCTCGCGAGGGTCCCCACCCGACTCTCGCTCCCGCCAGCACCTACGGACTCGCGTCCCCGCCGCGCGCCGACTCGGGAGCAGCACCGCCCCCGGCACAGGAGCCTCACGCGCCTCTTACCTAACAGGAAGTTGGGTGGAAGCAGCGCGGACCCACGGCACACCGAACGCACTCCAACAGAACCCGACGCAGACACGCGCTTTCAACCGGCGGAGACACTGGCAGGGCCAGAAACGCGCGCAGCGGGGGCGGGAGGTCGGTAAGCTCCCCGCCCCTGCCCGAGACCCCGCCCCGGCCCGGCCCCGCCTTTTTCTCTGCCTCCCCTCCCTGCACGTACGGGCCCCGCCCCTCGCGCGACGTTTTTTGTTGACCCGGAAACGGATTCTCCGGAGCCGAGGTCCGCTCGGGTGAGTGCCCTCCGCTTTTTGTGGCCAAACCCAGCCACGCAGTTCCCTTCCTGCGGCGTCCTCCACACCCGGGGTCTGCTGGTCTCCGCGGATGTCACAGGCTCGGCAACCGCCCTCCTGTCGGCGGGGAGTCCCGCGACGCCCGGAAATGCTCCGAAGCCTGTCGCCCAGCTGCCAGATCTGCGTCTGTGTCCGGTTCCGTCACTGAGGTCGCCCCTGTCCGGCCCTTCCACCCTAGTTCTCTTCACCGTCCGCCCATCCTATCGCGCGCGGCCTCAGGTCCCGATTCGGCATGTGGCTTGTCTTCCATCGTCCCCACCCTCGCCCCTCTTGGCCCCTCAGGGCAGCCCTGGGATTCGGCAGACGCCAGTCCTCCCTGAGATGCTTCCCCATCCTTCCCTCCGCCAGGCCCTACGTCTCCGCAAACCCCACGCTTCGGGGTGGCCGCCTCAGACAGGACCCTGAGTCCGAGACTGGGGTAGGGGACCTGCCCGATCCTGTAACAACCCTCGTGCTTCTGCACAATCGCCTCCCACTAGCGGTGACTGTTGGGTGTTTACCTTCCCGGTGTCCCACTGAGAAGCGGGCTCTTCCTTGGCAGGGGCTTCTTCATTGCCTCGCTGTGGATGTCGAGGTGGGGCAGGAGAGTGAGGAGAAAACAGAGGAGGGAGGTAGAGCCAACGAGCGAGAAAAGGGGAGGGAAGTTTAGATGGGAAGTGGATGGGTCTGAGGAATTTGAACAAACACCGACAATGAAGGAGAGTGACCTGAGCAAGTAGTAGTGGGGTAAATGGAAATAGACAAAATGGGAATCAGCAGAGATATGGAGGACAGAATACAATGAGGAGGCCTTGACCGTCAGTAGCAGAGAGGGCAGCAGAAGCCTAATTCCCAAATTCTTTAGATGGTTTTCTGATTTCCAAATTAGTTTCCCTTTTAAATTTATTGTGTCAGGTTCAGCTTATGAGGCCTCAATACTTTTCAGTCTTAATTGTATATTGAAAATACTTTTTGTTTACTAAATGCTTTTTACATTAATTCAGTGTGCACTTCGTAAGGATAATGATGATTTGAGTTAGTTTAGTATTCAACAGCTTCCTCTATTCCTTTATATGATCTCTGTATTTAATGGCTGTGGCATAAAGTTTCCAACTAAGTTTAAGTATCAAGTTTTCTTTGTGCTGTTTTCTGCAAATATTGAAGGATGACCTGGATTGTCCTAGAACTTTGTTCCAACAGATTACATGTGTTCATAATGAATAGACTGCTCAAAGATATTTCCAAAGCTCACCTTTTATGTTTTTCAGTTCCAATAATTACATCTTTTTAAGGTTTATATTTTTTGATGACTTAATGTGATGTTCTGGAGAAGACAAATGCTTTTAATCAATATGATTAAAACCGTGAAAGACAAATCGCTGTTACTTAAGAGTGTGACATATGATCTGAAATCTTTAGGGGGCAGGGATGTTAAGGGAAAACTGCCACTATCGTATTAAGGTCATGCCATTCCTGTGAAGCTGGTGCTTGTTACTCTCTACTGGCTTCTGTTCACCTTTCCACCGGCCCCAAGACACACACATAGTGACACAAGGCAGTGGACAGGGAAAGAGCAAGACTTTATAAAGTAAGCACACAACAAAGGTATCTTTCTAATGAGGAGGAGGTGTTGGTTCTGGGAAGGAAGCTTGGGATTTGGGTATTCAGGATCCAGAAGTGAGAGAGCCTGGGAAGTTCAGGAACCAGAGAAAGAAAAAGCCTTGCCCATTCTCACCCATGACACTGTGCTCAGCAGGTACTAGCAGACTTCAGGCTCTGTGACTAAAAGGGGTCAGACCAGTTGATATACCCACAGCTGCCATGTAAGGATGTGTGTGGACTTCACTAGGGAAGAACGGTGTTATGAAAGAAGGGGCAGAAAAACTCACCTGTTGGTCTGCATGTAGAGGTTTATTGTCCTGAATTCCTGGAGGTTCAGTGAAAAGCAGAAGATTGTCTTTTACACATGTTGAGTTATGCCCCCATATATGTGGTTGTGGTAAAGAAAGAGGGTGTGTTGATGAGAGGTCCTGAAATGCATTTTCCTAATACTCAGCAGGGGCTTCTCAAGAAGGATCTTCCCTAAGAAAGAAGCTCAGAGAACAAAAATGGAAAAGGATTAGATATGGCACTTTCACTGGAAAAAGTCATGTTATTCATTGATTGTTTTGTCATCTCCCGCCTTAAGTGTTGTTTTTAGGATGTGGTAATCTCTGACCCTGCCTAACACATTTCCCAACTCACCCATAGCCTTCCCTTAACGTCCTCCCATCTTCACGCTATCACACTGTGACCCAGTGAATTCGAACTTGTGAAGTTCCATTCGGGGGATCATATGGGAAGGGCTTCACACCCAGACATAGATTATAGATGGGAAGTGGGCCACATGGTGTCAGTGAGGCAAGTATGGGTCGTTTAGGGACAATGCACTGTCAGATCTTTGTTGAC
This sequence comes from Homo sapiens, assembly GCF_000001405.40. Lineage (NCBI taxonomy): Eukaryota > Metazoa > Chordata > Mammalia > Primates > Hominidae > Homo > Homo sapiens. Next base: position 234,903 of record NC_000008.11, read on the forward strand.
CATGATTAGAGAAACTGTGCATATTAGTAGTGAATTAATGTCAGGAATATCTGACAAATCCTGGAAAAGAAGATTGATGAGAGGAAATGTGTTCTGCCCAACTGTATAATGCATTTGAAGCTTAAAACAATGAATCAGTATTGATCTGGCCACAAAATATTAATGATTTGAATTAAAAAGAAAAGTTTAGAAAATGATAGCTTTGACAAATTAAGGTAGCATTTCATCCACACGATGGAGTGTGTTTTATTCAGTAATTGATTTAAAAATGGAATCAACCTAAGTGTCTAACAGGAGGGAGTTTTATAAATTGTTCACAGAACATCTGTTCCAAGGAGACCTTGATGTTCATAGATTTGTAAAGAATGCTGCTTACTAGCACACTGACTGCTCTGCAAATGTCTGAGGGTTCCTCCACTTGGGGCAAGTTGGGGGTTTGATCGCAGAGTAAATAAATGGTGCATTTTATAATGTAATATATTCTAGCAAGATGCAGCCCACAAACTGTATAGATACTCTTATGTACCACATAAAGTTCATCTACTACTTTAACCAGAACTTGATACTGTATGTATGTTTTTTTTTTTTAGATTTGGATAAAATGACAACTCATTGTTATTTCCAGTTCACAAAGTAATTGTGAGGCTGAATAAATTTTATTATTTTATAGACATATGTGTAAAATGAATTTTTCTATGAAACTCATTTTTGATGTATATTAGATGCTATTTTATATTCTGTAGTTTAATTATATGTACGCACACACAAACACACACTTCGGTGTCTTATTATGTTTCTGCAGTGAAACCAAAATCCTTCCTTCACGCCCTTTGATTTTATGTTTTCCTCAGGAAGGCAGGAGCTATTGTATATGATAAAATATTATGTTTTATTCAGTCCACTTATGAAATTGTTTAATATTGTTATAAATATTTATATGACTTATTTTAAATTTCCAAATAACATAGGTTACATGAAATTTGACAACTTTATTTTTTTCTTTTCACAACTATTTTGACTGTATACTCACCAAAAATCAAAATTTAGACAAAATTGACTTTTAGACTAATTCTCATTTTTTACATGTAAAAGACCACATGGGACTTTTAAGTCTAGGTTGCCCTGAGTCTACAGTCACTGAGGTTTTATGTCACTATGTCCTCCATTCTAATAATAGGATTTTCAGGCTTTATTCATGTCATTTTTATATCCTCATTAAGTTTTAAAATTTATTTACATGGGTCTACAAATTTATTTCAAATCGTAGTCATAATATTTGCCTGTTGTAAATAGACACTGATTTTGTGTGTTTGCTTTTTTTAAGGACTAATGTTGCTAAACAGGAAATATTGATTTCAGAATATTCATAATAGTTTTGCCCACTTTTTAAATATTCTTATTAGTATTGATAATTAGAATTGATTCCACTTTTTCAAGTTTACAGTCACGTCATCTGAGAATAACTACAGTTGCAGCTCTTTGACTCCATTTTTGTAGTCCCTCTCCTTTTCCCTCTTGTTTTGGTCCCACCTCAGGCATCATGTGCAGTGGTGAATGGCATCAGCCTCACCCAGCCTCCTTTTTCCAGCCTTACCTTTAGTGGAAATGGTTCTTTTGTTAACTGCTGAATATATTGTTGAGATTTTATTGATTAAGAAGAATTAGTCCCCACAATTTGGTATGATTTTTAAAGATTTTATATTATTTTTAAAGATTTAAATTATATGAAAATGTTTTTTCAAAGGTCTATTAATGTGATTTTTTTAATCTTTAAAATTACTTTGTGAAAATGATAGGTTTTCTAGTATGGAATTATCCTTTTATTATTGCAATAAACTCCACTTTACCATGCTCTGTCATTATTTAACCATACCAGTGATGGCCAGGTGGCCAAAATAAATAGCCAAATGGCTAAAATTGTATTGATGATTTTTGCAAATGTAAGTAAGGAAAATTGTTGGTTAAATTTGTAGTTATTGTTACATTCATGTTCATTTTGATTAGCATAATAAACTAATGAGGACAGGCTTATTTTTCTCCTTCAAAATAACTTAGGTTACAAAGGAACTAGAAGTGATTTCACATGTAAGAACTCTCACAAATCACTTTTACAGTTAAACTCTGATATATAACTTAAACATTAAAATTGGCTAATCAGATTTTTGTGCTGATTAATGAGGGAAAGTTTTTACTCTTTTTGTGGAAAGTAATATACATATTCATGTTGGAATATAATTATTCCCATTTCTTAGATTTTAAATTACTACTTTTAAATAAATACAGTCTCTTTTATTAACCTGTGTTTTTTCTTTCCACCGTGGGTCTTTTCAGTTTCATGATTTTGCTCTCAAAACTTTTTAATTATTGATTTCTGTCAAATCTGTTCATTCATTACATTATTTTATTATTTATTAAATTGTTTTATCTTTTTAAGTCTTATTAATATGTACTGAATTTGTAACAATTTGGAAAGTCAAGTAACTCCTGTTTTATCTTTTTCTTGGTTTATGAGTGTTTTTAAAGTTTTACGTTTCTTGAAGATCACAGCTGTAGCCCCAATTCCATGGTTCTGGCTACTTACATTTATCATACTTATTAATATCATGAATGTAATTGGAATACCCCTTTGATTTTACTGGTGACGTATACCCACTAGTGTACTGAGACGGAAAAAAAAGTCTTTAGAACTCAGATAAATATACAGTTCATATTTACTATTTATGTATGTGTGATCTCATTATTAAATTACTCTATCATGTTTGTGGAATTAGCAGTTTCTCTTTGAATTTGGATGTTTCTAGTTATGTGTATTTCCAACGTATGTTTTTAGCCACATACACTTTATTGAATATCATATTTGGTGTTTAATTTTTGCTAGGATTATAGGCTGGACTCCAGATCCAAACTTGACATGTAGCAGACCCATTAAAAACATACATTAAGCCCCTAGCACTGTTTTAATCTCCATGGCCTGGCTGAGCTTCTGCCATCTGTCTTCCTAGGCACCATGAGGTCTGGACATCTCATTTGGCATAACTCAGCTGTGGCCATTGGTGGATCTCATCCTTAGTACTAGTCCCTGCTGGCAGGGGTGACCCAGGCCCACATAAGCCATTGCTGGCCTCCTTGGAGGACTTAGAGAATCCTGAGATTGCCCATGAGGATGGACATGCCTTTCAGTCTAGCACCCACCTTTAGTGATGCCTGTGGAGATTGAGAAGCTCACAGGGGCCTTGGATGTCTTTCTTATACCTCCATTGTCTGCAGCGTGACTCCCATACTCTTGAGCCAAGGTAGAGAATTTTTAGGAGGCTTGTGTGGAGGTTTATGGTGGCCCCCATGGTTCTGTGAGACTGGTAGAAAGCACAGACCCCTTAGACTTCTCCCCAAGGAGAATACGTGAGACTAGTGGAGGAAAGGAGAGTAATGAAATATGCATTTCGTGTCCCAGGCTATCAGAGCACAGCTCTAAGGAAAAATACAGGGCATCGTATAGCAACTGGCACAGCTCTGTGAGACTGGGAGATATTGCACAACCTTGAAAAATCAAGATGTGACCCTACTGAATGAACAAAATAAATCTCCAATAATTGACCATAAAGAAATACAGGTTTCTGGCTGGGTGCGGTGGCTCACACTTGTAATCACAGCACTTTGAGAGGCCGAGGTAGGCAGATCATTTGAGGCCAGGAGTTCAAAATCAGCTTTGCCAACATGGTGAAATACAAAAAAAAAAAAAAAAAAAAAAAAAAAAATTAGCTGGTCGTGGTGACGGGCACCTATAATCCCAGCTACTCAGGAGGCTGAGGCAGGAGAATCACTTGAATCCAGGAGGTGGAGGTTGCAGTGAGCTGGTATCGTGCCGTTGCACTACAGCCTGGGCAACGCGAGTGAAACTCCGCTTTAAAAAAAAGAAAAAGAAATGGAGGTTTCTGATTTTCCTGATAAGAATTACAGGTAATTGCCTTAAAGGAGGTCAATGAGCTATGAGACAACACTGATAACAAGTAAAATCTGGAAAAGGATACATGAACAACATGAGAATATCAACAAAGAAAAACCATAATAAAAGAATCAAATATAGATTCTGGGGCTGAAGAATACAGTAACTGAACTGGATCAATACAAGGCTTCAAGAGCTGACTTGATCAAGCAGAAGAAAGAACCAGTGAACTCAAAGACAGGTTATTTGAAATTATTCAATCAGAAGAGCAAGTAGAAAAAGAATTTTTTAAAAGTGAAGAAACTGTCTGTCTTTGCTAAAAATTGGAGGGTCCTAAGAACTCCTCCCCGCCCCCACTGCCAATGCAGAGTCTTACTCTGTCACCCAGGCTGGAGTGCAGTGGTTCGATCTCCGCTCACTGCAACCTCCACCTCCCAGGTTCAAGCGATTCTCATACCTCAGCCTCCCGAATAGCTGAGATTACAGGTGCCTGCCACCATGCCCAGCTAATTTTTGTATTTTTAGTAGAAACGGGGTTTTGGGGTTTCACCAAGTTGGCCAGGCTGGTTTTGAACTTCTGACCTCAGGTGATCCTCCTGCCTTGGCCTCCCAAAGTGCTGGGATTACAGGCGTGAGCCACCATGCCCGGCAAGAACTCCTTTTTATGTTAGATTCACTAGGGTTTAGCAGCTCACAGAACCCAGGAAAACAGTTTACTTAGCTGATTTATTACAAAGGACATTTTAAATATTACATATGAACAGCCAGCTAAAGAGTTACATACAGCAAGTTTTGGAAGCATCTTAGGTTTAGGAGGTCTGTCTCCAAGCAGTTGGGGGGTACCATTGTTTCAGCATATGGATGTGTTCTTCACCCACCCAGAAGCTCTAGGAATCCCATCATTCAGGGATTTTTATGTGGTGTTCATCAAGTAGGCATAATTGTTATTAACTCGATCTCCAGCCTCTGTCCCTTTCCCAAAGGATAGGGGGTGGGACTGTACGTTCCAAGCTTCTGATCAAGTCATGGTCTTTCAGGTGATCACCCCCCATCCTAGAGCCTAGTAATAATTGTCTCATTAGAACAGAAGACACTCTTATCACCTATGAAGTTCCAAGGCATTACGAGCTCTGTACTGGGAACCAGGGTCAAAGACCAAAAAGAACAAAAGCTTCTCCTAGCAACTCTGTTGCTTAGGAAATTACAAGGGTTTTGGGTGGCTCTGTGCCAGGAACTGGGGATGAAAACCAAACTATCTATTTCTTACAACTAACAATGTCACATACATGTTCAAGTTTTCATGTTCTTAGTGTCCTTTCATTTCAACTTGAGGAACTCCCTTTAGCATTTCTTGTAAGGTATGTCACTTGTAAAGTGTGTCTTTTAAGGAATCCACCATGATAAAATGAAATTTGAAGCTGCTTGGTAGATAAATTCATGCTACATTTATCTACAGGTCAGACTTGAGGGACTGGTATTTCTAGAAGCCTCACATGGAAGAGACAGAATCATTCAGTACAAGTGTATCCAGAGGACCAGCAGAAGGGAGAAGGAATGGAGGGAGGCTCCTGAGGGCTGAGATGCATGTGGAGAAAGCCTGCAAGCACACAAACCGAGAATAATTAAATCTGAGAAATTCCAGGATTTATCTGTAGGTGGAGCCACATCTCCATGATTCAGGGATTCTTAGGATTTGGAATCATAGAAGGAATTAAACATTTCAGAATTCCATGCGCTAGGTGGCATATGAAACTCCATGATTTTCACATTTCTAGGTCTAAAATAAAAATATTTATATCTTTATTAGCAGCAATAGTCATTTCTTCTGACCCTGGGAGAGGAGAGCCACCAACCCAACCCACCCCCTACCCACTGCATGTCCTTGTTGGTTGGACTGGGGCTAATAGCTTTGGGGCAGATGTTAGAAGCAAAACTGGAGTGTCATGGTTTTTTTGTTTTTGTTTTTGTTTTTGCTCAGATTTGTCTTCTTAGTGCTTGGATGGTGTGAGTGAAAACCCAGAGGAATACATTTGGTGGCTGAGCTAGTACAATGCCATCACCGGTGAGTGGGAAATTCTTCTTTCTACTGAAATTTGTACCCCTGTTACCAGCCTAAGGGCAGATTCATCCTATTAACATGGATGTTCTAAGTGCACTCAAGGATCCAAGCTCCAATTAAGATTCCCCAGGGCTTCGGAATGTTTACATTGGCTCAAAGAGTCATCAAGAAGTAATGTCCTTTCAACAGTACACTAAGGCATTCCAGCCTCTACTAAGGCTGTGTATTAAGATGTGAGAGGTTTTTGTTTCTCTCATCCAGTCTCAGGGAAATCATTCATTACGAGCCTCTCATGGCCTTGTTGGGGAAATAAATTCACTCATTACCTATGTTATTGGCAGGAGTGGGCTTGAGAGTATATGTGGGTAGGTGGTGAAAATAAGTGAGAGCAGGTTATAGCCCATACAAAGGCAAGCTCAGTTAGTCTAGTGTTTCAGGTGTTAGGGGAGGGCTGTTTAACTTGAAGGGAAAGCAGATAGGGTTAGGACAGAGGAGACAATGAGGAATTATTCATTTATTTTTCCTATCTCAAAATCTTAATGTCTTGAGAGAATAAATGTGAACTTTTGAAAAACTTAAAAAGCAAAATTAAAATTCTTATTACCCTTGTCCCCAAATTAACCTCTGATCAAATTTGATAACTGGAAGCAACTGGAGTGTTGTTTCTTTAATTTTGGTTGTGCATTAAGTGATGGAGTATAGGAAACAGAGTAAATTTAAAACTCTGAGGAAATTTTTGAAGTGGAGAGACCAGGACAATCAAAGGATTTTTTTTCCCCTAAATCTAGAGACAACATGAAGAAACAAAATAGAATAGTACCTAGTGCATTAGTCCATTTTCACACCGCTATAAAAAACTACCTGATAGTGGGTAATTTATGAAGAAAAGAAGTTTAACTGACTGACAGTTCTGCAGGCTTAACAGGAAGCATGACTGGGAGGCCTCCAGAAACTTACAATCATGGTGGAAGGGGAAGCAAGCACCTTCTTCATAAGGCAGCAGGAGAGAGACCAAATCAGGAAATGCCACACACTGTTAAATCATCAGATCTTCTGAGATATTACTAGCATGAGAACAGCAAGGGGGAAGTTCACCCCCATGATTCAATCACCTCCCACCGGACCCCTCCCCCAACATGTGGGGATTACAATTCAAGATGAGATTTGGGTGGGGACACAGAGCCAAACTATATCACCTGGTGTTTGAAGATCCCACATAAAATTGAGAAAGGAAATCCTCAGACCATGGAAAGTGGCAGGATGAGACCATCTTTCAGTACTGAAGTCTTAGAGTCCCTGGCTTGTGCTGCTGAGCCATTCATCCTTATCCATTAACAGTGAACACCTGAGTTGTGTAGACATAAGAGGCTGCATCTGCTGATACCAAGTTCTATATGAAAGTTGTTCACACAACTGAGTGTTCTCAGTCATTTCATGAATAATGTATTTGTGGCTTGTATCTAAAAAGTGATAGATAGGAACCACTTTACATACTATCTCATTGGACCTTTTTGAACTCATAACAGGTCTTTATTTTATTCTGAGGACACTGAGGTCCTATAGTGGAATATCTAACTATAGTCTTGATTAAAACGTGACAAATTATGGATGCTGCCTCCCTTGTAGTGAGTCTATAGATTTTCTTGAAGGTGGTGGAGAGGAGAATTTTAGTTCTAAATTTCCAAGTACAGATTTCATAATTAGTATCTGTAAGTTATACTTTAGAAGTCTATTGGGAAATCTTCAGGTTATATTATGCCACACCACATGTGATATTTCTCTATGTGAAGTTTTATGTATGAGTAAATCTGAAAGCCAGATTCCCAGTTCAGATTTAAAGCAATGTGACAGGAACCCCAAACACTGTTTTGAGTTTTCTGTTCATACCACCCACACTTCCTTAGTACAGTCACTTTGATCTTGCTCCACTGAACATTGGCAGAGATAGCCCTGTTTGCAGTAGAATGTCCATAATGTTTTAGGATTCCATGACCTTCGAGGATATCATTGTAGACTTCACTCAAGAAGAGTGGGCCCTGCTGGACACATCCCAGAGAAAGCTGTTTCAAGATGTGATGTTGGAGAACATCAGTCATCTGGTCTCTATTGGTGAGTCTCTTTATATTTATTATGTATGTATATACGGATTCATTCACTCACTCATTTTTCACTGATTCATTCTTTCATTCTACACGTGCTTAGAACAGCTTTCTCATCTATCACTTCAACTTCTGCTTTGATCCTTTCATAACTCTCACAATTACCTGACAGCCATTTCTTTCCTTTTCACTTATATTGATTTGTCCTCTCTCTAGAAAGTCATCTTTCTGACCACAGTTTCACATCCTTCTTGCTCTTTAATCTCCCAAACTCAGAAAAGTTATGGTAATTCACTGCTTTGGTATGCATAAATAAATGTATTGATTTCTTTAAAGTAATTATTCTATCATAGGGACTGTTCTGCACAGAACCTAGATTGTTCTGGTGGAGCTAATATTTATTGCATAGTTTTTTAATATAATGTCAAATACTATGACAATTTGTAATTTCTCACTAAGTGAAAACACTGAGGATTCTGAAATCAGTATTTGAAGTGAGGCATGGCCATCAGCAATTATAGGTCTTTTATGTCTGGGAACAAGTTCAAGAGTTTTCATTTTGCTCGTGAAGGACTGTCAATGTTGTCTTCAAGGTACTCTTCCCAGGCTGACCTTCAGTGGCTAACTTATCCTTCCCAGTAGGCTGCCCTGTATCTGATAACCTTGTACATTTGTCAGCACAGAACTCAAAATCCATGTATCTTTTTCCCCAAAACAGGCAAACAGCTCTGCAAATCAGTTGTGCTTTCCCAATTGGAGCAAGTAGAGAAACTTTCAACACAAAGAATAAGCTTACTGCAAGGTGAGCTCTAAGAAGCAGTGCTTCAATAGGAGGAGGAGAAACATGGCCAGTGAGTGAGTAGGACCCAACAGTTGCCAAAGGAAGATTTCTTTTGTTTTTTTAGACAGAATCTCACTCTGTCACCCAGGCTGGAGTGCAGTGGCGTGATCTCGGCTCACTGCAACCTCTGCTTCCCAGATTCAAGTGATTCTCTTGCCTCAGCCTCCCGAGTAGCTAGGACTACAGGTGTGCGCCACCATGCCCAGCTAATTTTTTTCTATTTTTAATAGAGACAGGGTTTCAACATGTTGGCCAGGCTGGTCTTGAACTCCTGACCTCAAGAAATCCACCCACCTCAGCCTCCCAGAGTGCTGGGATTACAGTCATGAACCACCACGCCCAGCCGGAAGGTTTCTTAAATTTGCAGTGTTTCTGAAATGTAGGCAAAAACCTGAGGGAAACATTTCTCAGATATTGTCATTATACTTTGTAGGTATCAATTTTTATTCAAGTATCTCTCTGTCATTGTCTTTGTCTTTTGTAAAGGGGATATTTGTGTACTTATTTGAGTTAAACTATTACATACTAGCCCTTTATAATGGTCCTCTTCTTTGAAAATTTTTCTTTCCTTCCTCGACTTGCCTTTATTTTTTTATATGCTGAAAATGTCAGTAGTCAATGTGCTATAATACTCTTCTCCTTAAAGTATGGTTAATTTAACATTCTTTCCCTGTCTGTGTGTATTTGAAACACACTCAAATGGGCTTTGGAGCTATTTAACATTTTTATTCCCCTAATGCCTATATAGCATCTTTTTTTTTTCATTTATTTCAGGTAGAGAAGTTGGCATTAAACATCAAGAGATACCATTCATTCAACATATCTATCAGAAGGGCACGTCCACCATCAGCACAATGGTAAGCTTTATGGATGCAAACCCTGTTCTTACATATAGAAACCTGGACATTAAACAACTTTGGAATTTGGTACAGGTACCTGACTGTACTTAAAGCCCTCCCAGCAGTTTTAGATAGTTTGGATTTAGTGAAGACGTTAACTTCAAATCAAAACCATAATATGAGGCCTTATGACAGGACAACTGTACAAACTTGACTACGTGCTGAAACTTTCAAACATGATAAAGTCTTAATAACTAGTCAGATAGCTCTTCAGTTGGGATGCTACAACAGGAAAACTCTCTACATGCAGTTAGATAATATACTACGTTTGTATAACTGATATAGGAACAATTGTAACTGGAGTCTACCACTGAATGATTATTCTAGAATTAATATGTAGAGAAATGAATGAAGTAATGAATGAGTGTGGATAAACCTTTAATAGTCTTTCATTTCATTCCCAAAACCAGAGATCTCATACTCAAGAGGATCCTTTTCTATGCAATGACTTAGGAGAAGATTTCACTCAACATATAGCATTGACTCAAAATGTGATTACCTACATGAGAACGAAACACTTTGTAAGCAAAAAGTTTGGGAAAATCTTCAGTGACTGGTTATCCTTTAATCAACACAAGGAAATTCACACCAAATGTAAATCATATGGAAGTCATCTATTTGATTATGCCTTTATCCAAAACTCTGCCCTTAGACCACACAGTGTGACTCACACTAGAGAGATAACATTGGAATGTCGTGTGTGTGGGAAAACCTTTAGCAAAAATTCTAATCTTAGGCGACATGAGATGATTCACACTGGAGAGAAACCACACGGATGTCATCTATGTGGGAAAGCCTTTACTCATTGCTCTGATCTTCGAAAACATGAGAGAACTCACACTGGAGAGAAGCCATATGGATGTCATCTATGTGGGAAAGCCTTCAGTAAAAGTTCTAACCTTAGACGACATGAGATGATTCACACTAGAGAAAAAGCACAGATATGCCATCTATGTGGGAAAGCCTTCACTCATTGCTCTGACCTTAGAAAACATGAGAGAACTCACTTAGGAGATAAACCATATGGATGTCTCCTATGTGGGAAGGCTTTCAGTAAATGTTCTTACCTTAGACAACATGAAAGAACTCACAATGGAGAGAAACCATATGAATGTCATCTATGTGGAAAAGCCTTCTCTCATTGTTCTCACCTTAGACAACATGAGCGAAGTCACAATGGAGAGAAACCACATGGATGTCATCTATGTGGGAAAGCATTCACTGAATCTTCTGTGCTTAAACGACATGAGAGAATTCACACTGGAGAGAAACCATATGAGTGCCATGTATGTGGGAAAGCCTTCACTGAATCTTCTGACCTCAGACGACATGAGAGAACTCACACTGGAGAAAAACCATATGAATGCCATCTATGCGGAAAAGCCTTCAATCACTCTTCTGTCCTTAGACGACATGAGAGAACTCACACTGGAGAGAAACCATATGAATGCAATATATGTGGTAAAGCCTTCAATAGAAGTTACAACTTTAGACTTCATAGAAGAGTTCACACTGGAGAGAAACCATATGTATGTCCTCTATGTGGGAAAGCCTTTAGTAAATTTTTTAACCTTAGACAACATGAGAGAACTCACACTAAAAAAGCAATGAATATGTAAGAATCATCAGCTGTAGCGTTAACACTAAATACACCAAGGACAAACATACTACAGGAATATTATGTCTGTAATCAGTGTGGAAAAGCCTTTATTTATATTTACCACTTTGCTCAACCTAAATGAATTCAAGGTAGAGAGAATCCAGATGTATTTAATGTTTATGGCACAAACTTCAGACTCTAGGCTGACCATATACAACGTGAGAGAATGAAACTATAGATCAAAGGAATGTGGAGGAGTCTTCATCCACAGCTCTGTTAAATAAATGGGAGAAATCACATCACGAAAATTCTGTGCCTGTCGTCAGTGTGAAAATGCCTTTGCTGATAATTTATCCTCTAAACAAATGAGTAAAATCCACAGGCAAGCAACCATATGTCTGTAATTGCTGTGCACTCTCATTCAGCTAAGCACCAATTTTGGTGTGTGCAAGAAAATTCATTATAAGGTAACTGATAAAAACAGGAAATATGTGAAAATATTTTTTATTAGGTGGATGAGGCCTCTTGAACAATTCCAGACATTCATAGTGGAGAAGTTATTCAATGAAAACTCATGAGAAATCCTTTTCTTAATACAGCAGCACTTCTATAATAGATCAGAATTCACATGGTGTAGAACTCTCAATGACATGAATGGAGGGTAGTCCTCAGTAAATTACTCATTCCTTAGTCAATACCAGCATTTTTCCAGTGAGAAAACTATCTTGACAGGATAGTGGAAAAACCTTCAGGCAGCTTTTATGTCAAAAAAGTGAGACAGGGATGAAAACTCTAAAAAGCCATTGATGAGATGTATAGCTGGGGGACAAAACATAAAGCCATCAAGCACGTGCTTGAGAAAAAAATTATAATTTTGAATAAAGACTTTCTACTTAAAATATGTGGGTTGAAATGTACAATTCTGAAATAACCTGGGAATATTGAATGCAGAATTATGTAAGAAGTAATAAGATTAAATTAGTACTGTCAAAAATACAAGCATTAAGTGTTGTTGCTGAATAATCTAATAGGTTTATTAAAATCTGTGTTTTTTGTTTTTTGTTTTGAGACAGGGTCTCGCTCTGTAACCCAGGCTGGAGTGCAGTGGCGCAATCTCAGCTCAATGCAAGCTCTGCCTCCTTGGTTCATGCCATTCTCCTGCCACAGCCTCCCGATTAGCTGGGACTACAGGGACCCACCACCACACCAGGCTAATTTTTTGTATTTTTAGTAGAGACAGGGTTTCACTGTGTTAGCCAGGATGATCTTGATCTCCTGACCTCGTGATCTGCCTGCCTCAGCCTCCCAAAGTGCTGGGATTACAGGCATGAGCCACCGCGCCCGGCCCAAACTCTATGTTTTTAATTCAGTTTTAAACACATAGATTTGGGTCAGTTAGAAAATGCGGATGGGCATGGCGGGTCACACCTGTAATCCCAGCACTTTGGGAAGCTGATATTGGTGGATCACTTGAGGTCAGGAATTCGACAACAGCCTGGCCAACGTGGTGAAACCCCATCCCTACTAAAAATACAAAATTAGTTGGGCATGATGGTGTATGCCTGTAGTCCTAGCTATTCAGGAGGCTGAGGCAGGAGAATCACTTGAACCCAGGAGATGGAGGTTGCAGTGAGCCAAGATCATGCTACTGCGCTCCAGCCTGGGCAACAGAGTGAGACTCTGGCTCAAAACAAAAAGACAGTGACATTCAATGGAACTAATACACATAGAACACAAAATTATAGGTCCTAACTATAGTAGTGGTATATATGTACATGGTAATGATTAAGTCAAACATGGATTATGAAAGACTCACTTTAAAAGTACAGTCTTATGGTGCTTAAATTTGCCTTTTTGTTTTTAAACCACTTTATCAAAGTGTAATTGACAAAAGCTGTTACTTAATGTATACAACTTAATAAGTTTTGAGATAAGGATAAGCCCAGGAAACCATCACCACCACCATCTGTGCCACAAACATTCATTCTCTCCAAAATTTCCTTCCCTCATTTTTCATTGTTCTCTTTGTGATAAAACCACTTACATCACAGCAACCTGTAGCAAATTTTTAAGTATATAATACAGTATTGATAAGTATAGGCAATATATTATATGATTTAACATTGCAAAAATAAAACTAATTACAAATGAATCTATTTAAATATAATTTGGCAGTGCTGGATAATTGTGGTTACATTTGCATGAATGTCTCCCAGAATCAGGTATGAGCATCATAACAGAGATTTTTGTTGCCATGGGCTTTTTTTCTTTAAGAACCTTTCTGTTCTGTGTGTAAATGTTTAATATTCTCACTTCTCACAAGGGCTATTTATGGAATCTTAGCTTATATATTCCTCTCTAGCCTCTAAAGCTTACACTTTAAATTAATCTGTTTTTTTTTTCTTTTTTTGTTTCATCTTTATTCACTCCATCCTACCCAGAAGCAGAAACCCCACTATTTTGCACAAAACAAAAATGTCAGCTTATTTTTCCTCCGCCTAGACAGGCCATCTTTCTTCTGGGACCTTATGTTCCCTTCATGTTAATTTTCAAGTGCTTGAGAAAATCCAGTGTGATACTTCATTGACTCTCCCCTTTCTCATGAATTCTACCTCAGAAAATCCTGTCCGAACAGGCTACCCTCATGCCTAAAGCAGCTGTTTCATGTATTTCGTTTAAGTTTTGTTACTGTTAATGGTGGGTTGGTCCAATAACATCCACAGTCATGCTGGGAACAAAAATTTTTTACTCAAATATTTTAAGCCAAATAATGCTTATTCTATTTTTATGGGTGAAATAATTAAATCAGAATTTTCACAATAATGACTATTTCTATACGAAAAAGTTCTCCACTGTTCACAGCTTAACATCACATTAAATCCATTGGTGTCAGCTGCCTCATTTACCACATGCGACCATAAGGCCCGGCTCTTTTGGCCTGTGACAGAAGTCAGTGTATTTTCTCCCTGTGCCACATGTGTCCCTGCTCCCAGTCCTGGGTTTCTGTGTTGATGCCGAGGTATAAGATACCCATAGTAAGAGCACACACATGCACAGCCAGATTTCCTTTGATATCAGATTAAGAAGTGGTTCCTGCAGAAATTTTTAGATAAGGGCTAGTAAGTTTTGAGTCATCAGGTCATTGCCATGGAAAGGGAGGTAACCCCTGGGTATTGCCATGGCAGTGGTAAATAGATATGGCAGACTGGTGGGTATCTCTGGAAAGTTGCTTTTGCTATGGCTTTGTTTTAGCTACTCCTCAATCTGGTCCAGTGTCTGAGCCCTACCTCTGGAGTCAAGTCCCACCCCCTACCTCATCCTCTCCTCAGAGATTAGATATTCCTCCTTAATCTTAAGGGTGCTGTAGAAGGGCAGAAGTCTGTATTCTGTAACTGCTTCCTGCTGAGCTTATGGGCATAGGCCCTGCCTAGCACTGGAGGAGTAAAAATCCCTGGGTACAGGCCGGGCACGGTGGCTCATGCCTGTAATCCCAGCACTTTGGGAAGCCGAGGCGGGCAGATCACAAGGTCAGGAGATGGAGACCATCATGGCTGACACAGTGAAACCCCGTCTCTACTAAAAAAAATACAAAAAATTAGCTGGGCATGGTGGCGGGTGCCTGTAGTCCCAGCTACTCGGGAGGCTGAGGTGGGAGAATGGCATGAACCTGGGAGGCAGAGCTTGCAGTGAGCCAAGATCATGCCACTGCACTCCAGGCTGGGTGACAGAGCGAGACTCCGTCTCAAAAAAAAAAAAAAAAGAAAAAAGAAAAATCCCTGGGTACCTCAACTAAGGGACCCACAGGCAGGACACTTTTTCATTCTCTGGGTCAGTAAACAGGATGGTTGGAATTCTTCTGCCAGCATTGTCTTTACCTGGAAGTTTTGTAATCTAGAAGACACAAACTTTACTAAGAGGTTAAACAAGGAAGTGACAAAGAATAGTAAGATAGCTATCAAAGGTCCTAGGAGAGGTAAAGACCAGTGAGACTTGGGAAGGTACTTTTCATAGATGACCAGATACAGTTGGGAGTCAGTGCCCTGATTATGTAACCAGGTAACTTGCTCATAGATCTTTTGAATGTTAATCTCAACTTGTCCAGATTTGTTAATATACATGCAGCAGGTTTTACTAATAACTTCACAGACTCCTCCTTGTTCAGCTAGTAAATAATTCAACACTAGTCTCTTATAGAGAACTAAATTTGCCAAAGAGTCTAAGGACTTGATTTCCCTTTAATGCCTGACCTGTGATAGTGGCTAAGCTTTCTAAGGGTTTGAGTCAAGTTCCTTAGAGTTAAGTCATGGTAGACAAAGCTGCCCCAGGGTGCTGCTAATCCTATCACTGCCCTCATTTCTGCCAGAATTAATCCTATCGCTTGCTTACTTCTGGTATTCTTGGGTCTATTGGGGTTATAGACAGTGACCCCTGGTGAGTCAAGGGGGGGCAATGTACATTCACTTCTGTTCCAAGTACTTGACAAAGAAAAGCTACTCCTAAAAGAACAGGTGACTCCCTAGAGTTGGGAGTGGTTACAGATTCTGATTTATTCCCGTTCATGGCCACAAACAGAAGCCCTATGGGGTATGATGTTTATTCTTTGCTGTCAAGTTGGGTCTATAGAGATATTTTCTCCCTGTTCCAGTGGGGGTGGTCAGATAATCTTTGTTTCCCAGAAGTGGGCAGTACTTCCACCTTCCTGGACTGGGCAGTCATTTCTCCTTTGTATGTTCTGATCCAGAAATCACCATATATGTTTTCTTCTCACTTACAAGTGGAATCCCACTTACTGCAGCCTTGGAAACTTGACAACTATAGTTGGATCAGAGAGCATCACTCCACTTTTGTGTCATTAACACAGACGTGAGAGCAAAGGATAGAATCATTTGTGCACTGGAGATATGGATATCTAACTTCCCAGGTCCAGGGAATAGTGGTGGAGGAGGGGTTCAAGTGGAATACATTAAGTGGGTGAGAGCTGCACTTAACTAGTAGGGGTTTGATTATTTCTGGATTGCTATGGTTAGTTAGGAGGCCAGGGGGGATGGTCATGAGATTTTCCAGGTAAGCCAGAAGATATAACTCTCTATCCTGGGGATGTTGATGACAAATCTAACAACTGTGAAGATGATTCCCTGATGCTATAATCTTAGAAATCTTTACTATAGAGTTATGTTCTCACCCACACTGGATCAGGGTAATTGGAAGAGCAAACATCAACAGTGACAACATGGTGTCCAGCTAGGCATTAGCATGGTCTCTATACCCAACAAGGACAAAACAGGTGTTTTGCAGAAGTTGGCTAAAGCAACATAAAAGAAGTTCAATTAAGAAGAAGAGAAAAATTAAGCTCCTATTCCCACCCACAGCATCACATTTCCACTTTTAGCTGAGTGTTGAATCTTTTAAATAGGTACCAGAGGTCTTCCAAAAACTCATAGATGTAGGTCATGATGTCCTCTTTTTGTGCCTGTGACTCAGAAACAGGTTTAATCATGGACAGGTATACCCAACTGGTTCTTCCCTGAAGTTTCACAGTGGTGGGAGTACTCAATAAAACCTGATAGTGGGCCTTCCATTTTGGTTGTAGTTGATCTTCAGGGGATATTTCTTTCCAAGTTTTCAGCAAAACTGCATCTCCTGGTTGAATAGGGGGGTTAATTCTTTTATTAATCTCCTGGTTGAATAGGGGAGGGGGGAATACTTTGTTTCCATATGCTTGGAGGGCCTTTTGAACCTGGCTTCTTCAGGCAGCGGGGAATAGGGGCCTGGGCTTGTTGGATAAGTGGGAGGGGTTCCTGATGACTTTGGAGTGTAATTCTGCACCAAAGAACTAGTGGGGTCCCCCTCAAAAGTAGGAGACTGGGGAGGCTCTGAAGTGGGAGCACAGATCTCAGAGGAACAGCTAAAAGGGGGTCATCTAGGGTATCTGGTGCAGCTTCAGACACATTCTACAGCTAGCCCTTAGATTAGGATCCTGGTAGAGGGAAATAAAAGCCTGCACATAGCAAACTTCTTACCATTTTATTTCCTTTTCACACAACAAATCTAACTGTATGATATCATTATAATGTAAAGAACCGTGTCTAGAATAAATATGTTGGTTTATCAATTTTTATTGAATCCAAACATTATTGCAATAGTAAACAAGGTTTTTCTTTTTCAACCTGTCTAATAATTTGAAGCTACTCCAATGGCCTAAATGACACCCGAGTGGCGAGTCTTTTTGAATGCTTACTGTTGTCCCCATGTCTAGTAAGGCTCACTACAAGGGGTTTTAGTTAGCCTAAGTTTAGCAAATGCATACTTACTTTTCCCTTTTCATTTCCCACTTTCTATAGTTGCCAAGGTGTTACAAAAGTAGATTAGGAAAACCTAGCCAATACCAATCAGGACATAGGCGTGGGCAAAGACTTCATGACTAAAACATTGTAGGGAAAAGAAATAGAGATCAGACTATTACTGTGTCTATGTAGAAAGGCAAGACATAAGAAATTCAATTTGGACCCGTACCTTAAACAATTGCTTTGCTGAAATGTTGTTAATTTGTAACTTTGCCCCAGCCAATTTGACCCAACTTTGAGCTCACAAAAACATGTGTTGTATAGAATCAAGGTTTAAGAGATCTAGGGCTGTGCAGGATGTGCCTTGATAACAAAATGTTTACAAACAGTATGCTTGGTAAAAGTCACTGCCATGCTCTAGTCTCAATAAACCAGGGGTACAATGCACTGCGAAAAGCTGCAGGGACCTCTGCCCTGAAAAGCTGGGTATTGTCCAAGGTTTCTCCCCATGTGATAGTCTGAAATGTGGCCTCGTGAGATGAGAAAGACCTGACCGTCCCCCAGCCCGACACCTGTAAAGCGTCTGTGCTGAGGTGGATTAGTAAAAGAGGAAAGCCTCTTGCAGTTGAGATAGAGGAAGGCCACTGTCTCCTGCCTGCCCCTGAGAACTGAATGTCTCAGTATAAAACCCGACTGTACATTTGTTCAATTCTGAGATAGGAGAAAACCCCCCCCTATGGTGGGAGGCGAGACATGTTTGCAGTAATGCTGTCTTGTTATTCTTTACTCCACTGAGATGTTTGGGTGGAGAGAAACATAAATCTGGCCCACGTGTACATCCAGGCATATACCTCCCCTTGAACTGAATTATGACATAGATTCTTTTGCTCACATGTTTTTTGCTGACCTTCTCCTTATTATCACCCTGCTCTCCTGCCACATTCCTTTTGCTGAGATAATGAAAATAATAATCAATAAAAACTGAGGGAACTCAGAGACCGGTGCCAGTGCAGGTCCTCTGTATGCTGAGTGCCGGTCTCTTGGGCCCACTGTTGTTTCTCTATACTTTGTCTCTGTGCCTTATTTCTTTTCTCAATCTCTCATCCCACCTGGTGAGATATACCCACAGGTGTGGAGGGGAAGGCCACCCCTTCAAACATCAAAAGCAATGGCAACAAAAGCCAAAATAGACAATTGGGATCTAATTAAACTAAAGAGCTCCTGTACAGCAAAAGAAACTACCATCAGAGTGAACAGGCAACCTAGAGAATGGGAGAAAATATTTGCAATCTACCCTATCCGACAAAGGACTAATATCCAGAATCAACAAAGAACTTAAACAAATTTACAAGAAAAAAAACAACCCCATCAAAAAGTGGGCAAAGAATATGAACAGACATTTCTAAAAAGAAGACATTTATGCAGCCAACAGTCACATGAAAAAAATGCTCATCATCACTGGTCATCAGAGAAATGCAAGTCAAAACCACAATGAGATACCATCTCACACCAGTTAGAATGGTGATCATTAAAAAGTCAGGAAACAACAGATGCTGGAGAGGATGTGGAGAAATAGGAAGGCTTTTACACTGTCAGTGGGAGTGTAAATTAGTTCAATCATTGTGGAAGACAGTGTGGCAATTCCTCAAGGATCTAAAACACGAAATACCATTTGACCCAGTGATCCCATTACTGGGTATATACCCAAAGGATTATAAATCATGCTACTATAAAGACACATGCACACATATGTTTATTGTGGCACTATTCACAATAGCAAAGACTTGGAACCAACCCAAATGTCCATCAGTGACAGACTGAATTAAGAAAATGTGGCACATATACACCATGGAATACTATGCAGCCATAAAAAAGGATGAGTCCATGTCCTTTGCAGGGACATGGATGAAGCTGGAAACCATCATTCTAAGCAAACTATCACAAAGACAGAAAACAAAACACCAAATGTTCTCACTCATAGGTGGGAGTTGAACAACGAGAACACATGGACACAGGGTGGGGAACATCACACACACACTGGGGACTGACAAGGGTGGGGGCTGGGAGAGGGATAGCATTAGGAGAAACACCTCATGTAAATGACAAGTTGATGGGTGCAGCAAACCAACATGGCACGTGTATACCTGTGTAAAAACCTGCAGGTTGTGCACGTGTACCCTAGAACTTAAAGCATAATTTTTAAAAAGTGGATTATGAGCTTCAAATGGGCAGTTGGATTTTGAACCTAAATGCCACAGACAGCAACGGTTGGTAGAGAGGTGGGCTCAAAAATGGAAGGGAGGGACTGTGGAAGGGAGAAATGGAAGAGGTAAACAGTGCTGCCCAAGGGGAGACCTCAGAGGCCCTGACCTGCTGGGTAACCTATCCCGTAGCAGAGACACTGAAAAAAATATTCACGTGGCCAATTGCCTACCACTGTAGGTGGCTCTCCATTATGCCAGGGGCCTGGGAATTCCCATTTCCTTGGACCAAGAGTGGCTTGAGCAAGCTAGTTGGAAGACAGCATAAAGGAAGGGTTAGCAGCTTGCTATTAGGAAAATACTTCTAACTTATAGGGCAGAAAAGGGCAAGACCAATACTCCCCTAGGGAGAGGGCTATAACTCATATATCCCTCAGAATCCTAGAGGGAATGTCAACACAAATACTCCAGATCATATGGGGGGTGGCCAGAATACCAATGTTGAAAACTCAGAAGGCCCAAGTTTCAGCCAACAAGGGTCCCTTCACCAAATCCTGAAAACCCTGGGGCACCCAGAATGCGGCCAACAGTCAATCCAAGACCAAATTGGGGTCAGCAAACAACATGACTCTAGCATCCCGAAGTAAAAACAGTGGGGATCTCTCACAACCAAGTATCCTGCCTTAATCGTCCCCAAACAATTAACAGAAAGGTAAAACCAAACATAAGACTGCACACATTTTAGGACTGAAAATAAAATAACTAATGGAACAACACAATGGAGTCCGAAGAGAAAGTACTCAGGGAAGGGGTGACAAGGACATGCTCTAGCCAAAGACGTTTATTTCATTTCCTAGTTCTCCTGATACTATGGCGATGGGGGCATAAGGGACACTCACCTGTCCACCAGAGCACATATGGTGCTGACTGATTTTCCCCATGGGACCCAGGTGAAGATCTCGCCAGGATACCTCAGCTTGGGTGGACTTAACTGCCACAAAGGGTGGGTCCTGCACAGGGGGGGCCTGTAACCCACTGGTCGGCCAGTCAGACAGGTGGGTGTCACATAAGGTGGTGACACTATGGCTGCCCTGCCAGTAGGCTCAGCTGCCGCAGTGGGAGGGGCCTGCACTGTGTCAGTAACCCACCAGGCTGCAAATTTTCTGAACTTTTATACTGTGCTTCCCTTATAAAATTGAATGCCTTTAACACCACCCAAGTCACATCTTGAATGATATACTGCTCAGAAATTTCTTCTGCCAGATACCCTAAATCATCCCTCTCAAGTTCAAAGTTCCACATATCTCTAGGGCGGGGGCAAAATACTGGCAGTCTCTTTGATAAAACATAACAAAAGCCACCTTTGCTCCAGTTCCCAACAAGTTCCTCATCTCCATCTGAGACCACCTCAGCCTGGATTTCATTGTCCATATCATTATCCGCATTTTGGTTAAAGCCATTCATCAAGTCTCTAGGAAGTTCCAAACTTTCTCATATTTTCTTGTCTTCTTCTGAGCCCTCCAAACTGTTAGAACCTCTGCCTGTTACCGAGTTCCAAAGTCGCTTCCACATTTTCGGCTATTTTTTCAGCACCATCCCACTCTACTGGTACCAATTTATAATATTAGTCT
Organism: Homo sapiens; assembly: GCF_000001405.40. Taxonomy (NCBI): domain Eukaryota; kingdom Metazoa; phylum Chordata; class Mammalia; order Primates; family Hominidae; genus Homo; species Homo sapiens. The sequence goes on from NC_000008.11 coordinate 256,460, forward strand.
ATTTTCACCCTGCTGATAAATACATACCCGAGGATGGGCAATTTACAAAAAAAAGGAGGTTAAATGGACTTATAGTTTCACCTTGCTGGGGAGGCCTCACAATCATGGCAGAAGGCAAGGATGAGCAAGTCACATCTTAGGTGGATGGCATCAGGCAAAGACAGAGCTGTGCAGAGAAGCTCCTCCTTATAATATCATCAGATCTCATGAGACTTATTCACTATCACAAGAACAGCACGGGAAAGACTTGCCTCTATTATTCAATTACCTCTCACCTGGTCCCTCCCACAACACCAACCATGCTTGGCTAAGTTTTTAGTTCTAGTTTCATAGAGATGGGGTCTCACTATGTTTCAGGCTGATGTCAAACTCCTGGGTAAAGAGACCCTCCAACCTCAGCCTCCCAAAGTGCTGAGATTACAGGCGTGAGCCACCAAAGCTGGCCCGTTTTTCTTGATATATCAAAATTATTCCATACAGTCAGATAACTTTTCTTTTCTTTTCTCTTCTTTTTTTTTTGAGACGGGGTCTCGGTCTGTCGCCCAGGCTGGAGTGCAGTGGCGCGATCTGGGCTCACTGCAAGCTCCGCCTCCCGGGTTCACACCATTCTCCTGCCTCAGCCTCTCGAGTAGCTGGGACTACAGGAGCCCGCCACCACGCCCGGCTAATTTTTTGTATTTTTAGTGGAGACCGGGTTTCACCATGTTAGCCAGGATGGTCTCGATCTCCTGACCTTGTGATCCACCCGCCTCGGCCTCCCAAAGTGCTGGGATTACAGGCGCGAGCCACCGCGCCCAGCCAGTAACTTTTCATGTGGTTACTAACAGCCATGGATTTCCCTGTCCAAGGTACCAGTTTTTCGGTTGCATTTCTCTATATACTCATAGCCGTGGACACTGTCTACCTGTCTGATGAAATTCAAGTAACCTTTTCATTAGGTTTAACTTCCAAGAAATCTAAATGGGTTTCTTATAAACAAAAGCAATCACACTATAGGAAATTTTTCTTTACCTTTCTCACAACTAGCCTAAAAGACAAAAATAAAGATTGTACATGTTATCAAGGCAATTCCTTCCTTGTCTTAATTGGGTTTTAGATTAGTTAGGAAAAGAGCTATAAAAGGGTTAATGTTTTTACATCTATGTAACCTTCTGTATTGCTATTATTTAACAGTGACCCCTGATTCTGTTTGATTGAGTGTTTTGAGTCTTCTGACATCTTTGGCAGGTTTCTTCAAGATTAAAAACCTATATTAAGTCTTTTTGGCCTAAAACTAACTTCGGGATTTTGAAGGTTGACCCCTGGAAACCCTCAAAAATATTGCCTCTTACCTTATAGAGATTAAATGGTTAGACTTATCTGGTAAAATATATGGGCGACATTTTACCACACAGGGCACAAAGGATATCAAGTAATAAGTGATGGAAGATCTTTCAGTTACACTTATAGGTATGTTATTGATATAAATGTTCCTGACATAAATGTTCCAAAAATCATATATATTGATGAAAATCTGTTGTCAGCCATACTTTTGTTTTGTTAAATATCTTCTAAAGTTATATTCATATAAATATGTTATAAATGTAAGTATTCTAAGATTATATACAACTTATAAAGATCTCAGGGACCTGATGCAAAGCTGTAAGACATGATTCTGGTTGTTATAAAATGCTACATATAATAAATATAACCAAATTTTCTTATGAATTGGGAACTTTTGTCAGATTTTAACCGTGGTTAGGATTAGCACAGTGGCTCATACCTGTAATCCCAGGACTTCGGGAGGTTGAGGTGGGAGGATCTCTTGAGCCCAGGAGTTCCAGGCCAGCCTGGGCAACATAGTGCGACCATGTCTCTACAACAGAAAACAAAGTTAGCTGAATGTGGTGGCATGTGCCTGTGGTACCAGGTACTCAGGAGGCTGAGATGGGAGGATGGCTTGAGACCAGGAGGTCAAGGCTGCACTGAGCCATGATTGTGCCACTGCACTCCAGTCTCAAAAAGATTAAAAAACAAAATTTATAACAGTATTACTGTTCCCTCAAAAGCTACTCCTACAGGAGTGGCACAAAGGATATCAGGAAAAAAAAAACCCTCTTAAATGCTATTCCCATTGTCTTCCCACAGAAAATTGCCTGGTCCATTATCGAGTCATGAAAACAAACAAAAAGGATAAACCAGTTCCTTATTACAGAGCTGGACTAAAATCTTATATATAAAACCATTCTAGGCTTAAAATACATAATGAAACAACTGAAATGCCTTACAGCCTTTTAAATGAATAAACTCTTAACAGAGCTTGGAGACCAGATTAAAAAACATAAGATTGGATAGAAAGTCATTGATATGACCCAATTGGTCACTACGAGTAAGCGCTTTGAAAGACTTTTAGAATCATAAAAAATGCTAAAAGAAAGAATAAACAGGCTAATAAACTAATATCTTTACAAGTACAAAAGCTACAGGAACAGACCTCCTTATATCTGTTATAACTCAAAACTGATATGTCCTAAACAAAGGAAACCTGGGTAAGCTCTATACCTCGAGATGGCTGCATTCATTGTAAACAATGAGGTCCCTGGAAGACATGTCATCTGCTCTTGGAGTAGTCCTCTAATAGGCTGGCTCCTTTTGGGCCACACAGTATTCCCATCAGAGAAAGTCCCCGAGGGTTTGACAACAATCCACCCTGCAGGGGTGGAGGACCTGAGGAATTCTCTGGTGAGGAACTTCCTGTAATACCTTTTTTTTGAAATTAAAAAAAATATTGTGGGTACATAGTAGGTATATATACTTATGGGGTACATGAGATGTTATGGTACTGATATGCAATGTAAAATAAGCACATCATGGAGAATGGGGTAATGCATCCCCTCAACCATTTATCCTGTGAGTTACAAACAATCCAATTACACTCTTCTAATTACTTTTAAGTGTACAATTAAGTTATTATTGACTATAGTCACCCTATTGTGCTATGAAATATTAGGTCTTATTCATTCTATTTTCTGTACCCATTAATCATTCCCACCTCCCCCCTGCCAGCTCCCCCTTCTACCACTACCCTTCCCAACCTCTGGTAACCATCCTTCTACTCTTTATGTCCATGAGTTCAATTGTTTTCTTTTCTTTCTTTCTTTTTTTTTTTTTTTTGAGACAGAGTCTCACCCTGTTGCCTAGGCTGGAGTACAATGGCGTGAACTTGGCTCACTGCAACATCCGCCTCCTGGGTTCAAACAATTCTCCTACCTCAGCCTCCCAAGTAGCTGGGATTACAGGTGCCCGCCACCATGCCCAGCTAATTTTTGTATTTTTAGTAGAGATGGGGTTTCACCATGTTGGCCAGGCTGGTCTCAAACTCTTGACCTCGTGATCTGCCCCCACCCCCACCTTAGCCTCCGAAAGTGCTGGGATTACAGTTGTGAACCACCACGCCCAGCCCAATTGTTTTCATTTTTAGTTCCCACAAATACGTGAGAACATGTGATGTTTGTCTTTCTGTGCCTGGCTTAATCCACTTAATATAAAGATCTTCAGTTCCATCCATATTGTTGCAAGTGACTGGATCTCTTAGTTTTTTATAGATGAATAGTACTCCACTGTGTATACATAACACATTTTCTTTATCCATTCATCTGTTGATGGACACAGGTTGCTTCCGAATCTTAGCTATTAACTAATACTAAGATGATGAAGATTCTTGTACACTATTTGTGGTCACTGGAGTCACTGTATTCACTTTAATAACAACTCTAATAAATCAAAGTATCCCTCTGAGTAAAAAAATACTTCTGTGATGGGTGTTTCAAATCCTATCCAGGGAATCCCCATGTCTCAACCTGTCCATATCATGCTTGGATCATTTTAGAAAAACATGCTTTCCTACTATGTGATACTGCCCCAGGAAATGTGATGGAATGACATTTACTTTCTGAGTTGAGAGAACACATAACATTCTGTTTCAAGGGAGAAATCATCTTGGAATTTCCGGATTCTCCAGAACACAAAATTATTAATTAAATTATTAAAAGAATTAAACCTATAAAATATCAAATAGACTATTCTAAGCCATTGCCTAAATTTTCCCAATATCCACTAAAATTGGAGGCAGTTCAGGGACTTTCACCAATTATAGAGGAATTAATTAAATGAGGACTTATAATTCCTTCACTACTCCCTACAACATTCCAATCCTACCAATCAAAAATCTAATGGACAAGTTGGAGACTTGTTCAAGGTTTACGTGCAGTAAGCAAAACTGCAATCCCAAGATTTCCTGTGGCCCTAAATCCAGAAACCAAACAGAGGAAAATTTAATAGAACCAGGTCTTTATGGAGGTCACTGTCACCACATCTGAGTAACTTGGGTGCAGAATCTGGGGACATGATTGACTTTCCTTAATTGGATCTACACAATTTACCTGAGGAGAAATGTTTTGCTAAAGAGGCTAGCCTTGATTAGATTTGGCTTAACAGGAGCCAAGTTATTCAGGTGGGTCCCTTGGATTATACAGTTGATGAGATGATAGGACTGATTAGCATATATAATTGATGAGGTTATCAACTGCATAAAAAGAGGGCTCACCACTCACATGGTGCTTTCCCAGGAGAGTGGAAGAAGCTCTGAGCACCGGAGTGTGGTGACAGCGACCTCCATAAAGACCTGGCTCCATTGGATTTTCCTGTTTGGTTTCTGGTGAGTACTGGAGAAATTTTTACCAGGGCAGACGCATCCCATTTATTTTCGTCAATAAATTTTAACGTGAAAATTATTGTTTAATTGGACTACAGGTATTTGGTGGCAAGCTCTCTGAGAGGAGTTTAGGTTACTGTGGACATGTAATTTCTCTCGAATTCTAGTTCATATGTAATGGTCAGAGAAAAACTTACCTAATCTTGGCACACAGGAGTTGATTTCTCTGGGCTGGGCATGTTGGTTCATGCCTGTAATCCTGCCACTTTAGAAGGCTGAGTCGGGAGGATCACTTGAGGCCAGAAGCTGGATACCAGCATGGCAAACATACTGAGGTCCCATCTCTACAAAATATAATTTAAAAGTTACCTGGGCATGGTGGTGGCTCATGCCTATAGTCCTAGCTGCTTGGAAGGCTGAGGCAGGAGGACTACCTTGAGCCCAGGAAATGGAGGTTACACTGAGCTGTGATCATGCCACTGCACTCCAGCCTAGAGTAAAGAGAGAGACCGTGTCTCAAAAAAAAAAAAAAAAAAAGTTGATTTTCTGCAATTAGATTAGTGGAAGTATACAGTACATAAATAAGTATAATAAGCTGAGACCCAGAGAATAGTTCTCCGAGGAGTGACATATAAGTTTAGACTGTGGGAAAGGGAGAATGAAGAAAAAATGTGTTTGTGTGTATTGGGGTGGAGGTATATGTGGATGAAGGCTGATAGTAAAGAGGGAACAGATAAAGTCATGCTTAATTTTGATTATGCAATTCTTAGGGGCCCTGTAAAAGATTGGTTCGTGGATGCGTTGGTGTTGTCATTAAGAAATATCGGAGACTAGGGGGTGTATTTTTGTATGGTTTTGTGGAGGAGGTAATATCCTCAGACATTTCATTGACTGCAACTATGCAAGTGTAAATGATCTCAGAAGTAGAATCCAGACAAGAATCTGTCACTGTCAGTTTGGAGATAGCAACGGAAGAAATGGAAGCAATTGAATACATGTGTGAGAGTGCCAAGATAGGGTACAAAAAGAAGAGAGAAGAGAGTCTAGGATGGAATTCTGGGTCATTTAAATAATATCATTTGTGCTATTTGCAGAGAACTTAGGGGAGTAGTGACTACAGAGTAATTTTAAAACAGTAGTATGAAAAGGAGAGAATAGTTTGGTTCTTTTCTGTTCCAAGTAAAAGACTAAGGAACACCCATTAGGTATTTTATGGAACAATTATTGGTGTTGTTGGCAAGACATATTAATGAACAGACCATTGGTGGTCTCAGTAAGTCAAAGGGTGAGAGGGGATGAGGAAATGTTACCATTTTGACTTTCAATTTTCAGTTCAACTATGAGGGAAAGCACAGGAAAGCAGATACTAGAGAGAAAATAGGTTTAGATGTGGTTTTTGTTTCAAAAGCTTCATGATGATAGATTGGGAAGAGTAGAAGGAGCTGGTAAAGGAGATTTACTATATAAGTGGTAACATGAAGCTCCTAAGGGCAGGAGATAAAGCTTGAATTTGAATCAATTAAACATGCCAAGGGAAGAAAATATTTCAGTTTTATAGGCAAGAAGTAGTAATGGATGGGTATGGATTAAAGTAGAACTGCAGACTTCATGGCAGTGAGCTAAGGTAATTGGTGAGAAAATTTAATTCATCTTGGTAGGAGGAGGAAATTCCATCTGTGTAAAGTATGATAAAGGTAAGTATGTGCGTGATGCAAAAGTCATGGAGTAGATTTGATGTATTCATGGAGCTAAAAGAATAATTTAGATAGCAAGATACTGTGGGATTGCAAGATATATTTGAGAGTTACTGGGTATTGTGTGTCCGTATTAGGCCAGGATCAATCTCCTAGTCATGTTCTCTGTCAGAACTGGCTGCCGAATAGGAAAAAATATGAAGCCACTAAGATTGGTGTTTAGATCCAGAGTAAGATCAGATAGTAGGAGGTAGTAAGAGGTCAAATGGACAGATAATTTTTGATGCTGCTGGTCAATATTGAAGAGCGTCATGGTGATTAAGCTAAGCAGTGAAAATGATGAAATTTGAGGGCCAATGGAAAGAAACTAGGTTCAACTAACTCTAGGGTCCCTGCGGTAGAAAACTGTGGACATTGGAAATGATTCTGTGAACATCCCCAAAGGAGAGAAGGCTATGATTATGGGGTGTGGCCTCTGATTTTTTAAAATCTGGAATCAACAGTAAAACCTAGGTATAGTATGTACTTCTCAAGGTGACCATATTTAGAAATGTGAGTGTGTGAGCAGTGTTACAATTAGACTAGACTTAAAATCTTACCAGACACGTGGCACAGGTCTATACTCCCAGCTGCTAGGGAGACTGAGATGGGAGGGTTGTCTGAGCCCAAGATTTGGAGGCTGCAGTAAGATATCATTGCACCACTGCACTCCGGCCTGAGCAACTGAGGGAGATCCCATATAAAAAAACAAACAAAGGTCGGGCGCGGTGGCTCACGCCTGTAATCCCAGCACTTTGGGAGGCCAAGGCGGGTGGATCATGAGGTCAGGAGATCGAGACCATCCTGGCTAACTCGGTGAAACCCCATCTCTACTGAAAACACAAAAAATTAGCCGGGCGTGGTGGCGGGCGCCTGTAGTCCCAGCTACTCGGGAGGCTTCGGCAGGAGAATGGCGTGAACCCGGGAGGTGGAACTTGCATTGAGCCGAGATCGCGCCACTGCCCTCCAGCCTGGGCGACAGAGCGAGACTCCGTCTCAAAAAAAAAAAAAAAAAAAAAAAGAAAAAAGAAAAAGAAAAAGATGTACTGGACCCACTTTGGAGCTCTGAAATGTTGTCATGTTACTAAAGCCTTCTGAGCCCACATTCAGCTCACTTCTTACACTGAAAATAACACCAACAGCAGGGTTATTGGGAGAGTTATTTAGACAAATAGATATGTATATAACTAGGTAAATCTATATCTATATCTGTGATCTTCAAGGAGAGCGTCACGTGTAATTAAAGTTTAAATAATTTACTTTTTATTTTTATCTGAACCTTAGGTGAAAGCAGTGAGTTAAGGCTACGTTGAGAACTCTGTCAGAGAGTGCATTGATCACCCACCTGCACCTACAAAGATGGGAAACTGCCTGAGACGCCCCACCTCAGATGACACTATTGTGCAACCGTCGACAGGGCAGGATCTTAGGCCCCTACTGCCACATATGGAACAAGCTCCAGTTCCAGTCTATCACCCAGCACCTGGCCAGCCTCTGTTAGCAATACTGCTGACTGAAGAAGAACAAGTTAGAACAGCTCAAAGACTAAGCCTTCTACAGTGTCTGCCTGAAGAAGTTTATGACCCTGGAAGAGATAAATCAGAAGAGGAGATGCCAGAGTGTGTGATCTGTTTACTGGAATTTGTTTGTGGGGACCCCATTCGATGTCTGCCATGCAAACACTTCTTTCACCTTGACTGCATAGACACATGGCTGCTGCGATCTTTCACATGTCCCTACTGCCGGGGGCCAGTGGATGCAGCGCTGTCTACATCCTTGGGACAAACTGGGTGACTTCAAGATAAACATAATTTTTGATGGTTTTGGTTTTTTGCCACTAAGCCAAAGAGCCAGGGAATAGAAATTATGATGATGCACAAAAAGTTTTCTAAAATTTTTAAAATAACTACAGATGCTGGGACATAGTAAGTGACATTTTAGAAACTTACAGGGAAAAGTAGGGGGATTTTTTTATGGACAGCTTGACCCAAGGTTTATAAATACAAGTGCATTTAGATTTTGTTTTTGTTCTAGTACGTAGGAATTGTGTAAAGTGTTGCAGCAGCTGTATTTGTTTTAATTGTGTGAAGATTAGGAAAAAGATTGTGGTTATTTTTACTAAATGAAATAACTTCTCCCCAGTGCAAACCCTTAACTAAAGTTACTGGCATTTACCTTAAGGTGTTAAGAGCTGCATTTACATGTTCAAATAAACTTTCACAAGGCCCTTATCTTTTTTCTCCAACATTTTATGAGAGGTTTAACTTTTTAAATGTCTCATAAATACAATCAAAATTTTAAAAAGGGCGCATCCCACACAAGAAGCCCAGTTGAGTTTGATGTCTGTGTAATCACGATATGTCTCCAGGAATGTAGTGCTAATTATGTTTATTTTCTGTGTTCCCTGCTTAAGGAGAGCTTTCTTGTGTAACCTGCCTCTGGTGTTTTCTGTTTTTTGTTTTTGTCTCTGTTTCCTGCTATTCAACCATCTTAGGAAATTTGTTCTAGCAGCTCAGGAATGGCTCATGGGCCTTTACCTCCTCTGAGTGGTTTTTCTCCTGACAGGGGACACTTTGCATTGATCCCTGAAGCAGTTCCACTCCTCAAGGCAGCCTTCTGTGGCTCCCTGGACTGTGCTCCTTCAGAGGAAGACCTCCAGACCTCAGCTTCTTCCTGTATGACATGAGGGAGGCTGGCATTTATACACTCATTAAAAATTCATATTTTAAAGCATTTTCCAGCAAATCCACCCCCAGAAGAGAACAATTTTTCTGCGTCTCCCGAACCAATTATTCAATAGTGCGCTGTGATACCCACCCAGCGCAGGCTGGAGACAAGATGGGGTGTGGACTCTCGGGAGGCGGCGACTCCAGGCGTCCACCAGAGCGGGGCTTACGGTCCCCGAGGCGGCGCGGCTGAAGAGTTGGTTTAGGTTTAATGAGAAACAACTTGGCAAATCTGAAAAACAATAGTTGGGAAAAGTGTTAAAAAAGACCAAGCCCAGGAGCTTAAGACAAAATCTGGCAGTTCCCTCCCGCGGCCGCCAGGGGTCAGTGCGCACCTGAGGAGGGGGAGGCCCGGGATCGGCGAGCGCCTGAGGAGGGAGGGTCCGGGGGTCACTGCGCACCTGCGGAGGTGGGGGCGGCCAGGGTCAGTGTCCCCCTGGGGAGGGGGGGTCAGGGGGTCAGCCTTCACCTGAGGAGGGGGCGGCCAGGGTCCGTGCCCACCTGAGGAGGGGGGTTCAGGGGGTCAGCCTTCACCTGCGGAGGTGGGGGCGGCCAGGGTCAGTGTCCACCTGGGGGGGGGTTAGGGGGTCAGCCTTCACCTGCGGAGGTGGGGGCGGCCAGGGTCAGTGTCCACCTGGGGGGGGGTCAGGGGGTCAGCCTTCACCTGAGGAGGTGGGGGCAGCCAGGGTCCGTGTCCACCTGGGGGGGGGTCAGGGGGTCAGCCTTCACCTGAGGAGGGGGCGGCCGGCGGTCAGTGCGCACCTGAAGAGGGGGAGGCCCGGGGTCAGGGCGCACACGGGGATGCGGCGGTCGGGGGATCAGTGCCCACCTGGGGAGGGGGCGGCCGGGGGTCGGTGTGCAGCTGCAGAGGGGGCGGCCGGGGTCAGTGCGCACCTGCGGAGATGGGGGTGGCGGAGGGTGAGTGCGCACCTGGGAGGGGACGATCTGGGGGTCAGTGCGCATTGGCGGAAGGGGTAGTCCGGGCGTCTGTGCCCACCTGCGGAGGGGGTGGCAGGGGGTCAGTGCGCAACTGCAGAGGGTGCGGTCCGGGGGTCAGTGCTCACCTGGGAGGGGGCAGTCGGGGGCCAGTGCGCACCTGGGGAGGGGGCAGTCTGGGGGTCAGTGCGCACCTGCGGAGGTGTGGGGGCCGCCGGGGGTCAGCGAGCAGCTGAGGAGCGGGCGAGGCCGGGGGTCAGTGAGCACCTGCGGAGGAGGCGCTGGGAGTGGGGAGAGGGGACCAGGAGGGGCGTGTGGGGAGACGGGAGAGGGGCTTGGGGGTACCCTGAAGTGAGAAGTGGGGGGGCAGGGAGTGGGGTCTGAGGGGACAGGGGAGTGTTAGGAGGATCCTGCAGTGGAATGTGAAGGGACCGAGACGGGGGTGTGGGGGGACCACAGGGGATATGGGGGCATGAGGGGTTGGGAGGGTTGGGGGGACCCTGGAGTGGGATATAGGGCCACCAGGAAGGGATGTCTGGGGAACAGGGGCGGTGTGGGGATGTGGGGAGATGGGGGAGGGGATTGGGTGGGACGTGGGAGGACTGGCAGGTGGGCTTTGGGGACAAGGGTGGCCAGGGGGACCCTGGAGGAGGATGTAGGGGGCACTCTCTGTGGGATGTTGGGAACAACCTGGTTGGGGGCTGGGCAGAGTGGGGCAGATTTCCTGTGCTCCTGTGGAAATGCAGCCTGGATAATCGCTAGACCAGAAGACCACAGCACAGAACAGTTTTAGTTGACAGAGCCCATAATGTGAAGCCAAATCCATGTGGACATGCTTAGATAGACATGATATTTTTGTGGAGGGATTCTTCAACTGCTAAGAGTGGGAGTAGAAATAGAAGAGTGGGGAAGGACACAAAACCTTATATTTCATTTCATAACCTTTGGAATTCTTAATTTTTTCTATGTGCATGTATTACCATGTAATAAAAATTAATTTAAAAGACATTTAATAAGAGTATAAAGGCATGAAGGACTACGGTAAGGCATGAATAAATTATAGTGTGCTTGAAGTTTTCACCATAGGATGAAAGGACAAACAGAGAATTAGGAGTATTGTTTTCCACACCAAAATATCATGACTTGGCTGAAGAAATATATCTATCTGTATCTGAAATCAACATTAATGTTATCAAATAATTCAGACTTAGAGTTTTCAATAAATGTATAGAAATTGTTTTATTCAAAGACTAAGGGGGAAAGGGTGAGAAATTAAGTCTAGCAGTACAATTATAGAACCTCTGGTGTATTCTCATGGGAAAATTAATGTTTTAGGTAAAATGGAGACGACAGTAGTTACGACAAATACTTGAGAAAAGCCTATGAAATTACTGACTTTGGTAGTCCAGCCAAACATTTGCTTCAGGAAAAGCATCCAGAAATATAATGATTTAGGGATATCAAGGTATACTATATAAAGCATTGTTGTATATATTATTTCCTCTTTTCCCTTGGGAGGTAATATCTGAATTATTATCAGACTCCTAATGAGGAAACACTCTGAGAAGTGAGAAGCCTGCCTTGTGTCAGAGTGGGTAAATCAGAGAGACAAAGGCGTTAGGGCTTGAACTCAGGCCCTCTGACTTTGCAGGGTTCTATTGAAGTGGCCACCTTGCCTGAGGCTATGAGGCTGAAGGAGTGGGCAGAGGAATACACTGTGGTCATTCACACCTGAAATTATCATCTTACCAAGGAACCACCTTTCCCGATTAGGTGACCAATTCACTATTTATCCTTTTACTATTTCTTAGAAACCCCAAAGCCAATACATACGCTATTCCTTTGTAAATTATAGGGTCAATGAAGTTGAATTGATTGTTTCTGGCCCCTCTGATAAAGGTAAATTGAGTAAAGTGTAAACGTGAAACAGCATGGGTTAGGATACTTTTCAAGGATTTTGGTGCCAATTTCTGTTTTCCCCATGGCTACCCTCATATTATCTTTGCTTTTAGGCATTTTTTCCTTCAGATATATAGGTTTTATGCACAAATGTTAGTGAAACAGACTGTTAACTGTGAGGTACAATTTTTGTCCAGCAAATTTTAGTTTCCACATGAAATGTTTCATTGAATTTGGATAATTTGAAAAGAGGAATACATTATTTTATAAATTGTTAACTGTTTTAAATTTGGTTAGGGGAAGACAGTGTGGTGATTCCTCAAAGACCTAGAACCAGAAATACCATTTGACCCAGCAGTCCCATTACTGTGTCTATACTCAAAGGAATATAAAACATTCTATTATAAAGATACATGCACGTGTGTGTTCATTGCAGCACTATTCACAATAGCAAAGACATGGAATCAACCCAAATGCCCATCAATGATAGACTGGATAAAGAAAACGTGGTACATATACACCAGGGAATACTATGCAGCCATAAAAGGAATGTGATCATGTCCTTTGCAGGGATATGAATGGAGGCGGAAGCCATTATCCTCAGCAAACTAACACAGAAACAGAAGACCCAACACCACGCAGTCTCACTTACAAGTGTGAACTGAACAATGAGAACACATGGACACAGGGATGGAAACAACACACACTGGGACCTGTTGTGGGGGTGGAGCGGGGAGAGGGAGAGCACCAGGAAAAATAGCTAATGGATGCAGGGCTTAATACCTAAGTGATGGGTTGATAGGTGCAGCAAACCACCATGGCACACGTTTACCTGTGTAACAAACCTGCACATCTTATACATGTATCCCATAACTTAAAATAAAATAAAATAAAAATAAAATTCAGAAATAACCACCCTCCCCCAAGAAAAAAAGAAGGATGAGAAGAGTTAGAGGTTTGTTTCTGTGCCACCCTGTTCCAGAAAAGAGTTGAAACAGTTTACAATGAAGTATTTAATAACATAAAACCAAATGAAGATAGAAAATTATAGAGTAAAAATGGAATATCAAGACAGGAATATGAAGAGACAGGTAAGTGATGAGCATTGTCACAGATCTTATCAGAGGCTGAGCTCCTATGCAGAATCCATGAATAACTAGACCTAAACCCTATGCAGCTACCTGATAGATGTCATATGCTCAAAAAGGTGTTAGCAAGCAGTGGATAGCCGTTGAATCTGAGCCTGAATGTATGTTGTATAAAGACGATGTGTAAGGAGTAATGTGTTCCCTTATCCACATAACACCACCACTGAACAAAGAGCAAAAAGAAAGAGAGGGAGGGAGGGAAAGTATCTATCCTACATGTTGACAGCAAAGTTACATTGTTTGAATACCAATGTAAGGAGCTTTGGCACCACAGTTGCAGACTGCCTTGAGTTCATACATTCTCAACCTTAACAACAATGTAATTTTTGCAACTAGAGACTTTTTAAAAATTAGGGCAGACAACTATATTCAAAACAGTAGGCTCTGTCACTTCAAGATCTGCTTTGAGAAAGGCAGTGATAATGGAGAGAGTATTTGCTGAGGTGACTAAAAAATTGAACACAAACGGTTTTTTCTGTCAACTGAAATGACCACTATCATTTTGAACTTTCATAATTTTAGGAACACATAGTTGGTTTTCATTAAGCTGAGGATGGCTTTGACCACCTGGTAAAGACTACAATGTCACAGAGGTCAAAACCACGACAGACGCTTTAGATGTACACATAGTCATGTAAATTATAATGCTTCGTTGAAGTGAGGAGAAATCACACTTACATAGCTTAAAAATATCTCACTGGATTTTGCTCAAATTTGTATCAAATATTGTACTGAAGCGCTATTCAAGATCAGAGCCCCATGGATAAGCTCGGGGCTTATCAAGAAAAATATACACAGCTGCATTGATTTTCAGATACACAGAACTCTAGAGAACGGATGTGATCAAGCAAACAACCTAACATTTTCAAGGGGCTAAACCAAGGCCCAGAGTCGGGAGGGGACTTACCCAGACTCACAGGGAGCAGTGCCAAAGCTGGGCCAGACACACATCCCCCTGGCGCCAGCCAGCTCCCCGACATAGGACAGATCAGAGTAATACTTGAAAATTTACAATTCACTATGTAGGATTTGTGTTCCTGGAGAAGGAAGTCGGTTGGTGGGGGCAGGGCAGGGGGGCAAGTGCAATGTACAAGTGAATGCTGTGATCCCTAAATACCCGAGGAGATGAGGGAAACCACAACTGGTGACATCAGGGGAGTCAGAGACGGCACTGTGACAGGGCTTGAGTAAGGACGTGGAGCAGATCAGAGTTCCTGGACAGGACAGTGCGTGGGGTGAGCACCTGGGTAAATGGAAAAGGAGGAACCAGAGGCCTGGGGGAATTCATGATGGACTAGGTCACTTTGGGCCATATGGGCGAAGGGGATCAAACAATTAATTTTAAAAAAGAGACAGATTGTACGTCTCCTTGAGATTTAGCACCAGAGATATAGAAAGTGACAAGACACAGTTCGAGCCCTCCAGCCTCACCACACAGAGCAGACGACAAACCCTAAACTGATCACTACATGCAATGAGAGAAATGTCGCACTGGGGAACACAACAGGGCATGGAAGACCTGTGCAAACTGTTAAGAAAATGAGACCAATTCTTCCTGGGAAAGTGTGACAGGTTCTGAAGAGCACCAACCAAAGATCTGCAGTGGGGGCTCTGAGAGTGGAGTGAGGGGAGGGGCAGTGAGAAGCACCTGCCCCTGCACTGCTAAACAAATCCCACACCAGAGCCTGCAGGCTCCCCAGCTCCAGCTCTAGGCCTGTGTCCACTTCCTACCAAGGCTGTTTCCTCCCGCCCACCTCTGTCCCCACATTTTCACTCTGAAATCATGATACCAGTTTGCTGTTTTCAGAAACATCTGCAATTCCAAAGGAAAAAATCTAAAAGAATATCTAATGATGACGTTTCTCATTAAAATACCTTTTTGATGTTATTTGCCTTCTAGTGAAAATCATACCTAATCATTTTTGAATTAATTTTCAAAAATTTTTGGAATATCAAAAGAATATTACATTTTCTAAATTGGTCAGTTGGGTTAAACACAACAATGGAGACACACACAAAAGAAGCAATACCTGAGGCTTATAGTCAACAGTTACCCAATATGGACACTCAGAAATCGTTGCGTTACTTATTTTTAACCACATCCTATCTTCTTTAAATAGTGGTATCTGAGATTTGAGAAGGCAGTGAGTTGCAGTTCTTCGAGAGCACTGAATTCCTACAGATATATTCATTTTGTTTGTTTTCTCACTTACCTTTTTTATTCTTGTTCATCAAAGCCATGACATAACAGGTCCACAGATCAGGAAAACAGCTCATTACATAAAGGGGGAAATCAGATTCACACACTACCTCGACTTTAGCCCAAACCCAGATGGCAGAGTCTCCTCCAGGGTGGGAAAGTAGCCATAAGCATCCGTTTCAGTCACTCCACATGTGTATTCACACGACCTGCGGGGCGCCCCAGAGGCCAGGCGGCCGCTGGTTCTGGGGACGTTTTTCAGAAGAGCAAACGCACCGGATGGCAGGTTTTGGAAATGTTTCCCCTAAAGCAGACCCCAAAACCCAGCAGCGCTGAGCACTCAGGACCGTTTGTATCTGTGTTATTGCCCATGAGAGAATAGATGGCATGCAAAGACATTATTATTAAAGTTGGTAGTGCAAGAACACACAGCAAATTTATGTCTTGTAGTCTAGATAAAATATTACAGTCTCTGCTACAATTTCAGCAGGCTCACTGGGGCCTGTGACCCCAGCATCCTGGGAGCTCCACGTAGCCCACCTTAGCGCTGGGGTCCAAAGCCCTCATCCAACTCACACCTCGCACTCCTGCCACTCACAGGTGAGACTGAGCTGCTGGGAACATGGGGCCGTGCTGACTTTCCTTGTGCCTGCCCTGGCGTGAACACAGGACATCCTGCACGGAGCATGGGGAGGGGTGTGGTGGGTGTTCCTTGGCTTCCGGTTTCATGTCCCCAGTCATCACACCCTCCTGAGCAGGTACTTCCTCAGTGAGTGGGATGCTCCATCTGTAGTGAGAACCATTGTGATCCGTGCAGGCAGGGTGCTGAAGAGGTTGAGAATAGGGGAAGGCTGCCCAAGGGGGAGATTTGATGCTGTTTACTCTGAGGCCTTTTGTGGAGGCCGAGCACCTCACTCTCTCTCGCAGAAGGAGGCAATTGAGAAGTTGTGACCCAGTGCAGGCTGGGC
Organism: Homo sapiens; assembly: GCF_000001405.40. Lineage (NCBI taxonomy): Eukaryota > Metazoa > Chordata > Mammalia > Primates > Hominidae > Homo > Homo sapiens. The sequence continues at coordinate 272,763 of NC_000008.11, forward strand.
TGCTTACCGTGTGCAAACTCAGCAAGTGCAGTGAATGGAAAGCCACTTTATTTCCATAGCCACAGGGGGAAGTGGCCAGGTTTACACCTAGAGAAACTGCTTTGAAGGTTGGCTGAGGGCAGGGGTTTAAGAAGGAAAGCTTGATATGGGAGGCATTTCACATTGTAATGGTAAGCGAGTGATGGGGGTGTGACATCTGTGTCTCTTTTTTCAGTGGCTATCTCGGGTCACAGTCCTCCTGGAGCGTGGACTGGCATAACCACAACAATGACCAGGTTGTGGACGAACGGCTTTAAGGTGATATTTGAAATTTTGCAGCTGGGTCTCCAGGTTTGATCTGTCTCAAGGTTAACCCCTGTAACTTCTAAGTAAGCACACAGTTAGATAATGTGGAAAGGGTTTACAGTCGGAGAGGGAGGGATGTGGAGTCTATTTTAAGGTTAAGGGGAAAAGGCTTCTGCAGTCTGCTTGAGACTAGTAAGAAAAGAGAAAGCAAAAAAAAGTTTCAGAATGCATTTTGAAGCAAAGCTGCTCAGCTACAAGGTTAAGGGTTATGAGCCAAGGTGATCCCCTCACCTATGCATCAGCATGAAAGTCAGCATCATCCCCAAGACGTGTGAAGAAACGAGTTCAGAAAGATGGGATATGGCATTCAGGGAGCCCCAAATGACAGGGCCGGGATTCACTCCCAGGTTTAGTTTAGGCTAAAGACCATGCTTCTTCCAGGACCCCTGGACTTCCTTAGCACTGCCCCCCACCCAGAGCTCTAGGGCCCTGGATCCTGAAGATGGGGGGGGCGGTCCCTGGGTCAGATTTGTCCCGTGCCACCCTCCTGGGAGAGGCTGCAGTAAATAAACCAGGGCCCAGGAAGGCCAAGGGCAGGACCCTGCCCCACAGTGAGGAAGAAGGAAAGAAACCCGGGAGCCAGAAGTGGGAGGCACACAGGAGGGAGGTTGTGGGTGTAGGAGTGGGGGGTTGGGGGACTGAGGGGTGGGGGAAGGGGGTGTGGGGTGGAAGGTGTAGAGGGGGGATGGGGGTGAGGGGTGAGGGGTGGGAGGTGGGGGTTGGGAGCGGGGGATGGGAGGTGGAGGTTGGGGTACAGGTGAGGGGTTGGGGTATGGGGTTTGGGGTGGAGGGCGAGGAAGGTATAGGGTGGGAACTGGGTGAGGGGTGAGAAGTGGGAGGTGGTGGGTGAGGGTAAAGGTGGAAGGTGTGGGATATTGGGCTGGAGACTGTACGGTGGGGTGGGAGTAGAGGGTGGGGTTGGGGTGAAGATTGTGGGGTGGGGGTAGGAAGTGTGGGATGTGGGGTGCAAGGTGGGAGGTGTGGGTGGGGTTGGGGGTGTCAGGTGGAAGCTCTGCTCTCTCCTTCACTCCCACAGGCCCAGCTTCAAAGCACATTTCCAGCACCCTCCCAGGAACCGATGTGATTCAAAGAAGTGAAACAGCCTCTCAGAAAGGCTTACCGGGCTTAGGATGCAGCCTGCTTGAGTTCGGTTCCTTTTCAAAGTCAGGTGCTTCTCATCTATCAACTGGGGGTCCCAAGAGGCAACCTCACCCAGTTAAAAAAGGATTAAATGCGCTTTCTATGCAGACTTGAGGCTTTTCCCAGCATGCAATCTGTCAAGGGCCTGAGATAACAAGAGGGTGGAGCCCTGCAGGAAGGCGGCCCTGGGCACCGGCAGCTGCCAGCAGAATGGCCAGTCTGCTGCTTGTTTACACAGCAAATTACATTTTCCGATAACATATCATAACAGATTAAGCCTGAAAAACACATTCTTTCCAGGCCAGCAAGTGCTTCAGAGGATTACTCAGCCCACAGGGCTTCTGACCTCCCTGCTCTTAAGGTCAGGGGAGCACAGGTTCCCATCTGCCGCCTCCAGGTCCCAGTCCGAACCTGGAACGCAGCTGATCTCAGCATGGAGCTGCCCTGCGGTCGCCACACCCAAGAGCTGGAGCTCACTGAGGCGAGTTACTTTCTCCTGGGAGACGCAGCCAGCTCTTATTTTAAAGCACATAGCATCCACCTAAATGAATGAGCACTTTTTTTTTCTTTCCAATGAGCACCTTTAAAAATTTAGTTTGGAATGACTACAGGGGCTAAAAGCCACTTCTTGGGGCTTGGTTTTTCCATAGAAGGAATGCTTGATCGCTTCAGCAGCTGAACCTGGGGAGCCACTACATTCCTGCTGGTAAAAAATAAATCCATTCCCCAGGGAGGTACCCTTGGGGTCCAGTTGCCCCAGGACCCAGGAGAGCTGGTCTTTCACGGAGAGGTCAGGAGAAGCAGGGATAACATGCTGTTCCATGGGTCATGAATCTTGGTGGCGGAGGCTGCCCACGGGTGGCCCGTGAAAATGTGGGGTGTCTGTTCCTCAAAGTGATAGTGTGCCTCATTCTATGCCCCTGACTTAACACAGCTTCTGGACCCCACAGCCCGAACCCATTTCTGCCCCCTCACTACTGGGGCTCTCATTATGTCATCGACTGGGTGCCCCCTGTGGGGCAGAGGCTTGCAGGGAGGCCTGCCCGCCTCCCAGTGCCTGTTCTTGCGGCCTGCACATGCGTAAAACCCACACTGCAGGAGTCATTCCTCTGTCCAGGAAGGCTCTGCAGCCTCTTCCTCCCTTCACAAAGTCTGCCAAACTCTCACATAGGAGAGGAACTCATGAACCCTGCTCCACTGAGACACCCGCGGCAGAATCGGGCCATGTCAGATTTGGGATCATTCAGCAAATGCTTATGGAACACTAACCTTGGCCACATGGGCCCAGGGCTCTCAGACATGTGGCACACGAGACAGGCAAGGGCCTGGCTTTCAGGAAAAATTATATGAGTGGCAAGAAAGACCACAAATGTTGACTTGGTGACTATATAGACCAGAAAAGCTCATGGAGCGATGGGCCTGTGACACACAGTGCATCCTTCAGGAGCTCCTCCTTCCAGCCCATTAGAGTCATGGGGAGGCTGGGAAAATGGGAAGGTCGGGGTGAGGCAGAGCAAAAAGCAAGGAGACACAGGAGGGAGTGTGCTCGCCCCCCACTCGAAGTTCAGAAAGAAGCCCTGAGAGGCTGCCCTGAGAGCCAGGGAGCGATGAGGACTGGAAGCTGCAGGGAAGGGTTTGGCTTCTTTTCATCTTTTCAATGTGGATGTGACTGGCCTCGATCTCCCTCCTTAAGGGCTCATTTCCTTTGTAGAGAGGAGAGTGAGAGGCCAGTCAGAAGGTGTTGGCCTGGTTCAGTTGAGAGATGACTTTGGCAGAAGAATCAACAGGACTGCTTTGAGACTGGATACTGGGGCTAGGGGAAGGAGAGGGGAAGTGGGGGAGTCAGATTCCAACGCCTGTAGGAGGAACACCCATGAACAGAGCTTTCCTAGCTCCCTGGATGCTTCTGTCAGCATGGGACAGCCTAGGCCAGAAGCAAACCTGGTTTCAGTGATGCCTGGAGGAGGATGTGGGTAACCCCACCTGCACCTTTGCTGCAAAATTCCCCCAGGGATTTAGTCCTTAGCTGGAGCAAAGGTCAGACTCTCTGATCTTCACTGACTGTGGAGAGAGGAGTGGAGTGGGTCAGAGAATGGGCACAGAACAGACGGGAAGAAGCATGACAGGGAAGAGGCCGCTGGGCCTAGAGCCAGCAGCATTGCTCACACAGCTGCAGGAGCCGTTAGCTCTGTGTATGGTTACTGTGTGACGGACTCCAGATGCCCTCGGGAAGCCACAAGCCACTGCCCCCAAGGGGTGAATAGCTGCCCTCTCACCAGGAGCATTTTGCTGAAATGGACTCTTGGGCTCTTCCATATTTAAAATCAAAATAGATAAAGCGCACTGGGTGTGATAGAGCTTGCAGAAAATGCACATACCTCTGGCAGCTCATCTTCTGGGTAGGGTTGAGTCAGGAAGACAGCCTCTTTGGTGAGGGTTTTGGTACAATTTGGAATGCTTTTGATGCTGCAGAGTGGCACACACACCCAGTGTCACAGGATGCACATCCAGTTCTGGTCTACAAGTGAGAATGCTAAGGATTCTGCAGCACTCATACTCCTGTAGGATGGGGTCCATTCCTGTTCCTTTCCGGATGTGTGTATGTATGTGTGGCTTTGTACTTCTTTATTTTGCTTTTTATTTTTATTATGGAAATTTACCAATAGTACAAAAGACAGAATAAAATGTACAAGTCCCTGGCTCACAGAATTGCAAGCAAATAGAATGGATGTTATTTTAGGGCACTGGTTTTAGGGTGGCATGTTACACAGCAACAGAGAAACAAAACATCCACATTCTCGTTTCCTCAAATGCCTCCCAATTATACTTAGAGTGTTTTGGTTTGAATCAGAGGGTCTCATCCATGATTAATTGGTGTGTTTCTTGCATTTCTTATAACCTAAGAGTTGACCCTTCCTCTCCTTTTTTGTCCAAGATACAGAATCATCTAATTTCCCACAGCATTCCCATGAGCCATTTAACACATTTCGCCATCTCCTGTACTTGGATCTAGAGGTTTGACCAGTGTCAGGCCCACTTTCTAGTTTTATTTCTTGCCAAATGATGGAAGATGCATGTGGATGTGGCGGCTCCTTTCCTCCTTTTGGGAGCTCAGCAGTGAGCAAGCTCAGCTGGACTCGGCTGCCCTCGGGAACCTCAGGGTCTTTGGGTAATGTTGGCATCCCAGGTGGGCACAGCTGTCCCGGGCCCTGTCATGGACCAAATGTTTGTTTCTCCCCTGCAAATTTCTATGTTGAAGCCCTAACCCCCAGTGGGATGGTATTAGGAGGTGGGGCCTCTGGGAGGTCTCTAGGGTTAGATGAGGTCCCATAACGGGATGGCTGTCAAAAGAAGAGGAGGAGACCACAGCCCTCTGTCCTCCTGGTGAGGACACAGGCAGAAGGGCCATCTATGAACCCAGCACCACCAGAACCCAGCCTGTTGGCATCTTCGTTCGTCTCAGACTTGCAGCCCACAGGATGGTGAGAAAGGAGCCCAGGTGGTGGTGAGCAAACCCTCCTCTAGATGTCTGTTCCCTCTCCAGGCTCCTGGCCCGGAACTCCTTGGACAGATCACTCATGATGCAGAGAAACTCAATGTTCCCACCTCTGAGGCTCACCCACAAAGATGTTACATGACATGGGCAGGGCTGGCTCTGCCCTACAAGGGTGTTCACGCAGACCAGCCCGACAGCCAGTGCCTCTCCCAACCATGGTGCACCCGAAACTCCTGCATCCAGCCCATGCTGTGTAGGAGTGAGCATCCATCACTTCTCTGTGACAGGTTTTGCACATGAAGCCCTATGTTGTATCTGCACATGTGGCAAGAGTGGCTGTTACTGAGCTCCTTGCACGGGGCAAGCAAGGTCCACCAGCAGCACATGGTGTCTGGCGGCCTCTCCCTATGGTGTCAGCAGCCACTGAAGACTATTGCCTAGATTTACCAATTTATTAGGAGCTATGAAATGATGATATTTCAATTCCAAATTTTTATTAAAGAAAAAATTCCTAATTGACTAGTTGTTTACCTTGAGGTCAAGTCCATATTTTGGGCTTTTTGTTTTACTTTGTTTTAGTATCACCATTAACTCATAAATTAAACAGTTGACGTGTTTCAGTACAGTGCTTATTTTCCTTACTGATGCTCACACTCTTGCAGCATTGGCCAATGGGGGCTTATTTGGGTTGAGCCTTTGGAGGTAAGTTCGGCGGTCTCTGATAAGTCTGTTCCTTCAGGTGTGGTGTGCTGTTGCAGGCACAGCTGGGACACGCTTGGTTCAGGCCTGGAACCACGCATTTCTCCAGAAGCCACAGGTCATTTGCTGAGAGAGGCCATGAGTGACCACAGTCTACTCACGAGGTGTTCACTGATCTGGACTTCATGCCTGTTTTTAGTTTTTTTTCTAGCTAGAGCTAGTCATTTCATACTGGGTGATTCAAATTCAGGAATACAGTGTTTCGAGTTAACCTCGTCGATTGCACAACGATTGCCTTTCAATCATATCAAAAATTTTGATTCTCAATGATGCGAAAGTAAAATACTCACTTAAACTACCCACCATGTAAGTGCCCACCTTGCCTCCAGGTGGTCTAACTTAACGTTTGTTTGTTTTTTTTAACTTGTTTGCTTTCATCATTATTGTTATAGTTGTTAACATAGTGATTTCTTTTTAATATTCAGGAAAATCTATATTTTCCTGACTTGCTTTTATCGTGGGGGGGGATTTGAAAATGCTCGTGTAGATTTTCCCGTGGTTGTTATCTGCTTTCCTGAGCGTGCAAGACAGGGCAGGAGGCTGGGATAGCTTCCTGAGTGCCACAGCTCCGGAGTTTCTGCTGTTTCCACAGGGACAACTTGGCCTTGTGCGTTCAGAAACCAGCCTTCCCCCGCTCCCCAGTCTGGCGTGGTGTTTCCTTCCTTTGCTGTGTTGTGCTTGTCCTGCTCCTGCTCGACTTGGATCTGAGTGTGTTCCTGGCAGTTTTTCTGCAGGGCAGGGATGTGCTCAGTACAGGAGTTTGTAGGAAGCAGATGGCTCCGTGACTGGGATCCTATTCCATTCATGCTCCCTTTGGCAAAGCTACAAATTATGTCCTTCAGGAGCTCCTGGGCCAGACCCTGTGCTCATACCTCACTTCCCCGTGAATTCCTTTTGGCATCTTGAGGTGCTTCTGTTTGTGGGGCCATCAGAAGCATACTTCCCTTCCCAGCTTTCTTCGACACAGAGCTTTGAGCCGTACTGTTTGTCTCTGCCCTGCCATATGTGGGGTTCATGAGGGTACTTTGTCCCAGGTTCTGTTGAAGGTATTTCAATGGGTCCTTAGTTTTGCTATAAAATCTAGTCTGTGTATGTTTCTGGGAGAATCTGGGGAAATGCGCAAGCAACAGAACATTGCTACCACCTTCCCAGAATTCCTCTTAAATGTGCTTTTAATTCTCTGAGGAAACTCAGAACAGGGTTAATTGTAGAAAAGATCAGATGCATGTTATGTTTAGCTCTACAAAACTCTGCGAAGTATAGATTCTCATGCATTCAAAGGAAAATAATACATCGTCGTAAATTGTGTCCAATATAGTCATTCCTCCAACTCAAATTCGGTGTGACTTTCTGGTACCCAGAACTCTCCAGAAATCTCGTCTTCTCCAAAAGTTCTTGACTGTACTGTACTTTTGATATTATTTTGCCACTAACATTATGAAATAACTCTTCTAACCACAAAGCAAGTATGTTCACTATGCCTCCTCCCTCACAGGAGTGCTGTGCATGGTATCGGCCATGGAACCCTGAGAGCAGGGACGCTGGAGAGCAGCTCAGAAGAGGCAAGACATGGGTGCTGGGTTAGTTCCTGCAGCTGCTGTAAAAAGTCGCTACACACTCATAGTTTAAACAATTTAGTGTTCTTACAGTTCTGGAGGCCAAAAGTCCTGAAATCAAGGTGTGAGCAGCACTGCGTTCCTCTGGAGGCTCTGGGGGAAAATCTGTTCCCAGCCTTTTCCAGCTTCCAGAGGGGCCCGTCTTTCTGGGCTCGTGCCCTTCCTCCATCCTCAAGGCCCACAGGGCAGCACCTTCAGTGACCAACTGTGACTTCTGCTTGCCTCCCCACACCTTTCTCCTGCCTCCTCCTGTATGGACCCGTGTGACAAACCCAGATAACCCGATAATCTCCATCTCAAGATCCTTAACTTAGTCATATCTGCAAAGCCCATTTTCCAAGTGAGATAGCGTATTCACAGATCCTGGGGATTAGGATGTAGGGGGCCATTAGGGACCTTTGGGGCCATTATTCTGTGCACCAGTATTCTAGGAAAAACGAACAAGATTAGGGCACTGTTCTGACAGGTGAAGCCAAGACGAAAGGTTTCTGAACACCATCATGATGAACAGCATAAGAAGGAGGAACAAGGTTGCTCCTGAGGCCCTTTCAGCCATGCACTCACCCCCACTCCCCAGCCTTGCATCTTCAGGGTGCACCCAGGCTCCTCAGTGAGCTGCAGCGTCAGTAGAGTGGCCCTGGCCCGAGGATTCCTCAGCCAAGGAAAGCAGGTGAATAAATGAATCATTGTAATTTTATATTGAAAATCTATAACAGTTACACACAATGCGGCTAGGAAGTGCCAGAGAGGAAAAGACAAACCCTGCCTGGGGAAGTGGGTAATGCTGAAATAAGTTTTGATGCATGCTCAGTGTAGAAAAGAAGACAAGAATTCTAGGGTAAAGCAATCCTGTTAAACACACAAGGACAAATGGGAGAACATGATTTTTGAGAGATCTGTGAGCAGCTGGGTGTGGCTAAAACCTAAAGGGTCCTGACTGTAGATGAGGAGAAGAAAGAAGACGGAGAAGGAAAATGGATTCTGATGTGAATGTCTCTGTAGGAGGCCGTACGGGGGTTCGGTCTTCTCCTGCAGACAATGCAGAGACCTTGGACATTCATAATCAGAGCTATTTTGGAAAGATCTCCCTCAGAATACTCTGACAAGCATTGTCCGTATCACGGCCTTCTGTGCACATGTGTTTCTTCCTATACTGATTTGTAAACTCGTTGCAAGTCATGGCTGCATTTGTCTTAGTTTTCCTTCCCTGTAACTTAAGTTTTCAAAAAAATTTTTATAGTTAAATTAGGTTGGACTGAATTGAGACCACAAAATTCTATGAAATGATGGAACTTTTATGTAACAGGCATATTTATATTAAAGATATATTTAAGACAAATAAAATACTAATTTACATGTTCTATTGTGGAATTTAAATAAGCATGTATTCATTCTAATACCTCATATGCACATGCTTTTTAGAACACCATACTCAGGCATTCAAAAACAACCTGAATTTGAAGGTGTGTTCTCATGTGAGGGTTAATTTTATGTGTCAACTTAACTGGGCCATGAGATGCCCAGATAGCCGTTAAAACATGATTTCTGGGTGTGTCTGTGAGGGTGTTTCTGGAAGAGATGAGCATTTGAATCAGTGGACTGAGTGAAGATCATGGGCTGGCCTCATCCAATCCTCTGCAGGCCTGAATAGAGCAAAAGGTGGAGGAAGGTTGAATTCCCTCTCTGCCTGATGGTGGGGCTGGAACGCCAGTCTTCTCTTGCCCTTGGCTTTCTGGCTCTTTGGCCTTTGAACGAAGCCACTGGCTTTCCCGGATCTCTGCCTTGCAGATGACAGGCTGTGGGACATTGCAGCTTTCACGATCACGTGAACCAACACCTCACAGGAAATCTCACTGGAGCTCTTTCTCCAGTCTTCAGACAGAAGGTTCTCTGTTAGGCACAAGAACAAGCTGTCCCAGCCTTGCTGTTTGTGCTGGAAAGGGCCTTATTGGAGACGCTCCACGTTGCAGAATCCACACTCCACGTTACAGAATCCACACTCCACGTTACAGAGTCCACACTCCACGTTACAGAGTCCACACTCCACGTCAGAGTCCACACTCCACGTTACAGAGTCCACACTCCACGTTACAGAAACCACACTCCACGTTACAGAGTCCACACTCCACGTTAGAGTCCACACTCCACGTTACAGAGTCCACACTCCACGTTACAGAATCCACACTCCACGTTACAGAGTCCACACTCCACGTTACAGAGTCCACACTCCACGTTACAGATTCCACACTCCACGTTAGAGTCCACACTCCACGTTAGAGTCCACACTCCACGTTACAGAGTCCACACTCCACGTTACAGAGTCCACACTCCACGTTAGAGTCCACACTCCACGTTACAGAGTCCACACTCCACGTTAGAGTCCACACTCCACGTTAGAGTCCACACTCCACGTTACAGAGTCCACACTCCACGTTACAGAATCCACACTCCACGTTACAGAGTCCACACTCCACGTTAGAGTCCACACTCCACGTTACAGAGTCCACACTCCACATTACAGAATCCACACTCCACGTTACAGAATCCACACTCCACGTTACAGAGTCCACACTCCACATTACAGAGTCCACACTCCACGTTAGAGTCCACACTCCACGTTAGAGTCCACACTCCACGTTAAAGAATCCACACTCCACGTTACAGAATCCACACTCCACGTTACAGAGTCCACACTCCACGTTAGAGTCCACACTCCACGTTACAGAGTCCACGCTCCACGTTACAGAATCCACACTCCACGTTACAGAGTCCACACTCCACGTTACAGAGTCCACACTCCATGTTACAGAATCCACACTCCACGTTACAGAATCCACGCTCCACGTTACAGAGTCCACACTCCACGTTAGAGTCCACACTCCACGTTACAGAGTCCACACTCCACGTTACAGAATCCACACTCCACGTTACAGAGTCCACACTCCACGTTACAGATTCCACACTCCACGTTACAGAATCCACACTCCACGTTACAGAGTCCACGCTCCACGTTAGAGTCCACACTCCACGTTACAGAGTCCACACTCCACGTTACAGAGTCCACACTCCACGTTCAAGCGCAGGCCATGTGTCCTCTTCCCTGTTGCCCCAACACCTCCCTGCAACCCCCACTCCGAGTCTGAGGCTGTGGGGGTCTGGGTGGGGTCACACTGGTGTTGAGGTGGGGTGTGAGGTCACTGCAGTCTCCTGAGCAAACAGGCAGCCAGGCCCACTGCAGCTGCAGGGGAAGCGCCTTGCCTGAGGAGCCATGCTTCTCATCGTCCAGTTTCTAGGGATCTCCAAACTCTGCACCTTCCAAACGGGCTGCGTATCGGGCATTTTCCAATTTTCTTTGTCCAGTAATCTTCATTTCATCTCAGACTTCACAGTGGAAAGTGGTCTGCAGAGATTGCCCTGTGAATCTCCATTCTTGGGTCACACTTAACGTAAGAGCAAATTTCTAATCAGTTTGGCAACTGACCACTTTCTCCCAGGACTCATCTGCCTCCTGCGTTCCTCTGTTCTGGTCAACTCTCTGCCATCAGGGACCTCGATCATGTCTTCTGCAGAACCACAGAGCAGGAAAGTGCTGAAAGCTGGATCTGCAGCAGCAATTGAAAGGCAGTGCGGTCCCAGCGTTCTTTATACAGGTGGCATGGGGTTGGGGCATGCATTTATACAGTGAGGCAGCTGATTTCGTAAAACTTTTCCATGTGAGAAGACAGTGGCTTTGAGAAGTAGCAACAGGACTAACCAGTACAAATTTTTATATGCCAATCATGTCCCAATAAAGTGGTCTTAAAAAAGGCTGAAGCTTATGACAAAAATAAAGAAAGAAAGCAAAAAAAGAAAGAAAAGAAAAAAAGAACGCACCCCCAAGGTGAATTCCAGGCAGCAGCAGCAGCCGTGGTGGATGGGCTCAGACCAACCCTCAGTGGGAGGAGCTAGGGAAGACCCCGCAGCTGCCCCGCTAGGTAATGACTGTGGGAAGCTGGCCCTAATCCCAGAGTTCCCAGTGCCCTCACAGTTTGTTAACCCAGGACACCCCTAGCACACCAGTCTCATGAAAAGAGGGGGGTCCCTGAAGAGCACCCAGGTCCCTCCAGGCCACCCAGGCCCAGGGGTCGGTCTGGACCTGCCATCTCCTGCTTGTTCCCCCCAGCCCCTCCGGGGTCTGCCTCTGACACCAGCTGAGTGTGACCTTTGATGTCTCAGAGCTTCCGTGTCATCAGCTGTAAGGTCATCTGTCTTTCTTTCCCTTGGTGTTGGAAACTTTTAAATAACGTCGCACTCAGAACTCAACTTGTAACACTCCCATAGGGATATCTTCAGTGATGCTGGCCGGTAGCTGCACCCCTCATCCTTCTGTCTGGGCTGCTTCTTCCAGTCCTTTCTTGGGATCTGAATTTTACCCCTAAACTCTGTGCCAGGGGCCGAGGCCACAGTGCATGCTAGATGACGTCCCAAAGCTGCACTCAAGAACAGCTCATGTTGGCGAGGCACATACCAAACGCTGCCTCAGATAGAGAAGAGCCACCAGGACTTTAGACAAACCCGGAGAGAACCCCAGAGGTGAAGACGCCCGGTGCTGGCTGGGACCTGTGCTGTTCCCCACGGGCCGACGCAGCAGGGCCTCAGGTACAGGGCAGACACATCCAGCCCTGCAAGGAACAGCCAACAGGATTCCGCGGGGCACGTGGAATCCTCTGCAGAGCTGTCTGTGTCCAGGGGCATTTCGTTCACTAAATGGTTCACTGAAGTGCTGTCCTGGAGAGATTTTCCAGCTTTAACGTATTTTTCAGTTGCCTTTTAGGAGAAATATCTGGTAGCGATCAAGAAAGCACAGTTGTCATAAATCAATAACTTTTTTAATGGAATTTTTTTCTTTTAAATAGACTTTAGTTTTTAGAACAGTAACATTAAGTGGAAAGTACGGAAAGTTCCCATTATCCCCTCCCCTCACACGGCCTCCCCACAGTCAACGTCCCCCACAGAGCGTTGCATTTGTGATAGTCAATGAAGCTGAGTGAACATCCTTGTCACCAAGAGTCCACAGTTTACATTAGGGTTCACTCTGGATGTTGTTATTTCTATAGGTTTGAACAAGTCTAATGATGTATATCCACCATGACAGCACCATGCAGGGTGGTTTCACTGCCCTAAAAATCCTCCGTGTGCCAACCGTTCATCCCTCCCTCCCAGCTAACCCCTGACAACCACCGGTGCTTTTACCGTTACCGTAATTTTGCCTGTTCCAGAATGTCGTATCGTTGGAATCATACAAGTATGTACCCTTTTTAGGTTGACTTCTTTCACTTAAGAACATGCATTTAAGCTTCCTTCATGTCTTTTCACAGCTTGACAGCTCATTTCTGTTTAGCCGTGAATAATATTCCATTGTCTGATGTGCCACCGTTTATCCGTTCTCCTACTGAAGGGCATCTTGGTTGTTTCCAAGTTTTGGCAGTTATGAATAAAGCTGCTGTAAACATCTGTGTGCAGGTTTTTGCATGGACATATGTTTTCAGTTTATTTGGGTAAATACCAGGGAGCATGATTGCTGGATTTTGTGGTAAAATGTCTAGTTTTATAAGAAACTGCCAAACTGTCTTCCAAAGTGGCTGCGCTGTTTTGCATTCCCACTCTGGAATGGATGAGAGTTCCTGCTGCTCCACATCCTCGCCAGGTTTGGTGCTGTCAGGGTCTGGATTCTGGCCCCTCTAATAGGGGCGTGGTGGTGTCTGGCTGACATTTTAATTTGCATTTCCCTGGTAACATATCATGTGGAGCATCTTTTTCATATGCTTATCTGTCATCTTTATGAATTTCAATTCAGTTTCCAACATTCTTAAAGGAAAAAAGAAGATTTTCAGCTAAACTTTTCTGGTAAATTGAAGATGTAACACATATCTATTCATATGGAAAGTGATGTCACCTCTGAAACATTGATAATTCGCAAGGAGAAGTTTCCACGGAAGACACAACACAGCGAGCTCCAAGTATTCTAGCTTTGGCCAATTGTGAGAGGCTCCTTTAGGTTAAAGGCAGAATATGGTTATGAAAACCACAGGGAAAAGAGGGCATTCTCCAGTCTCTTCGTAAAGAAATTGGAGTCTAGAGTAAAATGTGCCCCTTTGTTAAAATATTATCGCTCAAGAAGTAGAAATATATAAAATGTATATATCATATATATATAATACACACACACACACACAGCAAAGAAAATACGGTTCCAAATTCATTCAAACTGGTTCCGTACTGTGCTTCAATTCTCATGTCAGATGCTGGGTTGGAAGGATTTGGGATGTCGTGTAATCTGAAGCCTAATGATCCAAACAGATTGAACGTTAAGTCAGTAAGAATTTCTTATTGCTTGTTATAGGATGTTTACTGATTTGAAAACAGAATGTTTTTTAAGAGAAAGAAGTTAAGTGCCACACATTTCAATTTAAAATGTGAGATGAAGTATATTTCCTTGCCAATAGACACAAAAACACGTAGCTTTTTTCTTTTTCCACAGACTTTATAGAGCAGACCCGTTATTTCTGTGGAAACCCCTGGTGTGCCTGTTGATGGAATAAACGGTGAGCTTGGAGCACCTCGCCGCTCCCTGGCCGCAGGCCTTCCACAGCTTCCCAGGGCTCTGGGGTGTGTCCCGGTCCTGTAGCCCCCAACAGATGCCTTCTGCTCCTCAGGCTCCGTGCTCGGCACACTGTGTTCCAGCTCTGCTCCTGTAAAGCTCATCTTCTCTTAATTCCACTGAGCATTTTTGCCTCTTTCCTCTTCACATCTGTTGATAGTTCCCTGCACGTGAATGCCAGCCTCTTCTTCTCCAACAGTTAAGAGATGCCCAGGTTTCCCAGCCACTGCAAAGGGGCCCTGCGTGAGGCAGGCGGCACATCTATGCTGCCTTCGAATCAGATGACCTGGGCTCAAATTCAGCCACTCACGAGAACTGTGGAAGCACTTACATTACTTCAGCTCTTCAAGCTTCAACCTGCCCCGACAGTGGAGTGGACATAATATAAGAGACGACATGCCCCTGGTGCCTGCTCCATGCTGGACATGGTCTCAGCTGCTAGGGATGGCAGAGAGGAAGGCAGAGCTCACCCAGGAGGCCAGGCCATGCAGGGCTGTGGGCCACTGTTAGGGGCAGGGGCTTGATTCTGAGGGTGACAGGATTTCATTGCTGGGTTTTGAGCAAGGGAATGCTATGACGGTATTTACCTTTCTCAGGCTCAGGCTGCAGTGTGGAGAGTGGAGGAGGGGAGACAGCAGGAGGCCTGGTGGCATGGGGCTGCCAAGCTCCTATGGAAGGGACAATGATGCCTGGGCCCAGTGTAGCAATGAGGCGACCGACAACCTGTCCAGTTTGGAATCTGTGTTGAGTTTAGAGGCATCAAGGCTCACCAGATGTCAGGAGGTGTAGGTTTAAAGAAAGTTCCTAAGTCTGGGCCGTGAGCAGCCCGATAAATGTGGTGTCACTTTCTACAGTGAGGGACAGAGCAGGGAGAGAAGTCAAAAGTTCTGATTTGAACCAGACTTCCAAGTGGAGATGTCCTACAAGAAGTTGGATATGTGAGCCCAGAGAACAGGGCTGAGTATATAAATCTGTGAATCCACCGGCATCATGACTCCTGGGATGGCGTGACATGGCCTAGGGAGGGAGGAAAGGCAGCTCCGTAAGCTGGAGCTTTCCAAAATGTACAGTCCGGGAGAGAAGGGTCCAGCTGTGTGGCAAGGAGACAGAAGGAAAGTCAGAAAGGTGGTGCCTTGGAAGCCAAGTGAAAAAACTGTTCACAGAAAGATATTTCAAATGTTGGTTTCTAAAAGGTTAGCAAAAGTGTCCAAGTGACACTTCGTCTCTACAAAAAAAAAAAAAAAGCCAGGCAATGGGGTGCATGCCTGTAGTCCCAACTACTCAGAAGGCTGAGATGGGAGGATCGCTTGAGCCGGGGAGGTTGAGGCTGCAGTGAGCTATGATCACACCATTGAACTTCAGCCTCGGTTTTAGAGCAAGACCCTGTCTCAAAAAAAAAAAAAAAAAAAAAAAATGTCCAAACACTGTTGAGAGGACAAAGAAGGTGAAGAGTGAGGTTTTTGGTTGGATTTTTCAAAATGGACATTAATGGAAACTTTGTTAAGAGCAGTTCCTCTTGAACCCTAGAGTTGGAGGCAACAGAGAGAGTGAGAAGTGGCTAAATGGAGAAAGGAGGACGGGCAGCTCTCTTGGGGGTTTATGGTAACAGAGGAGAAGAACGGGCTGGTATCTGGAGGTGGCATCTGGAGGTGGGTGCATGAGCACCAGAGAGGAAAGTCAGATTTTCTGTTGCTTTTTGTTTGGTTGGCTGATGTTTGTTTGCTTTGGTTTTGGATGGAGAGTAGCATATTTGCATATTGATGGGTTGATAACTCTGAGTTATGAAAAGATCTCATTAATGAATATGGAATACCTAGTCATACGCGACAGTGAGTAAATGCTGGCTGTTGTTTTCATCACTGTCACCTTTTTCTAAGCCTCTCTTCACACGTTCTGGCTTATTCTAGTTTGAGTTAGAGCACTGTTGTATGAGCTACACTTCTGGTTTTATAAACACTGTGTTATTCTACACTATTTCTCACATGGGCCTTTGCTTCTTGGGTTTGGTACAAACTCCTGGATGGCAAATTCTGTGCCTTGTCCACTGCCCACCCTGCGATGCCTGGCACTGTGCTAGCTCAAAGCTTGAATTCAAGTCAGCTGCGAAACTGCATCCAAGAGTCATCTGGAGGAAAGTGTTGTTTGCTCTTGGGGCATGCAGACCCAATCTGATGGGGCAGGTGCTCTGTCTTCAATTCCCTGTGTCCCGAGAGGGGGCAGGAGGAGGAGTGGCACAGGCAGCTGTTGTACCTCCCTGTGAACAGGAACCCCAGTGGCGGAGTTCAGATTTCTGTAGCTGGACACACTCTTGGCCTCAAACTGCACTGCAATCACAGCCATTTGGCTCCAAGTTCTGAAAGGGTGGCTTGTGAAAAAAGAACTCTAGAGAGAAATTAAAGCTCAACTTCCAAGGAATTTCTAGTCTGTGTATTTGTGTTTTATCCCCAGTTGATGGTACCTAGAAGACCAAAAGGAGGGCAGCTTCATGTCTGAGAGTGAGCACCGACTTGGAAGTCTAAAAGGCACCACACATGAGTCTCGTCTCCTGTCCTCAAACACTTGAGATTCCTGCATGTGGCACCCGACAGCGTCCTCTTCTCAGGAGGAGAAACCACCACATGATGTGCAGACACGGAGACATATTTCCCTCAAGTGCGTACAACAGAGGTTGGAGCACTAAAGCCCTAACGTTAGAGCCAGAGGTATTAAAAAGAGAATGCAAGGCCAAAGCCTTAATAGTATGCTTTTTCATCTAGTGCTAAACAAAGGAGAATATAGTTCAGTGTGAGAGAAACTTTGAAGCCAATAAAATAGCAGGAAAAATGGAAAATAAGAGGAGGACCAGGTAATTTAGGATATATTTTAAGTTTTACAGCAGAAACAGACACAAAAACCTGAGAAAGACAAGTGCAAATTTAAATGAGAAAATGAAAGCACATTGTTTTCAGGATACCTAAGATAATGACACAAGAATGAAAATGAGTTCATTTCTACAATTACTTGAATCGACCAAATGGGCGTTAACGTCTGTGTATTATACATCTTGCCCCCTCTGAAGTTCTGTCCTCATTTCTCCTCCCTCTTTCAGAGTCTCCATTATTTTCCTCTAGAGATTGGCATTCAAGGCACACGGCTCTGAATCAGCAGTTGCTGTAATTAGGGTGTATCCATGGTAATGATAACGAGGGCTAATACTAATCCCTCCTTCTTCCCTCTTCCTTTCCTTTTCTGACTCTTGTCCCCAGGGTCCCCATCCCACTCATGTGTGCACACACACACGTGCACACAAACACACACACAGGTGCACACAAGCACTCCTAGGACATCCACAAGAGGATGGGCACCCATGCAGAGCGGCCTTGCCACCCCCAGAGCAGATGGCCAGCCACACGTCAACATCAGAAAGGCTCGTATCCTTCTGAAATGGAGGACTCCCTGTTGTGAACCTAATAGAATATCGACATGTGGACACCACAGTTCAGCCAGATTCTCTCGAAAGTGTCTCTGCTGATAGAGGTCCACAATGTCATACTCATGTTTAGAAGCCTGAGATATTTGGACTCTGCAATCAGCTGAATTGTGTCCTGCCAAAGCCCTATGTTGAAGCCCTAACCCTTAATGTGGCTGTCTTTGGAAATGGGGTCTTCAAACAGGTGATGAAGGTTAGGTGAGACCACAAGGGAGGGTCCTGAGCCAATGGGAGTGATGTCCCCAGGAGAAGGCGAAGGGATGTCAGGGATGCGCGTGTAGAGGGAGGACCACGTGAGGGCTTGGGAGGACGTCAGGGATGCGCGTGTAGAGGGAAGACCACGTGAGGGCTCGGGAGGACATCATGGATGTGCGTGTAGAGGGAGGACTACGTGAGAGCACGGGAGGACATCAGGGATACAAATGCAGGGGGAGGACCACGTGAGGACATAGGAGGATGTCAGGGATGTGAGTGCAGAGAGAGGACCACGTGAGGGCACATGAGGATGTCAGGGATGTGAGTGTAGAGAGAGGACCACGTGAGGGCACAGGAGGACGTCAGGATGTGAGTGCAGAGAGAGGACCACGTGAGGGCACATGAGGATGTCAGGGATGTGAGTGTAGAGAGAGGACCACGTGAGGGCATGGGAGGACGTCATGGATGCAAGTGCAGGGGGAAGACCACGTGAGGGCATGGGAGGACGTCAGGGATGTGAGTGCGGAGGGAGGACCACGTGAGGGCTCGGGAGGACGTCAGGGATGTGAGTGCAGAGGGAGGACCACGTGAGGGCACGGGAGGACGTCAGGGATGTGAGTGCAGGGGGAGGACCATGTGAGGACATAGGAGGATGTCCGGGCTTCGAGTGCAGAGAGAGGAACGTGTGAGGACATGGGAGGATGTCAGATATGCGTGTGCAGAGGGAGGACCACATGAGAACATGGGAGAAGATGTCGTCTGCAAGCCAGGGAGAGGCCTCAGGAGGACCAGCCCTGCCACACCTTGCTCTGGGACTGCCACCCGCCAGTACCCTAGGAGAACACATTCCTGTTGGTGAAGCTGCCAAGGCCGTGCTGCAGCACCAGGGGCCTCTGGCTGATAGACTGCAGAGCAGCGATGCCAGTGGTAGCCTCCAAGTAAACTCTCTAAAGGGATTTTGTTTTCTATCCTCATTTTTCCTGCCTTATCTTTCAAGAGACTTCGTTTACCTTCACTTGTGTGGGTTCGTTTCTAAATACAGAGAAGGAATGCAGGCAAAGGAGTACCAAGCCAAGCCATCTTTTTAAAAGATAAACAGGGCACATTTTTCTTCCTTCCTGAGCAACTCATACACCAAATATGTACAGAACACCTGTAAATGGTAGAGGATTCAGATATTTTGAAAGCACAAAACCTACTCTCGAAGAACACACAACTGCTGAGAGGTAACAAAGTTTTGGCCGCTGTAGCTGCTAAAAATAGAGTTGTCATATCCTAAAACTAAAAATAAAGAAATACATCACTGATCAAACACGCTTGATGGCCTTCATTTGCATACGGTCGTGACAAGCCCGGTGGGAGGTGTAAGAATACTTGGGTGTTACCCTGCCCCCGAGGAGCTCATGAAAGCGGTGTTCACAGCATGCTGCAGTTGCTCACATCGTAGTTCATAAGGCATTTTCTCACATGCCACCTAAACTCTTCTGCGGGGCAGCTGGGGCAGGCACCGCCTTTCTACTTCTCAGGTGTGAAAACTGAGGGTCTCAAAGAGGCAAGCACTTGCCAAAGTCACGCAGCAAGCAAGGACAAATGAGAGGGAGGCGTCTCCAACCAGGCGCAGGCTGGCAGATGTGGGCCCGTGAGCACCACTTGCCCTCAGGTCTGTGGTAGGGGTCAGATGAGTGACAGCCACAGGAGAGGCCATCCTCTTGGGGTGGAGGAGAGAGGCCACTCTCCTCTGGGATGGTCTTGAAAGATGTCTCTGTACAGGGTGGGCAGAGAGGAGAGGGAGACCTTCTCAGAGCAGGGAGGTGCACGCTGTCACCAGGAGCTGGCCAAGAGGCTCACCAGAGCTGTGGTGGAGGCCGTGCAGACTGTGTGGCGGGGCTGGAACCTGGTTTCATAGAAACAACAGGGAGAAAACAGAGTTGTGAGCTGGAGAGGTGCATGGCCAGATGAGCCACACAGGTGGGTGGTGGGACCAAGGCCACAGTGGTCAGGAAATGCTGTGAGGGGACAGTGAGGAAAGAGGATGTCCCAGGGCCATTCATGCTTGTGACCACAAAGAAGAGATGGCTGGGCCAGGCTCCCCCTTAGCAGGTCTGGTAGCAGTTATGCAGGTGCGATCATCAGTTGATTGAAGAGCTCTCGGGTGAAAAGACACAGAATAGGTCCCATGTCATCGATGCCAGGGTGGGTTTTTATCTCAAAGAAGGCCCGTGCCCTACAGCTGGGAAATGCCCTTCCCTTCACTGCTGCTTCTGCATTTAAAAGTCCCATCAGTGCTAATGGAACTCACAAATGCCTCACACAGGGGAAAACACACTGCGTGAATAGGGATAGCAATTTATAGGACTGACTGAACTTAAAGACATTGAGATTACATCCCGCAGAAAGAGGCTGGCATACAGTCCAATAACTGGCCTAGGTAGGTGGCATTCTGAATGAACGTCAGAAATAGCCTGTATTTTTGCCTCAGTCAGCCTCTGCATATTCTTTTTCTTAAAAGCTTAAAGCAAACAGAAGGACATACTCAGTCCTAAAGGTTCTTTGTGGCCCAAGATGTTCTGGCATGAGAACTGCCCTATGCCAGGAGGGAAATGTTCCAGGAAAGGAGGTGTTGGTGGTTTTCAGCCACAGGAACCACCTCCTCGTGACACCCAATCCTGGGGAATTAATTCTGTGACCCCAGAATAAGTTTCCAAGGACAGGGATGTCACTTGGCTAAGGCATACCAATTCTCCAACTGTGAACACATCTCCGCTTTTCCAACCTCAGCCAAAGGAGGCTGCAGCTCTGGTCAGGCTCTAACACGTGCATGGCTGTCATGGATGCCCATGTGTGCCTGGGCAATAGACGAGGGTGTGCCTTGCTGACCCTTTCTGTGGTGCCCTGGCTAGCCCAACACCATTGTGCAGAGGAGGGTGCTGAGGCCTCTGGAAGTTACTGCAAGGTCACCAGCCCTTGCCCCTGGAGGAATCCGTGTGGCCCCAGCTCTCAATCTGCACACGTCATATCTCCTCCTTAGGGGAGGTTTCCCACCCCCTCTGAACACAGTGAAAAGTGAGTGTGCTTGAAAGCACCGACCTCAGTCCATGTTCCCTGATAGACACGGCCACATCTGTCAATCTAACCTTTGGGCATAGCACCTGCAAGAAACCAAGGCCCAGGCTGCAAAGAAAGGACGCGACAGAGCCTGGACACCGCTGCCTTCATGGGAGCTTGCTTGTGCGGGTGATACTGATGAGGCTCCTCGCGTCCTGTGGGTGAAGCTGGAAGTCCCAGGCTTTGCCATCTCTGGTTCCCCACTTCCCCAGTTTCGACGCTCTCCTCTCTCCCCACCCCTGCAAACACATCCTATGATCTAATTTAGCATTTTTCAATTTATTCACAAAATCATTTATTGCTCACGAAGGGATCAAGATCCATGCTCACAAGCATTATTCCGGTTTACACAGCATCTTCTCGCTTCTGTGACAGATTCACTTAGGATGGTACACCTTCTCAGATTGTGTTTCCTTCTCATACAATGTCCAAACACCACTTCTCTATCTGGTAAGCTCCTAGTCATACTTCAAAGCCCAATCCAAATGCTATCAACTCAACCTTCCACTACCCAACCCTGCAAGCAGAGCTGCTGTTCCCACAGCTGTTTGCTGTATAACTGATTATATTTGTATTTTTGTATTATATTTGTATATTCCAGATATTTGCTCACATCTTTCTCTCGCATTAGGTAGTGTTGCATGCCACAGCACCAGCACCAAGTGTGGCTCGTAATGTGGTTGCTCTTTATCCAAGGAAAGAGGCATGAGAGAGGCACAACACTAATGAGAGAAGCATTTTCAGGGGACTGTGTAGTAAAACCTAAGTACAGCTGTCCTAGGGAACAAGCCAAGGGAATCTGCCCTCCCCTCCCTCACTTCCAAACAGAAGTGGCAACTGTAGGTGCACCCCTTCCTTTTCTTCATAAGGGCCCTTGGTTTTTCTTTGGAAGTCATTCCTCCCTGACAGTCTGAGCATTAATTTGGATGGGGAGGCTCCGACCTTGTGTTTTCAGGGGAGGCACAGAACCTGGGACTACCCTAGGAGAGTTCTCCATCCCCTGGCCTCTGAGATTGGTGCAAGACGGCTCCTGACCCCAGCAAGAACAGCAAGTTACCCCAACTTTTGCCAGAAGTCTTGAGGGAAAGTCCTCTCTGATGTACTGGCTGCAAAGCATCATGCAAGCCCTGAGCTTTGTTACAGCTGTGCAGAGAAAACCATCTTAGAAATGAAGCCAACACAGAGACAGCAGAGTCAAAGATGGAGACAAACGTCCAGATGGTGCTGAGCACCTGGATCCAGCCATGCCTGATGCTCACACTGGGACTTTTGGTTACTTATACTAAGCCATTTTGAACTGGGCTTCAACCCCCATTGCCACATAAAATACCCTGGTCATTCTCCACGAATCTCCATATCAGAGGGGAACCAGCACCATAGTCAGGCAGCATGGAAGACGGTGCTCAGGGAAGAGACAGAGGAGTTTCTGCTGCAGGGTCCTTGTCATCCTGCAGACCCAGGTCTAGGGAGGACAGACACCCAGCATGGTCAGGGCATTCTGGGCAGAGGAACTGATCATCAGCCCCTCAGCCACCGCAGAGGGAATGAGTAAGGGAGTCACCAAACAGCAGAAGCAAGAAAGCATCGTATGCCTTTGCCTTCACAAGGTCCGGCCTCCAGCCATTGTGACAATGATAACGCCGACCCAGAGGAGATGTGGAGAGGACTCTGGCTCCACTTCTGCGGCTCTGTGCCCATGCTGAGAGGTGCAGCTTCTGGAAGAGCTGCCATTTCCATGTCCCCTTGTTTATCTTTTGTTGTCAGATTACAATATTTCTGATAGCTGGCTGAAATTCGACGTTTCAGTTTGCTGACTTTTGAATCCAACTGGTAGCATTCAGTGAAGTTATGATGCTCAGTCTATCATCCTTCTCTCTCTCTCTATCTCTCTATCAATCATCTATCATCCATCCATCTATCTACTATCTACCTTATCTACTATCAGCTATCTATCATCCATCCATCATCCATCTATTTATCTACCATCTCTATCTACCATCCACCTATCTACCATCTATCAATCACCTATCATCCATCCATCCATCATCCAACTATCATCATCTCTATCTACCATCTACCTATCACATCTATCTACTATCTACCTATCATCTATCATTATCTATCTATCCTCTATCTACTATCTACCTATCATCTATCAATGATCTATCAACCATCTATCAATCATCTATATACTATCAACCTATCTACTATCTATCAATTAATTACCAATATCTGTCATCTACCTATACATAAATCACCTATGTATCTATCATCTATCCATCTTCACATGCACACATATGCACATACATACATGTACATGATGTATGTGTCTATACTCATACACACATATAAAGGCAATTCTTATTTCTTATTTTCAGTATCTCCTCCCTGATCAGTGTTCGAGCTGTCCAGGAGATGCATGGCTGCTCGAAGGGTCTCACAGCCAGTTTGACTGCCCCTACAACCAGTTCTCTCCACATTTTAATGTGACATGACAGGTGAAAACAGTCATTTACTCTAATAAATTCTCCTCAGCAAAATGAGAGATTACTTTAAAATCGAAGCAGCCAGGACCAGCACCCTGGGTGAAAACAATTACATTGATTGCTATGGGGAGATTAGAAACTCTTACAGAGGGCTGAGAAGAAAAGTCAGCTTAAAACGTCCACATTCAAGAGTTAAGTTAGTACTTACAAAGGGCAGGGAACTGTCTAAGGCCACGACCACAAGCACAGGGGGCCTCTGGGCATCAGCGCCAGGCCAGCGAGTAGAGAAGTCCGGCTTGGAGAGTACAAAACAGGCGCGATGTCTAAAGTCCATTGTGCCGCTGAGGAGACAGGCCATTTCTCTTACTGTCTCCTGTCTGAAGAGGAGCAGGAAGTAAAAGTTGAAAAACAACAGGAATGAAGTCAGTGGCAAGACCAGCTGGTGCCCCTGATGATCAGGCCTGAGGTTAAAAGATTAACCCCCAACCCCACTCTAAACGCATGTGCTCTCAATCTATCACGACCCTTTCACGTGGAACCCCTTAGAGTTGCAAACCCTTAAAAGGGCCAGGAGCTCTGTCTTCAGAGAGTTCGGTTCTTGAGACTTGAGTCCGCTGAAGCTCCTGGCCGAATAAAACCAAATCATTCCTTAACCCGGCGCCTGAGGGGTTTTGTCCGTGGCTCATCCTGCTACACCACCGAGAAGTGCCAAGAAGGAAAAGGGCCTCTGGCCCGTGGGTGTTGGGCAGAGTCAGAGAAGGTGGGCAGGAGAACCAAAGAGGGCCTGTGGCACTGACGTTAGCAGGCACAGGGAGGAGGTCTCGCTCCTGGAGCCTAGAATAGGAAGGATGACTGGGGAGCTGGGAGGGATGCAGGGAGGGCATTTGACGTGGACAGGACTTCTGCCTTCAAAGAAGGGCATGTCTTTAGGTTCCCTGATAAATTCAACTTCTCCTGTGCTCAGCCTACAGCAAAAAGAAGGTGGGGCCAGGTACAGTGGCTCCTGCCTGGAATCCCAGCATTTTGGGAGGCCAAGGCAGGAGGATTGTTTGAGCCCAGGAGTCCAAGACCAGCCTGGGCAACATAGTGAGAACTTGTTGCTACAAAAAAGTTTAAAAATTAGCTGGGCACAGGGGCGTTTGCCTGTGGTCCCAGCTACTCAGGAAGCTGAGGTGGGAGGATCGCTTGAGCCCCTGGAGGTGGAGGTTGTAGTGAGCCAAGGTTGTACAACTGCACTGCAGCCTGGGTGAAGAGCAAGACCCTGTCTCCATTAAAAAAAAAAAAAAAAAAAGATGGTAGTGATGATTCTAGCACCTTCCTCAGGTTTCTTTAGATTCCTGGTTCTACCTGCATGGAGCATTTTGTATGGCAGGAAATTTTTTCTTCTTGTAATAAACAGTACACAGGAAATTGTGGAATGAAATGAAGCCCAAGTTATTCTGTTGAGAAAAGCAGCATTTTAGTTAATTTTCAGATAAGATTTCTCAGCCCTCTACTGTGAATTTGCCTTTCTGATTGTTGGAGATAATGAAAGAGGTCATAAAACCTTCTTTATGGGTATTATATCATTTGTCTTCAATGTCATACAATTCTAGAAATCAAAGCTGAAAAGGAACTAAGACAATTTGTAGACAATTTCATAGGTGTAGTAGAGGTGTGTTTAATAACTCAGGGTTGCAATTCTGAAGTGAAATTTAGATACTTCCAATAAGAGTCCACATTGTTGAAGGTACGGGGAGAGGGGCACTTGCAGACACTATCCATGGGTTAATTGATGAAAGCTTCATGGAAATCAATATGTCAATCAAGAGCTATGATACACATTGAACTTTTGATGTAGGAATTTTAGTTTTTAGGATACTAGACTAAGGAAATAATTAGAAATATAAATATTCTTGTACAAAGGTATTCATGACAGTATTATTATAATGGAAATTATTGAAAATATGTGAATCCAAAATGATGAAGTAGTTAAATAACAAATGATATATAAATGCAATGAAATGTTATATAGTCATTAAAATTACTGTTTTGAAAAATTTTTATCCACTGGAAAAATGTTTATAAAGAAATATTAAGTGAAATGTTGAGAAATATATAGAACTTTACATAAAATATATTAGCCATGCAAATACATGAGTGTATGCTTTCTGTGGATAGACATAAATATTGCTAGAGAAAAAAATAGAAAAGAATCCATCAGGGCATTAACTACACATTTTTCTAAGTTACCGGTATCTTAGTGTTCTAGATGTAGGTTATTAAAATTTCTTTCTCTGTACTTTCTAAAATTTTAATAATAAGAATGTGCTTTTTAAATAATTTTTTTAACTTGAATATCTCACATGATCACCTGAAGTTCCCATTTTCTCAACTTAATAGAGAACTTAACCGACCTCTTCTTATTCCTTTTTTTCTATTCTGGCTCACGCAGTGGATGGAAGATGGCATTGAAGGAGCTCTCAAGTCCTCTCCAAGCCTCGCTGTTTGTGATGTGATCGTGGCAGTGAAGGGACACGGCTCTGGAGTGCTGGGCTCCGTTTGCTCTGCACTCAGCCTCCCATCTGGATGGGGTTTGGAATGCTGCCTAGGCTCTGCCTTCTCTCACACAGGAAGGAAGTTGGCCCCAAACCAGGTGCTGAAGGGTTTGGCAGAAGCACCCGATGCCTGAGCTATAGCACAGCACGGTGCCCTGGGCGGCTCCACACTCACCTGGCTCACCACCACCCTCTTCCTTCCTTCCCACCGGGCTGCCCTCTCACCTGCATTTCCTGTGGTCTATGGAACTGAAACGACATGAGCAGCATTTCAGGACGTCCCCCTTAAAACCCGCTCCTCTGTTCTTATCCACATGGCTTATTACTACTTTCCAATCTCATCTCCTGCGGTTCTCCACGGGACCACCTTCCAGGCCAGCAGCCTTGTCCCGTGGCATCCCCAGTCCCACCATTCCCGTCCCCCACCCGGAGCACCCTTCCCCCGGCCACACAGTGAAAGGCTGGGCTGTGAGAGCTTCGGTGGAAACCAGGCCTTCACCACTTCTTCTCCCTTCAAGCCACACACAGCTGTTGCAAGTTCCGGATACCAATCATTTTTTAAAAAATAAATTGCTATTTAAGTCAATATCTGAACAATGTATGAAAACAATCAGATTTTAGGCCCACTTATTTCTAAGCCCAGATGGCATCACTCATGCTCGACCACTGTCCTTATTCAGAATACTCAGGTTGGAACAGTTCAGCTCCTCAGAAAATAAAACACACTCTTCACTGAGTAAGTTTTACCACCAGAGAGTAGATCGTACACCATTGATTATGGAGGCTGTTTTACAAAAAGGAGTTCAAAGAAAGCTTAAACAGCGGTCAGATCACTGCCACCAGCAGGTGGCCTCCAAGAAGCTCCGTTTTCAGTTCTCATTTAAAGGCAGATATTTCTATGTTAAAAAACCAACCTGCGCTGTATAGTCATATGTTATACACCTATCTCCCAATTCTAAAACTGACCCCTTAAGAAAAAAAAAAAGAAACAGGAATTGAATCAGCACAAATCACCAGTGAGACAAACCTCAATTAACATCATATGTGGACATTTTCTCTTTGATATTTAAGTTCCAGAAAATGGCTAAGGTTTTAAAATTAAACTCACATTAGTTTTTATACACCGCCTGTCGCAAGCCATGTACCTGGAGATAGTCACAACTAAAATCTGGGGATGGTGAGGGGGAGAGAGAAAATCAAACCGTGCTTCAAAAACCTTCGCTGGGAAGCCGCTCAGGCCTCTCATCTCCCCCCGTGCACCTTTCCTGATCCCCGGGGGTCCTGCCCACTCGGTCACTGCTCCTCATAATGCCTCTCCTCCTTTGGCCATGAGGCCTTTCCAAACGAGCGCAGTCAGCACGTTCTCTGTTCATCTTTGCTTCTTGGGCTTTCCCCTGGTAATTGTTTTCCTCAGCCCATAAATATTCTATTTATTATCTCCCTGTTCTTGACCACTTGTTCTGCATTTTCTCCATCTTCCTTGTGATTAGAAACCTCAAACAGAATGTCGGTGATTGGACTCCCAGGCATTTACTTTGCCTCTAAAATAGGCAGAGCTCCACTCCCATGGGTCCTAATTTTAATCAAATCGGTCATTTTTTTCCAAGCCTCATCAGCTTCGTGCCTCCACTAACGGACTTTTAGTTTGCATGTCTCTACGTGGATTGTTGTTGCTGCTGGACAGAGCTGATCAGGAAGGAAATTTATTGTACAAGAATGGGAAGAAATTATCAAGTTAACTGATGTGTAAGGGAGGTGTACCTGGAAGATACTCTTTAACAGGCAATGCATGTGTGGGGATATTTTTAAGTTTTATCAGTAGAAATGAAATATATTGAACACAAATCGAGCAAATATGACTTGGTCGTTAACATCCCTCTGATTAAACAGGAGTGCTGCTATGAGAACGGGCTGCGCCATTCTGCAGGCACACGAGAGTCGCTGGGTTTTAGGGTAGTCTCTGTGGAGAATGGTGACTGGACCACGTGGGAGAGGGGCTTGAGGCAGGAAGGTGAGCAGACTCCAGAGTTCAAGAGATGTTTGCATACAGTGCCCTCTTGTTTCCCCTTACAGTGTGGCTGTGGCCAGTATTGAGAACCAAGTGTTCAGGAACTCACGCTGGCCTGCTGGTCCCACCTGACCTGAGAGTGGCGGGCACTCAGCGTTTCAGCAAGCTGCTTCCTCGACGATGCCTTTGATCTCTTATTGTTGCTGGGGAGGCTGGAGTCCACCCAAATCGAGTGGGAAGTGCTGTCAGCTGCTACGTCTCTTACCTAGGAGCTTTAGAGTCTCAAGGGCATGACTGGAACAGACTGGAACCCAATGGAAGAGTTTGGATGCAGCATCTGTCCTGCTCCACTGAGCCCCAGGGAGGAAGCCTCGGCCACTGGCTGTGCTGAAGAAGGTACAATCCGAGTGTGAGGCAGAAGAGCAGAGGCGTCCTCGAAGAGAAGGCCGGGGCTGCAAACCACAGGAGGAGGGCGTCCTGAGAAGCAATGGGAGCAAAATCAAGATGCCCAGAGTCTTGGGGCTGTTTCAGAAACCCCAAAAGCAAGAACACGGGGTGTCCAATGGGTGGAGTCAGCAGTCCCAGTGCCATTTGGAGTTCAGTCACAGGAAGAAATTGCAAATGACAGCACAGCACTGGGCACTTGACCAGGTGGGGGACCCTGTATCCCTGAGGTGGCTCAGGGGACAGGACAGAGGCATGACCTTGGATCCGGGAATGGGGAGCAGAGCACAGCAGGACAAACCCAAACCCATCTCCATCGTTAAGAAAATCCCCAGCAGCTGGGGAAGGAAGAGCAAGAAGGCGAGAACCAGGCAAGGCTGGCAGTGTCTGGTGCACAGGCTCCCTTTTCACCCTGGCTTATTTGAGATGGAATTTAAAATATTTTTTGCAAGATAGATTGTGAGCTTTACAGTGAGAAAAGTATTTCCCAAGAACTTTACTTCATTTATAAAAGAGTAGATATGGAGACAAGGCGTCTGCGGCCCATAGTATTTAATGCACTCGAAACACGTTTAACTTCCAGGGTAGATCTGATGTCCTCCCTCCACCCGTAACTCCCCTGAAATCTCCTTAGTGTTTAGTGGTGCTGTGCCTGCTTTCTCACACACACCACTTGGCCCTCGTGACTCATCTCATACATGCGTCTCAATTCTCAGCCTCCCCACAGCCCAGACTTTCTGTTTTAACCTCACAGCTGCCCAGTGTGATGGCTGTGTCCAGCCCAGCTGATGGATTGGCCATTTCAACGTGAATCCCAGGTACTCCAGCCTTCCTTTGCAGGTGCCATTTCCCGACCTGGGTTACTCTACCAAGTTCTCTCCAGCTTTTGTCTCCACAGCAGCCTCCCCACATCCCACCAACACAAACACGCAGCACATGCAAGCACAAACACACATGCAAACATGCTTAAATACCATGTACATATGCACACAGGTGTATATGTGTACACACACTACACACACTGTACAAACACAAACCCACATATACACACATGCACACATTGTTGCACACAATACACACACAGACACACATGCATGTGAACACATACACATGACAACACATACGTGTTCACATTAAACACATGTGCAATACAAATTCATGTACACAAACATATGCTTGTATGTGTGCGTACACAATACACAGATACACCTGTACATCAACATGCATCAAAGCACATGCATACACAGAGACATGCGCAATGTGCACAGGTACACACATGCACACATACACTTTGGAGCTGGGTTCACATGCTGAGTGGATGGTGTGCTCTGCACTAGAAGCCCAAGGCCATGGCCCACTTAACCCAGTGAACCTCACCTGTGCTCCGTATCAGCAACCACACCTGGATGTCACCCGGAACTGCCCCATTCTGGCCCTGACAACACCGCAACCAAGGAAGAGGCACAAGACCCAGGAGACGATGGTGCTGGCTGATGCCGCCCCTCCCTGAAGGCTCAGAGCCTGCACTTGCTGGATGCTCCATGGCCATGTGAAGCCCAGGGGAGCTGAGCGATGGCACCGCAGGCCCCAGGACTGCCCCTCTGGCTTCACATGCACCCAAGCTGTGATTTTTCAGATAAATATGACTCAGAAGACCTCACTGTTTCTGTGTGATTTGCCTACCTAATGTCAGAGATGGGTATTACAAAATATTTTTGGTTCATCAAATGGTTTAAGGTAATTTCTCAGTAAGATGGCTTGGCTCACATGCCATTTTCAAGAATGCTGAGAAAGGACAGTGTGCCATCAAGCTGTGGAATCGCTTGGTACGCTGTGGAATTCTGTGGTAAGACATTTTTCAAGGACTGAAGTGCATGGAAGAGGAACGGAAACCTTTGTTGCCTATTCATGTGTTATTTCCAGGTCTCGACCCACCAGTCCCCGCTGCCTCCCTTCATAGCTCCTCTGGTTCCCATGTGAGTCCCTCCCTTTGCATCCACACGATGCACTGCATCACTCATCTGCACACATCTTGCTTTCCAGAGCAGACTAAAAGCCCCTCTGGACACAGAAAGTGCCTCTGTCTCTTTTAATAGCTATTGTACCTCACAGAGCATTTAAATTTTTATTGATGGGTTAATAAATAATTGATTGATGGGGACTGAAACTAATCTTTAAAATTGATTGTCAACTGAAAACCTGTACAAGATATCCCACTGTTTAACAATAGAGAGGAGCTATTGCAGCTGCTGTGACGACTGGCAATGTCCTCTTCTTTATCGCACCTCTAAGAAATCTGCTGGCAAATGACTTCTTGGATACTGTTTCATTAAGGAATTTCTCAATGGATAAAGTTTTTACTATTCTAAAAGTATCTTTGTGTCTTCACAGTAGGTGCTGTATTTGGTTTGGAGGAATTTTATTAGTCTAAAGGACATAATTTCTTCCTTCTAGGAGCTTACAGAGGACTAGAGGATGAGTTACCTGCACAACCCATCACTCTATGGAACCTCCCAGCCTGTGTCCTGAACCCTAGGATTACACACATGTAGTAACACAACTTATTTCCACATTCTGTAGCCAAAGCCTAATGGGCCAGGGTTCATCAGTTTACCACACAGCGGCCATCTCATGTTGATCAGTGTCGGGGTTCATCAGTTTACCACACGGCAGTCATCTCATGTTGATCAGGGTCGGGGTTCATCAGTTTACCACACGGCGGCCATCTCACGTTCATCAGGGTCGGGGTTCATCAGTTTACCACACGGCGGCCATCTCATGTTCATCAGGGTCGGGGTTCATCAGTTTACCACACGGCGGTCATCTCATGTTCATCAGGGTCGGGGTTCATCAGTTTACCACACGGCAGCCATCTCATGTTCATCAGGGTCGGGGTTCATCAGTTTACCACACGGCGGTCATCTCATGTTGATCAGGGTCGGGGTTCATCAGTTTACCACACGGCGGCCATCTCACGTTCATCAGGGTCGGGGTTCATCAGTTTACCACACGGCGGCCATCTCACGTTGATCAGGGTCGGGGTTCATCAGTTTACCACACGGCGGTCATCTCACGTTGATCAGGGTCGGGGTTCATCAGTTTACCACACGGCGGTCATCTCACGTTGATCAGGGTCGGGGTTCATCAGTTTACCACACGGCGGCCATCTCACGTTCATCAGGGTCGGGGTTCATCAGTTTACCACACGGCGGCCATCTCACGTTCATCAGGGTCGGGGTTCATCAGTTTACCACACGGCGGCCATCTCACGTTCATCAGGGTCGGGGTTCATCAGTTTACCACACGGCGGCCATCTCACGTTCATCAGGGTCGGGGTTCATCAGTTTACCACACGGCGGCCATCTCACGTTCATCAGGGTCGGGGTTCATCAGTTTACCACACGGCGGCCATCTCACGTTGATCAGGGTCGGGGTTCATCAGTTTACCACACGGCGGCCATCTCACGTTCATCAGGGTCGGGGTTCATCAGTTTACCACACGGCGGCCATCTCACGTTCATCAGGGTCGGGGTTCATCAGTTTACCACACGGCGGCCATCTCACGTTGATCAGGGTCGGGGTTCATCAGTTTACCACACGGCGGCCATCTCACGTTCATCAGGGTCGGGGTT
The DNA here is from genome assembly GCF_000001405.40 of Homo sapiens. Taxonomy (NCBI): domain Eukaryota; kingdom Metazoa; phylum Chordata; class Mammalia; order Primates; family Hominidae; genus Homo; species Homo sapiens. The sequence continues at coordinate 304,635 of NC_000008.11, forward strand.
CATCAGTTTACCACACGGCGGCCATCTCACGTTCATCAGGGTCGGGGTTCATCAGTTTACCACACGGCGGCCATCTCACGTTCATCAGGGTCGGGGTTCATCAGTTTACCACACGGCGGCCATCTCACGTTGATCAGGGTCGGGGTTCATCAGTTTACCACACGGCGGTCATCTCACGTTCATCAGGGTCGGGGTTCATCAGTTTACCACACGGCGGTCATCTCACGTTCATCAGGGTCGGGGTTCATCAGTTTACCACACGGCGGCCATCTCATGTTCATCAGGGTCGGGGTTCATCAGTTTACCACACGGCGGCCATCTCACGTTGATCAGGGTCGGGGTTCATCAGTTTACCACACGGCGGCCATCTCACGTTCATCAGGGTCGGGGTTCATCAGTTTACCACACGGCGGTCATCTCACGTTCATCAGGGTCGGGGTTCATCAGTTTACCACACGGCGGCCATCTCACGTTCATCAGGGTCGGGGTTCATCAGTTTACCACACGGCGGCCATCTCACGTTCATCAGGGTCGGGGTTCATCAGTTTACCACACGGCGGCCATCTCACGTTCATCAGGGTCGGGGTTCATCAGTTTACGACACGGCGGTCATCTCACGTTCATCAGGGTCGGGGTTCATCAGTTTACCACACGGCGGTCATCTCATGTTGATCAGGGTCGGGGTTCATCAGTTTACCACACGGCGGTCATCTCATGTTGATCAGGGTCGGGGTTCATCAGTTTACCACACGGCGGTCATCTCATGTTCATCAGGGTCGGGGTTCATCAGTTTACCACACGGCGGTCATCTCACGTTGATCAGGGTCGGGGTTCATCAGTTTACCACACGGCGGTCATCTCATGTTGATCAGAAGCCTTGACAGCAAGCCTAGATGTCTGTTGATTATAAATAAAAATTATTATTTATAAATGCAATTTGTTTGGAAAACAAAAATCAAAGCTTGGGATCCATGGAGTTAAAAAATAACTAAAGAATCTCTACTGATTAAAAGATAGTGAGCTAGGCAGGGCACAGTGGCTCATGCCTGTAATCCCAGCACTTTGGGAGGCCGAGGCGGGCAGATCACTTGAGGTCAGGAGTTCAAGACCAGCCTGGCCAAGATGGCGAAACCGCGTCTCTACTGAAAATACAAAAATTAGGCGGGCATGGTGGCGCACGCCTGTAATCCTACCTACTCAGGAGGCTGAGGCAGAAGAATAGCTAGAACCCGGGAGGTGGAGATTGCAGTGAGCTGAGATCACAGCACTGCACTCCAGCCTGGCGGACAAAGCGAGACTCCATCTCCAAAAAAAAAAAAAAAAAAAGATACCGAGTTGAGTGTGGTGGCTCATGCCTGCAGTTTCAGCTACTTAGGAGGCTGAGGTGGGAGGATCCCTTGAGCCCAGGAGTTCAAGTCTAGCCTGGGCAACATAGTGAGACCCTGTCTCTAAAATAAGCAAATGCATTATTATTTTTTTAAAGACACCAATCCCAGGAGCTGCTTAGATACTCTGCTTTATCACCCATACCTTTGGTCCCAGATCACTCCAGCCTCATCCATACACCCTTGTGACTTTTAACCTCTAAGTAGTTATCCTAAATCCAGTCCTTAAACAGGATCATACTTGGGGAGAAAACATACATCCTTGAGAAAACAGGAGAATGTTGAAAATATTTGCCTAAGAAATTAAAGTGCTATATTGAAAAATGACCAAAGCAAGTAAATTGAGTAAAAAGTAGATTTGGGCAATGAATTGTGGAGGAATGCTAAAAAATGAAATGAAATAAAAATAAAGAAAGAAAAAACTTGAGAACAAGGATTTTTGTGATAAGAAAACACATGGCATTGAAAGCATAATTTAGGGTCAGAATGTCTGTGTTTCTCCAAGGGATTCAACACCAGCCTGTTGGCAGTGGACCTGACCCTGACCAGTCACGGAAGCCAACTGGGAACCAACGAGGGTAACAGTTAGCTGCTCTCAGTGCCACACCGGACGAGGATATGGGGACTAATGCTGAAAAGCCACGGGGCGTTGATAAGGCACTAGCGATAATCACTGACCTGAGCCCGTTCTTATTCAAATTCAGTAAGTGTATTTCAGACTGTCATCCTATGCCCAAAACTGAGACAGATGCTGCATCCTGGACTTGATGATTATTTTTTGAACGATCATGTGATGTTGCCTGGAGGTTGTGTAACTGCACCTGCTCCGGCAACTTTCATGACTCAGCACAGAGGAAGAAGCCGAGCGCGATTCTCCAACACACTGGGGTACGTACTGGCTGGCCTAAGTCCTGGGTCGTCCAAGAGCAATAGTTGTTCACAATGATGGGTCAAGTCACCTCCAGAGTGTATATTATAACTAATGTAACCTATTTGAGAAAGAATGAAGGGTTTATGTTTTTTGAGAATATTTCCATTAGGCGGGCTTAGAAAATGTAGATACTTAAACAGTTTAGCATCTAGAAGACCATAGAACTATTAGAGAATCTGTTACTGAAAATTCGCCTGTCATTTTATGGCAGGATACTGGCAGAGTATTTCATCAGGCTGCAACATGGCTGCATTTTTCTCCTCATTACGCAAGATGTATCCAAGACATTTTCCCTGTTTCAGGTCATTACTCATCTTGCGCAGCCACTGAGCAAAGCGGGTCACGAGGTCCTCAACCGTGAAGTGGCGACGTGAGACACACGACCTCCTGTAACCCTTCAGCCTCCAAGAGTCTGCGATTCAGTAGACACAAACTCGCTGTGAAGGATGGGGCCACTCACACAGAGGCGCGCCACCCGCCTCACCCTCTGAGGGTGACTTTCCACAGCTGGGACTGGAGGACCCTGGGGCAGATTTAAAAACTATGATCCCAGATGCACAGACCCAGAGTAACCGCAGCCTGGCTTGTGTTGCTCGGGGGGTGACAAGGGGCACTGGGCAACCCTGCTGGCTGAGACTCAGCCCCAGCCACCTTCCAAGGTTCTAGAATGTTCCAGAACCAAAAAGAGAAGCAGATGGCTACAAGTGAGGGAAATACTATTTCTCAGTGATCATTTACAACCAGCAGCTCCTAAATGCTTTTTAAAAAGGTTGATGAGGGATCTAGAACTAGAAATACCATTTGACCCAGCCATCCCATTACTGGGTATATACCCAAAGGACTATAAATCATGCTGCTATAAAGACACATGCACACGTATGTTTATTGTGGCATTATTCACAATAGCAAAGACTTGGAACCAACCCAAATGTCCAACAATGATAGACGGGATTAAGAAAATGTGGCACATATACACCATGGAATACTATGCAGCCATAAAAAATGATGAGTTCATATCCTTTGTAGGGACATGGATGAAATTGGAAATCATCATTCTCAGTAAACTATCGCAAGAACAAAAAACCAAACACCACATATTCTCACTCATAGGTGGGAATTGAACAATGAGAACACGTGGACACAGGAAGGGGAACATCACACTCTGGGGACTGTTGTGGGGTGGGCGGAGGGGGGAGGGACAGCACTGGGAGATATACCTAATGCTAGATGATGAGTTAGTGGGTGCAGCGCACCTGCATGGCACATGTATACATATGTAACTAACTTGCACAATGTGCACATGTACCCTAAAACTTAAAGTATAATAATAATAATAATAAAAAGAGATTAAAATAAAAGTTGATGACTTCACTAATTCAAAGAGACACAGTCATTCCTGGAGGCAGGGAGTGCAGGAAGAGCCAGCAGGGTGCAGCAGCAGTCTTTGAAATAGCAGGAAAATCCCACTTGGACACTTTGTCTGTGCAGATCCACATCTCCATGGAGAAGAAGCCTAACTCCTAAGTTTAGATCTACCTCTGTTTAGCATTCCCTGCACAGCATGACGTGAATGCAGAGGGGGATGACATTTGCTGACTGGTACATCTAAAGACCTATCAAGGAAGAATGGGACTTGCCCTTAGGCCGAGAAGGCCTAGATGCGTCCGTCATCCCTGGCCAGCTCTTGTTCTTGGTGTGCCCACTGAGCAGCATGAGGGCAGCCTCAAAGGCTCTCTTGCCGAGCAAACACTGCCAAATGTCACTGCACAAACCACCGAGTCAGGATCCTTCTCTGAAGGCTTCTCTGCCTACTGGGCACATAGAAACGAGTTTAAAAGCTGCAGACAATTGATTTCAAGGGAAGATAGCTGGTGCTGAAGTGATTCCAAAGTGGTGAGTTTGGGCAGCCTGACCAGCTGCTGCCATGGAGGGCTGTGCAGAGCTGCCTGCCCTGAGGGCTATGCCTGGCACAGTGAGGCCTCTCAAAACCATTCTTGTGAATGCCCTGCTGCTCTCTCAGCACTCCATTTTCATGAACTATTTTGAAGTCAGTGGAAATGGGTTTCTCAGGGCCCTGGCTACGGTTTGAACATGTCCCCAAAGTTCAGGTGTTAGAAATTTAACCCCAGTGCAACCATGCTGAGCGGGAGCCTTAAGAAGTGATGGGGTCACAAAGGCTCTGCCCTGCTGAATGGATTAATGCCATTATCATGGGAGTGGGTTTGTTGTGAAAGTGAAATCAGCCCTTCCTCACTGTCTCACCACATGGTGCCTTCTGCCATGTGATAAGGCAGCGAGAAGCCCTTACCGATGCAGCCCTTAATCTGGGACTTCCCAGCCTCCAGAAGCATAAGCCACATGGACTTCTACTGTTTATAAATTACCAAGTCTGTGGTATTCTGTTACAGCAGCAAAAAGCAGACTGAGACAGTTGGTCTTCAGAGAGCAGACCTTTTCATATTTGAGGATATTTCATCCTTCAGGGATACTTCTCTTATTTTCTCTAAAAGTAAGAAAAATAAAAGCCAGAAGGAAGAGCAATGAGTGAACACCACACTTTCTCTCACACCTCAAGTGGAAAATACACCTTTCTTAAATCAGTGAGTGAACAGTCCCGGATGGCTTCACAATAGCATGTTGTAGAATCAATGCATTCTTCTTAAAACTGCCTATAAAAAGAAAAAAACTATATTCAACAGCTGCAATGCTGTGCTCTTTTATTCCACCACAATGCTGGAATTATAAGCACAATTCTCCCTTCGCATCCCTCTTGCATCAACCAAAAGTTGAGTTGCGAAGTGGAGTGAAAACTATTAAATAATCACCATATACATTTGTTTTTGAATATTCACTTTTCTGCAAAAACGTGGTTTTACCACATCTTTAGCTAATATCCTCTAAAGAAAGTGAACAACTTTAGTCCATGGGAAGTACATTATGAGGCCTCAAAGCGAAGATGCTGATAAACCTCAACCCTTTCTGCCTCAGTGTAAGCCTTTCCGTCTTGAACTATATGTGTTAACAAACAAGTGAAGTTTTTTGTTTTTGCTATGAGTTCAGGAGACAGGGAAAGATGGGTAGCCCACAGCCTCGTGTCTGGCAGAGTGAAAGGGTGGGCTGGTTCCTGGTATACTGATGTTCTCAGTGTCTACAGGTCCCTTTGTGCAAAGCAGCCTGCCTGCCCTGCAACGTCCTCTTTCAAGAGCTGTTTGGACCTGAGCTTTCCCAGGATCTGACCTCCCTCATGCTTGAATGGATACTACAGCCAGTTAGATCAGTGTCATCCAATCTGAGAAGTCACACTCCTCAAAGACCCCAAAGACCTGAGACTCAAGAAATCTTTACCTGAGGGACCAACATGTAGTTCAGTAAGAAAACACTTTTAAATTGTGACTTAACAGTAAAAAAGAGAAGTATTTTATTTACAGCATTTAATTTGAAAAGAATTCGTCATAAGTGCTGTGATGGATTTGAGGTGACTGTCAGTTTGGCAGCAGAAATATGTTTCTCAAACACACATAGTTCCCAAGAATATACCAACGAACCTCATAGGTTCTGAAGACTGCAGTTAAAGAAACACATTTTGATATGGTTACTCTTATATCCAGGTTCATTTTCTCCAAATAACTATACCTTCATTCATTAATGTGTCATTTCTTTCAGGAACTATTTTCTGAGTCTCAAACATATTTCATAGCACTCTCAAGCTTGAGGTTCTGCCTGAACATGCTCCTCCTCCTTTTCTTTTGTGACTCTTCATTTCGTATGGAGTTAAACCTGAGCTCCTATATGTGGCTTTCATAATTATCCAAGAGTATTTTCTGGACATTTCCAATTCTGACCCATTTCTGTAGTCCCAAAAGAACTCTTAGCACACAGCTCTGTCCATTTACTTGACTTATTCATTTCTTTTGTAACCACTAGCTACATTCTAATTTCTTCAGAGAACTGTGCCAGGCACTTCCTGGGGTTCAAAGAAAAATTCAGCAGAGTCCTCCTTCATGACAGACCCTGCCATCAGCACTGGAAATCTCCCTGCAGAGGGCTTATGGTCTAATAACACTGTGCTTAGGGCCACAGGGTTTGGAATCAGATCTGTGTGAATTTGAGTCCCGGTTCTGCCGCTTAACAAGGAGTCACACAATCACTTACCCACACCTGAGGCCCAATGTCTCCACCTACCCAAGAGTGGGCGAATCGCATGGCGTTGTTGCAAGCATCGTCTGAGAACCAAGGTAACGAACCGACTGCTGATCCAAGGCAGGCACTCAACCGTAGGATTTTAAGGTCCACAGATGTGGGAATGAAGAACTCCACAGAAGATAACGATGGAAACTGAGAGAAGTGAGTGAGATGTTAGTTCGGAGGGAAAGGAAATCTTCACAACACCCTGTCTTAGCAGGATCACCCTTCCTTCTTTCCATCATTCAGGTTCCATGAGTGACCAGCCCAGGTTGCTCATGTCCTAGGGTCCTTCCTGAGCATTTCAGACCTGGGTGCCTCCCGCACTCACACTCAGTTCCTACCTTGTTCCAGGCCCTGCCATCAGCCCAGAGAGCCATGGTAAGACTCACCATTTCCTTTGGAAGTCTCATGGGCTGTCTTCCTGTCCTCTCACCTCACCTTCTGACCTCCCAGATTCAGCCCGTGTGCCAGGGCTTCTCAGCCCTTTCTGTGGGTGGTGGAGAAACACGTCCCCTTCTCCACCTCACCATCTCAGGAACACAGTCCTTTCCCCCTGGCCTTTTATACTCTGGGGCCAGAATCCAAATAGTCTATGAATCTCTACCACTCAGTTTAGCCTCTCCCTCAGTATGTTTCAAGCAGCACTAATCTTACAAAATGTTCCCAGAAGAAACTGTTTCTGGGGCCAACTAATTATGGGAAACATGGCTCTCTGTATCTTCCTCTTGGAGATTTAAAGTATGTTTTGACTATGAGAAATCTTGCAGTAAGGAAGCCTGTTGATATTTGCCCAACCCAGCATTTCCCAAACTCACTTGTCCATGGAACCCTCCTGCAAGTGACCGCCACACACAATCAACAGGGCCAGGCTCCACCAGGCATGTTCTGGGAAATGTGCCGTATGTAGCTTTGTTCTGTTTCCACTTTTGTCAGATTCGATGGCAACAAGATTGAAGGCGCCCTGAGATAAGTGACTTTGTTTTGAATTGTTTAGTAATAATAATAGCTAATTCGTAATTCTAAGCACCAGATGGGCATAAAGTAAGTTCTCAATAAGTGCCCCTTGACAGCTCAGCCTCCCTGGAGTGATCATTTTTCAGATCTCAAATTTACCTGACTCACACAAATGTCATTTGGCTTTGGCTGTATGCATGCCCGGCCTCACTGCTTTGGTGTATTTTTAAATAAATGATTTTTAGAGCAGTTTTAGATTCAGAGCAAAGCTGAGCAGAAAGTACAGAGATTTCCCACGTACCCACCTCCCCGCATGCATAGCCTCCCCCATTATCAACATCCCCCACCAGAGTGATGCATTTGTTACAGTCCATGAACCTCCATTGACACACTATTGTCACCCAGAGTCCACAGCTCACATCAGGGCTCACCACTGGTGCTGTACATTCTATAGGTTTGGGAAAATATATAGTGGCATGAACTCATCATTGCAGTATCACACAGAGTAGATCGTCTGCCTTAAAGATCCCTGTGCTCCACCTGTTCATCCTTCCCCACACCACCAGGCCTTATCTTTCACTGTGTTGGTAATTCTGCTTTTTCCAGGATGTCCTGTAGTTGGAAGCACACGGGGTGTAGCCTTCTCAGACTGGCTTCTTTCACTCATTTATGCATTTAAATTTCCCCCATATTTTTTCATGCCTTGATAGCTCATTTCTTTTTGCGTTGAATAATATTCCACTGCCTGGACACACCACAGTTTATCCATTCATCTACTGAAGGACATCTTGGTTGATTCTGAGTTTGGGTGATTATGAATAAAAACAAATAAGCTTCCATAAACATCCATGTGCGGGTGTTTGTATGGATGTAAGCTTTGGTGCATTTTTGGTGTGTGCTCTTGAAAACCGGGCTGACAGTTATCTGAACCAAGCCTGGAGAGCAGGACGTGCCCTGGCTGGCCCCTCACCTGGTTCTGAACAGTGAGAGGCATTTTGACCCCCTACACTTCAGGAATGTGACTTCTAGAGTGAGGCTCGGCCTGGCCCGAGGCTGAGCGAATTATCTAGCTCTTAACTTAGGAGTGTCTGAAGGTAAAGAGAGATAGGAATAGGCAAATAGCACTTCGCTTCTTAGCAAGAAATTGCAGCAGGTAAGTTTGGAGTATAGAAAGAGGAAAGATGGTTTTAAGTGTTTCTTTAAGCAGCTCTCCAAAGATTACAAACTTTCATGAGAATAAGTGAATTTTCTGGTTCAGAGATTGCAGTTCAAATCTGTTCTACCTTGTAGACAATTTGATCCATGCCGAACAGAAATGTAATAGAGGAACGGAAGGGCGCTAGCTTAAGTCACGACTTGGATTAAATTGAGAAATTCAGGTCTTGTTGTTAGAAAGTATGGCTCCCATCTCATAAACAATTCTGAATCTGCAGCCTGCAAGCCCCAACCCGGGCCTGTCCTTGACTGAGTTTGTTCCCATCAGATGCTCACTGCAAAGCTTTTGGGGGACATAGCGCTTGCGTTCTAAGCGGGCTCTGAGATAACTTACTGGGGTTCCACTAGTACCTTGTGAGCCATTGCCACTCCCCCTCTATGATGACCTCGCCCAGGGCTAAGGGGAAAAAGCAGCAGGGCCCCCATGGACCTATCCAAAAGGAGATTAATCCAGGGTACTCAGGAAAATCTGTGTTGGAAATCCCTGAAAAAACATGGAAGCAGCATGGTGTGTGATTCAGTACAAACTACAAAAAACCTGGAGAAACAAGGCTTCCACGTGAGATTCGTGGGAGCTCTGTGACCTTACGCCACCAGCTCTAAATCAGCATTCCCTCACGTGTTTGCATAAACTTAGTGATAATACTTATTGTAATTTAAATTAATTAAAATAGAATAAAATGAAAACTTCAGTTCCCCAGCCTCGAAGGCTGCGGTATCCTACACACAGTGAAGAAGACCCTGCCAGAGAAAGTTCCCCTGGCAGCTGTGGAGAGCCGGGCCTTACGGGAATGCTCTGACACTTGCTGCGTGAACTGGTGACTGCAGAAAGGAAACAGGCTCACATGGCACACGGGAGGGTTGCTCCAGGCCTTTTTGGCTTTCTCAGCAGCAGGATGCTGATCAAGGTACAGCGAAACCTATCGGTTCGAATCCACTCTGGCAGAACCACCGCAGCCCATGCAAGGCAAGGACCTGAGAGGGGCAAGAGTGTGGGAGAACCAGCCCCACCCTACTCCCCGCAGTCCCAGCTTCCTGCTTGACAAATGTATACAGAGGCTGCTATTTCTCTTTGAAACATCCCATGTAGATTTCATTAAAAAAAAAAAACCTCAAAACTCACAAGATTCCCACTTACTTAAAGATCACTGTCATAACCTGGTTAGCAATCATCACACACAGCAGGCCTGCAAAGGGACCAACATCTGCTCAGAGGGAGGGAGCCTGGCCTAGATCCACTGGTACAGACACTGACGGAGCCCTGAACTGCTGAGAGAGGAAAAGTGTTTTAGGGTTCACCTGCTGGGAGGCCCCAGGTTTCCATCTACAGCTAAAGAAACACTTGGAGTTTGCAGAGGGGCCGTGGTGCACTCATCTGCACACACACCTCCAGCACTAGACACCCTGGGGGTGTGGCTGCAGGTGGACGCTGAGCTGTCCCTGTCCTCAGGCTTCACACACCAGCCACCACAGGTGACAGGAGGGCTAGACAGGTGGGATCTCTGGAGGTCACATGCAGCCGGTCTGAAAAACGGGCAACTTTGAAGGCAAAGGAGATGAGGGAGGCCAGGAGAGGGGCAGGTGCTTAGGACAAAGGCAGGAGGTGAGACAAAGCATCTAGGCAATGGGGCCACAGGGCCATGGGGACAGAGAAGGTGGCATTCCCCAGGAACAGGCCCCAGGGAAGCCCACCTACGCTGTGATGGGAGGGAGATACAAGGACACAGTAACCATTTTAGATAGAGAGCAGATTATAAACTTAATGCATAAGGTATACGCTATCATGCAGACAATATCTGAAAATATAAACATAGGTGCTGCATCCTGTATTTATACAACCATAAATATACATAGACTATAAGTAGATAAACACCAGAGGCTGAAAAGCAGAGAAGTTAACACTTTGTGACATATTTATCTATGTAGGGCTGGACCAACCGCCAGTGGGATTTCAACTCCTGGATGTTAGGACAGTTTTTAGGGTACTTTCTTGGTGGAAGGATCCTAGACTCAGACTGAACCAGTTTAAGTACCATTTTAGATCCCAGGTTAGCTTGCTGGAGCTGCCATAACAAAGCACCATAGACTGCATGGCTTAAACAACAGACATTTCTCTCTCACAACCCTGGAGGCTGGAAGTCCCAGATCAAGGTGTGGGCAGGGCTGGTTCCTCCTGAGGCCTCTCTCCTTGGCATGCAGATGCCATCCTCTCCCTGTGTCTTCACACGATCATCCCTCTGTATGTGTCTGTGTCCTCATGTCCTCTTAGGAGGATGCCAGATTGCATCAGGGCCAACCTGGTGACCTCACTTTATGCTAATCACCTCCCTAAAGGCCCTGTCTCCAAATCTAGTCCCATCAGGGGTAAGGACTTCAACATAAGAATTTGGGCAGGAGAAAATCCAACCCATAACAGATCCATACCGAGATGTTCAAATCACCTGGGCAAAATTGGGACATTGTTCTCTCCCACAGCAGGCCATCATAGGGTTCATTTGTTCAAATGCTGGAACATTCTTCAAACCCTGTCTTAGAATCTCAGAGTAGGGGCCTCAGAGGGCCCCTCAGTGAAACTGCCTCCATGGTGGCTGCACCTGAGCTGCTGCCTTGGGGGTGACACCCCTGGAACTCGCCCCAGAGTCACCCACTTGTCACTAAATGGTGCCATGAGCATGGCCTCCCCAGGCAGAGCTGATTTGATCACGAGCTTTGACTCCTGTGATTGGCCTTGGACATTTTTCTTACCAGTGTGTTATTTTCCTATTCCTATTTGGTATTCTCTAGTGATTCGAGTGCGTAGGTAACTAAGTTTCCTGTTTTAATGATATATTTAGGAAATTCTGATATCATTTCAAGTATCTTTAAAAACAATCTACTTAATTGTCAACAACCAAGTGTATGGAAAGTTACGTAAAATCCTGTTTACTGATGAGAGAAGGCGGCTGCTGTGGTGACAGCACACAGTCAGCAAAGAGGTCCAGAGGATGACGTGCAGCTTCCCGGCGGCCTGGAGAGCTCCCCAGGTCTCACCCCATCTCGCTTCCATCTCAAGGTCCTGGGCACCCCCCTCTTGCAGACCTGCTTCTATTTTTTGGACAGTTTGGGAAAATCACGCTCTTTAATCCTGAACACCTCGGATCACTTCAAAACAAGATGCTCAGAAAAGGGAAACTCTAATCCGTCAACCAGGGAAAGATAGTAACTGTCTAATCGCACAGCATCCCACAGTGAGCAGCCACCAGGCCGGGACAGAGCAGACCGTGCATCCAGGTGCCTAGACTGCCCCACCTTCGAATTCAGAGGAAAAAAGACCCAGTTCGCTGCAGCAGCATTACTCGGGATAAGGCCATGATCTCATAACCTCTCAGTAGTGGCTGTGGGGTGGGGCTGGCTTCTGGACACCCAGCTCAGCTGTGTTATCACCTTCTCCCATCCTGTGGGAGGGCGTGTGCACTGATCACTCCTGGTGTGAGCACAGAGAGGGGTCGACGCGGTCGGTGCTGCTGAAGGCCGCCGTGCATTTGTTCCATCTAACATACATGCATTGGGCACCGAGGGGGCTGGTAATGGTGAGTGACACAGACACACAGAGGCTGTCGGGTGCTGCTGAGGATGGTGACTGAGTGAATCATGGGCGGTGGGAACAGGTCGCAGGAGATGTTGCAGGAGAGGCAGAGACCTGTGGCTCTGGGAGCCCTTAGGTGGGAGGATCAGTGTCTCTTCCAGTTAGGTTTGAAGAATGGTGCAGGACTCCCTGGTGAGCCAGGTGGACATGACCTCAAGCTCCTGGGCCCGTTGCCTGGGATGCATCCCAAGGCACGCACCAGGACCTAACCAGTGTCTTCAGCCTCTGCTAGGAGCTTCCAGTCAGAGTCCCCCTGCACATTCAAACGTGTGACAAGCATTCTCGATGCTTCACCTATGCCCAGGATTTGACTCCAGCCAGTCTTTGCACAGTTGTCCACCTCCCTGTTCACTTTTCTTTAAGTCATGGATAACAAAGGGTGGAGATTTGATGGTGTTGCTGTCTTCCGCCGAGTGTGGGATAGCCCACAGGGCCTCTGAGCACTTCACCATCCATTCTCTAGCTGTCTCTGTCTGTCCCAGACCCCTCACCCTTTGATCTGCTGCCAGGCAGGAAGACGTTTAACTGATTTTGCAGATTGGGACCAAACAACTTCGGTGGGTGGAACGGCTGGTGCGTGCGCTTCCTTTCCCTCCCCCAGTGTCAGGGCACTGAGGCTGGAGTTGGTGAAGCACTAGGGCTCGTGCAGCAGGTGAGAGGAGGGAAGCTCCTCCCTGGGAGGGACAGGCACCCCTACTCGCCTTCACGGAGCCCTTCTTCAGCTCCCAGTATGTTAGCAGGAGTTTCAGGAAAGAAACGACAGAGGCCATCAAATGCACAGATGAAATTTTTAAGTGAAAGGAAATACTGTCCAAAACTTTCATTTTAGAAAGGAAAGAAGCACTTCTAAAGAAGCATTTCTTGTCCCGAGGGACAAGAGGGCCACCCATGGTTGCTCAGCGTGGGCTGCCGACGGCCGCCCGGGTCTGGTGCATGTGGTTTCTTGTCTGCTGTGCACTGAGCACAAACTACATGCCAGGCTCTGCCCTGTGCTTCTAAGACATTATTTGTCAATACTCATGGCAAACTTATGATGTAGATATTGATGCCTCCTTTACAGAGTAGAAAACAGAGGCTCACAATGCTGAGAGTTTTGCCCAAGGTGACACGCTAACCTGTGCTTCCCAGGCCTGTGTGTCTCCGAGGGTCTTAACCACAATGAAGATTTTGATTCAGTCCGTCTGGGTTGGGGCCTGAGATTCTGAATTTCCAAGAAGTTCCAGGTAATGTGAGTACAGGAGGCCCCAGGACTGCCCCGTGAGTAGCAAGTCTCTAAACCAGCATCTCTGCTTATCGTCACAGAGGTGCACAGGCTGATTCTGCAGGCCTCTCCTGGCTGACGCTGGCCTCGGCACCCAAGTGCAGAGGGAACTGGTCCTGGCTGTGGAGATTCAGGGCCTCACCTGGACTGTGATTCTTGAGGCCATGACCATCACAGGGGCCCGTGGGCGGGGCCCTCACACACCTTCCAGGTCACCCTTTCTCTGTCCAGCAGGGTCTCACTTCTGTACCGAGGTTTAACCCTGTGGCACTGAATATTCACAGCTTTTCATGAACGCGTGTCACTGGTGAGATTCCTACAATGTGGACCAAAACAAGAGGCATCGTTTTTCCTGAAACTGACACCATCCCATGATAGACAAAAAAGTAAAAACACTGAGCATTCTGACACTGTCTTGTTGCCTTATTATTTGAAGAAGCAATAAATGAATCAATAAGATATTTAGGACATTTCAGCTGGCAAACTCAAATTTATTATTCAGCCGTTGTTATCAAAAGCCAGATTGCACTTAGCCCATAAAATACTGAAGAAAAAACTGCTATGAATAATATTTTATAATTTCTTGGTGAGCGTTTGATATGTACCTACACAGCACAGCAAAGCACGCCTTTGCCTGTGATTCTACCACACCTCACCAACGCGTTTGTTAAAACAGTCTGCACGGGGCTGTAAATGCTGAGGCCAAGGGAAAAAGTAAAAAGGAAAACTATATGACCTGGGGGAAGTGGTTTTACTTGATATGACTGAAACAGATGCTGAGCAAAACACATCATCTAGAATCAAGAGTATTGGGATTCATAAGTAAATTCATCACAGAAATGTTTCAGACTCTTTCGAGGTATTGCGTCCTTGAGTCATTCAATAATTTGTTGTTAAGGCAGGTGGAGGAAAATAAACTTTAGATTCACACAGACCTGGGTTTGGATTCTGTCTCTGATGAATATTTGCTGCGGATGAATATTTCTGGGGAAGTTATGTAGCTAATTTTGAGTTTCTGGATAACAGAGCTTTCCACTAAAGACTGATTTTACAATTATGTACCCAAAATTCTACTCTTCTTTTCTTTTGTTCTTTTTTTTTTAATACTACGATGGTTTTTAGTACGTTCATAGAGCTGTGAAATCATCACATTTTTGTCATTCCCTAAGGGAAACATGCTCATTAGTACTCATTTCCTTCTTTCTTGCACCCACATCGCAAGCCCAGGCAACCATGAATCTACGTTCTACTTCTGTGGATTTGCCTATTCTGGACATTTCTTATCAATGGGATTATACAGTATGTGGCCATTTCCTTACTCCAGTACAGTTTTTCCCATTTGCCTCCTTTGTACTGTTATTGTCAAGTATATTACATTTCTGTATGTTATGCGTCCAATAATACAATTCCATACTTATTGTTCTATGCAGTTGCTTTTGAAAACAGGAGAAAATATATGCATTTATACTTTTTTTAAAAAGTACATAATTACCTTTACTACTGCCCTTTGTTTTTTTGTGTGGATTTGAAAATCGTATGAGTTCACTTGTTTTCAGCCTGAAGAATTCCTTTAATATCTCATAAAGCAGTTCAGCTAGCAAGAAATTCTCTCCGTTTTTGCTTATCTTGAAATTTCTTTATTTCACCTTCATGTCTGACAGATGGCCTTGCTGGATATAGGATTGTGGATTAATAGTTTCTTCCTCTGAGCACTTTGAATATGTTATCCCACTGCCTTCTGGCCTCCATCCTTTTACAGACAGATCAAGTGTTAATCCTACTGGGTTCCCTTCTTTGAGGCGAGCCATTTTATTCTGTTCCTTTCAAGGTTTCTCCTTGTCTTTGTCTTGAACATTTTGATTCTGGTGTGTCTAGGTGTGTGTGTCCAGGTGTGTGTGTCCAGGTGTGTGTGTCCAGGTGTGTGTGTCTACGTGTGTGTGTCCAGGTGTGTGTGTCCAGGTGTGTGTGTCTAGGTGTGTGTGTCCAGGTGTGTGTGTCTAGGTGTGTGTGTCTAGGTGTGTGTGTCCAGGTGTGTTTGTCTAGGTGTTTGCGTCCAGGTGTGTGCATCCAGGTGTGTACGTCTAGGTGTGTGTGTCCAGGTGTGTGTGTCTAGGTGTTTGTGTCCAGGTGTGTGTGTCTAGGTGTGTTTGTCTAGGTGTGTGCGTCCAGGTGTGTGCGTCTAGGTGTGTGTGTCCAGGTGTGTGTGTCTAGGTGTTTGTGTCCAGGTGTGTGTGTCTAGGTGTGTGTGGCCAGGTGTGTGTGTCTAGGTGTGTCTCTTTGTGTAGAGTTTTTTGGGCTCCTTGAATGTGTAGGTTAACATTTTTCAGCAAATTTGGGAGCTTTTCAGCTATTATTTCTTGGACATTTTTTCTGCTTGGAACTTTTTTTCTGCTTCTTTCTCTCTCACATCTCCTCTGGTACTCTCATTAAGGGTGTCCCACGCTTCTATTCATTTTTCTTAATTATTTTTCCCTCTCTGTTTTTCAGGTTGTATAATCTCTATTGACATAACTTCAAGTCTGCTGGTTCTTTCTTCTGACTGCTCCAATTTACTGCTGGGCCCCTGAGTGAACTTTTCATTTCAGTTATTGTTCTTTTCAACTCCACAATTTTTTGTTTTTTAAAATAATTTTTATTTCTTTATTGATATTCCTTATTAGATGGGACACTGTCATCATAATTTCTTTTAATTCTTTTAACATGGTCTCCTTTAGTAACTTGAATATGTTTCTGTGGCTGTTTTGACACTGGCTGACTTTGTCTGTTAATCCGATGTCTGGAATTTGTCATAGTTTCTGTTGCCTTCTGTTTTCCTGAGCATGGGTCGCACTTTCCTGTTTTCTTGCATTTTTGTGGAAACTGGCATTTTAGGTAATATATCATAGCAAATCTGGATTCTGACCCCGACCCCCAGGGGCTGCTATTTCTGTTTGATTGCTTGCTTGCTTGTTTGATTAGGGACGTAGCTCTGATATTGCTCCTCAGAGGGCACAGCCTTGGACTAGCACACAGTCTCTCCGACCACCTGTGGTATCTATGGTTTTCTCTGGGCTCTCTGTTAAGCTTCCGCAGGTCTGTCTCTCTTTGGTGTCACACACAGCTGTTAACATCCACTAAATGCAAGTGCTCTATCATTTTTTATGGTGCCTGGGGCACACGTTGCTCCATAGACTCATCCAGTGAACATCAGGTCCTTTTGCAGGGGCAGAGTGTTGCCAGCTTTTCAAGTCTGCTCAGACCCCTGGTGCTCTTCTCAACAATCTCTCTTCCTTGTTCCCTCTGTTTAATTTCTATCTAGTCTACCATTTCACCCACTCTTAATTGTTCATCAACAAAATCTCCACTATTTTTGCCAATTTCCTTGGGCTTGAACTTCCGCATGCTGTTCTCCAAGTAAAGTCTGTCACCTCAGGGACATGCTCTGCTCTTAGGTCTCCTCTGCTCCTGGGGACCGTGATCCAGTTCCACCAGAGTGACACCCTTGCTGCATGAGCCAGTAGCTGGGTGGGCATGGTAGCCTCTTGTCCTCCTAGCTTGCCCCTCCAGACATGGAACCTCCACACTGTGAGTGACTTGGTGTGGGGCAATCCAGGCAGATGTGCTCAGTCTGCCACACCTGGGATGGGGCTCCCACCCTCTGAGGACAAGCACAGGCTGAAGCAGGGGAGCCCTAGTCCTCTCAGTTGCAACTTCCTGGAATGGTGCTTCTGCAGTGCAAACTGAGAGGGATGAGAGATGCAGGTGGCCTGCCTTCCTGGGGTGAAACCACATCCCTAGACCAGGAGCCAGGAAGACAGACCACAGCATCTTGTTAGCTGGACCTTCCTGGAGCAGAGCTTTCATCACAATGCGCTTTAAGGGTGGGGAGCGGTGGATTGTGGCTCTGATACCACTGATCCTTACCGTTCTTACTGAGATTTGATTATTTCTTTGAGTAAATATTTATCCACCTGCTGTATGCCTTTAGGATAATTTCTAGTTTTAAAAAAATGAATGTTCGGCGGTTAAATGGTTATTTCCCTGGATAGAGGCCCTTCCAAGCTCCTCACACCACCATTCCAGAAGCTCTCCTCTGCTGCTTATTTTTGAAAATAAAATTTTATTGGAACATCCAGACATGCTCATTCCTTTATATATTACCTACCCACATCTTCACCCTTCAACAGCAGAGTTGGTAACTGCAACAGAAACTGCATGGCCCATAAAGCTTAAAACAGTTACCGGCCCTTTACAGAATTCTTTTCCACTGCTTGTCCTAGATAATAATTTGATACAAATTTGTGCTCATTTGTTAATTCAAAAAAGTGTAACTACTTATATGCTGGGATAAACCAAAGAGACACAAAGTTTCATCCCTCAGGAGATTTCAGGTTAGAAGAAAAGATCATTTTTAGTCAAAGAGACCACAAACATAGGCCAGGCTTGGTGGCTCAAGCCTGTAATCCCAGCAGTTTGGGAGGCTGAGGCAGGAGGATCACTTAGAGTTTGAGACCAGCCTGGGCAACATAGTGAGACCCCGTCTCTACGAAAAATTAAGAGAAAAAAATTGACCACAAATATAAGTCAGACCACGACTATAATAGATATGGCCTAAGAGATATTCCCTGACTCAGGAAGACGCGGCAGACATGATGAGGAGACTATACTCAAGAAGACTCCCATGAAGAAGTGAAAATGGAAGCTAAATTCTGAAGGATAAGCCAGCATTAGCAAGGCCAAGAAGATCCCTCAGGAGCTGACCCTGTGACAAGGATTGGAGTGCAGGCTGTTTATTTCCAGGAGAGAGGAAGATGGCCAACAAAGGGTACGCTTAAAACCAGTCACCACTGTGGGCAGCTGCAGCCTTCTGCCACTGTCAGACTCTGGGAGCCAATGCAAACAACAAAAGCAAAAACAAACACCCAAAAGAATGCACCTGAGATGTATTCACCCCAGAGGGCGAGGAGCCGGATAGATGTCCGTAACCAAGGTCTCCTGAGGGCTGTGCCCTGACGCATTTATTCCCTGGAACTTTTGCCTGTGGATGGAGCCGGTGGCAGCAGATTGGGTTTTAGCTGCGGGACAAAGACCTTGGACAAGGAACTGGGGCACTGGCCCCTGGGAGCTGGCTGGGGGGGCACTGCAGTGCCACGTGTAGAGAATATGGGCAAGGCCCCAGCAGTGGACATTATGGAGGTACTCCAGGCAGAGGGAGTATCACCAGCAAAGGCCCCGTGGCAAGGCAAGACCACAACCAGGGTCCAAGAGAAGTGGGCAACAGCAGAGCTACGTGGAGCCAGGGACTTATTGGACACAGGCCCCTCATTTCCTGGCACGTGAGATGGTGTCCTTGGTTATCCTGCCCTAGAACATGCTTAAAGGTGTCCTATAGTCACTTAAGAATTCAGCCAATACTGTAGTGCCTGTGAGTATCAGATGTTTCATTATTTAATCTTCAAGTATTCTTGTATGTATTCATTTCATTAGTAAGAAAAATAGTGGTCAAAAGGTGAGAGGAATTGCCCATATCACACAGCTTATAGAGCTGCAACCACCATAACTGAAGCATCAAAAGGAAAGGAAATCGTGAACAAAAGTCCACGATGCCTCCAGCACACGCACAGGGTCTTTAATTCACACCTTCCCCATGGATTGGGCTGAAAGGATAAGCTCCAAATTTGCAGCATATTAGTGTATTTTTTCATTAAAGATGATTCAGTACTTGCAAGGGTCATTTCAGCAGCTGCAGGCCAAAGGATAGAAGTCTCTTGTCCCTTCCTAAGGATAAGAGGAGCACGGTCATGTGGATCCCTGCACCCTGACTCAGTTTGAGGAATGCATTCTTCATTCTGTGCCAGGCTTTCTAATTAAGGAACAGCTCAGATGCCACCTCCTGCACGGCAGTCACCCTTGACTGTCCCAGGCTGGGTCAGGTGCCCCGGCTCTCTCTATGCTTCCCCAGCACTCTGCATTGGGCTCTTTTTTACCCTTCATCAGGCTGCATGGGACATAGCCTGATCCCGGATCCTGGCTGTGAAGTAAGCCGCGTGGCTTCGGCGGCACACCATCGTGGCCGTGGGCTGGCTGAGCGCTCAGCTCCTCAGCACCTTGGAGACACCTTGGCCCTGCTCGTGGTCCTGCTGTGGGGCACTGGTCAGGTGAGGGTGGGGGTTCTGCAGTGATTAAAATACTCCATTACCTGGGTATGCAATCCGTTCAGATATTGGCAGGTGATCCAAGTCAGGCCAAATAAAATTTGCCCTGAGAGTTTATGAACACTGAGAGATAAATTATGAGTCTTTCTCTAGGGATCTTGCTACAAGGAATAAATGGATGCCGCTTTCAGGAAGCCTTATGAAATAGAGAATAGTGAGAACAAAATACAAAGAGAAGCAGAGACAAGAAGACAGAGAAGTGGACGGAAAGATGCAGGGATGGATGAATGGGTGGGTGAACAGGGGGTGGAGGGATGGGGGAGGGAGGAAAGGAGAGATGAAAGGATGGATGTGCATGTGGATCAATGGATAAAGACACGGGTGAGTGAGTAGGTGGGTGGAGGGGTGGATGGAGGGAGGGAGGGTTGGATAGATGGGTGGATGGATAGGTGGATGAACAGCAAAGAAACAGTTTCTCACAAAATTATTTAAACTCGTATATCTAGTTATGACTTCAGCTAGAATCTTTCACTAGATTTTTATGATGTGAGCCAATAAATCCCCTTTGGATTCAGCTAGATTTGCTAGGTTGCTTGCTACCAAAAAATTTAAAATTTGCATAATATATGCTCCTCTCTCTCTTGAATTCCCTGCTTTGCCCACTCGGCTCGTATCTGGAACCGTCTCCCTCACTGCTGGCTATCTCTAATCCCCTCCTTTTCCTTGGCCCTCATGCTCTTAACCACGCCTTCTTTCCTGTAGGAACTGTGCTTCTATAGGAAACCGTCATTCCACTCGCTTGAGACTATGCTGGGGAACAACAGCAGTTCCAAACTTGCCCACAGCCCAAGAGCGACGTGCACGGAAGCAGGAACATCCTGCACCTTCATCACAAGGACTGACTAATGGTGGTTCCCTTTAGCTACAGATGACTCCATCCTTCCCACTCTCGCCCTTTGGATGACAGTCTTCCCCCTGATCTCCACACCCAGCTCCCTCACTCCCAGCTCCACACTTGCTTCCTGGTTGGTCCTGGTGGGCCATGGTGGGTCTATGGGACTCAGCAGGCACCTGTGCTGATGGTTTCTGGGTTCCTGGATGTTTGCTGCTGGTGCCGCTTCTCATCTTTCTCTTGAACATTTCCAACTGCACCACGATCCCACTGAGACACCTCTCAGGGAACTCATTGTGTGGAAAACTGAATGCTTCTCCTCCTGCATCCCATAATGCAGACAGTGGCTTCTCCACCCTCCCAGGCCCCAGCCCCCCAGCCCAGAAACCCCTCAGTCCTTTGTCTCCTCTCCTAAATCAACAAGCCCTGTTGGCTCTTGCCAGTGAAGTTCCTCTCACTCTTTGGCCTGCCTGTCACTGTCCAGTCCTTGTTAATTCTTGCCAGATTTCCTGTGACCATCTCTTAGCTCCAGGCATCATCTTGCCTCCAGCCTCACCCCCACACAGCAGGGACCTGTCTCCTGCAAGCCTCACTGTCACCGCATCCTGGACGTACATGAGGGTCTGTGTCTTTCACAGCGAAGTCCAGACCTCCTGATGGTGAGCACAGCCCTTCGTGATCTGCCCCCGACACTCAGCCGTCTCATTCTCAGCTCCTCACACACATCTCACCAGAGCCATATGCCTTGCATCTTGGATATTATTTTCAGGAAATTGCCCCAAACCAAGCAGTGGGACCAGGGACAGTCGGCGACTTCTCTGGACCTGTCTTTCCTTATCGATAAGATGAAAGGCTTAGACAAGGCCACCTCTATGGAGCCCGGCCACTTTGCCCCACTGGGTTTCCTTTTGATATACTTAATGACACTAAAAAACCTATTTAAAGGTACCAATTCTGGGAGAGGGAAAGAAACAGCAAAATGCAAATTCTACCAGTTCACCAAACCCAACTTAAATCTTCTTCAGGAGCACAATGCAGCTGCCGCCCACCCAGGCCTTCCAGGAGCCCGCAATGAAGTTAATTATTAGACCTGAGGGCATTTGAGTGGAGTGGGACTCCCAGCACACTGAGGAAGCAAGAAAAACCTGAAGTAAAAAGAGAGCTAAGCTAAGACACCTGATAGATGTTAAGTCAGGAACAATCCCCTG
Organism: Homo sapiens; assembly: GCF_000001405.40. Classification (NCBI taxonomy): domain Eukaryota; kingdom Metazoa; phylum Chordata; class Mammalia; order Primates; family Hominidae; genus Homo; species Homo sapiens. The sequence goes on from NC_000008.11 coordinate 326,425, forward strand.
GAAAGTAAGTTAGGAATGTAGGAAATTTTTCCAAGTTGCTCACTTAAATCATTTCCAAAGTGGTTTGACTTTTTCCTTAATGAAATTGTCATGATAGGTGGGACGTAACTTTGGATTTGAGTTCATAATATCTCTTAAAATCAATTAGAATAATAAAGTCATATATGTTTCTGGCAAGTTAGTGTGTAAATATCTGGCTCTAGAACCTACTGTCAGCTGAGGCCAGGTGCAGTGGCTCATACCTGTAATCCCGGCACTTTGGGAGGCTGAGGCGGATGGATCACCTGAGGTCAGGAGTTGGAGACCAGCCTGGCCAACATGGTGAAACTGTGTCTCTACTAAAAATACAAAAATTAGCCAGGCCTGTGGCGTGCACATGTAGTCCCAACTACCCGGGAGGATGAGGCAAGAGGATTGCTCTAAGGTGGAGGCTGCAGTGAGCCAAGATCACGCCACTGCACTACAGCCTGGGCGACAAAGCAAGACTCCATCTAAAACAAAACAAAACAAAACAAAACAAAACTTACTGTGAGCTGAAAGAACTCTGGCCATCGAACCTGCCTATGCCCATGTCCATGTGGACCCCACCCCAGGGCCAGCCTCTCCGGAGCCCCAGACACTGCAGGACAGAAACAGGAGAGCAGGAAACAGCAGGAAAGGAAAAGGAGGAGTGAGAGAAGAAAAAAATAAGGGAGGAAGGGAGAGAAAAGAATCAGCCCAAGTCTCCATGCCCTGTCCCGGTGCCGTGACGGACCAGCACTTGGGCAAGGTTGGAGAGTGGAGGGTGTGTGCTGAGCGGGGCGGTGCGGGTTTAGCAGGTGAGGGAGCTGACCATTCTCAGCCCTTCCTGAGTCACCCTGGAGACCAGGCCGTTTAAGGACACCTCACAGCTCCTCTCCATGGCGACTTGGCGGGAGGAGCCCTGCCGCAGCTCTGTCTTCTCTGCACTCACCAGCCTTTTTTCCCTCATAGCCAAAGTCAAGCAGCTTAATGTTGACACAGCTCTTCCGACTTTACAAGATGCTTGTAGTTTTGGAACCACTTTGCCTACCCCGAGGGAGAAAAGCAGCTAAAACCAACAATGGAAGCATTTTATTCTTGAAGACACTGAGAAAGGTGGCGAAGGCCTGGCTGTGGAGAGAAGAAACAAGGGGCACCCTCTCCTCCCTCTTCTGTTTCTCTCCACACTGTGGCTCCCACTAAAACACATTTAAAGCCAGTTCTTGAAGGGTTTTCTCCATAACTGATGTGTCAGTTTTGTCTAACAATTCATTTTTCAAATAATCATCCATTTGGGAAGTCCTTTTTTGTAAAATTCACATTCTAAGAGAAATTTTAAAAAACGAAATCCTCTAAAACACGGATATATCTACAAGAACACAGCACCACAAGACACTATCAGGTCCCATGACTCAGCCCTAGATAAGCTCTTCGAAATAGGAGGGAGCTCATCTGTCCAACATCTCATCAGTTTCAGTAACAACTCCCAATCCAAGCCTGTCAATTAACGATAAACCGCTGTTTATGTAATGAAACACACAGATCTTTCTGACTTACCGCTTCTACATAGATTCATTGTGTTTATTTATGACTTCTTCAAGAAAGACAGAGATTGAGTGAGGTATTGCAGTCACTGCTAAAGAAATAATCAGTATTTAGCATTTGGACGGCACTTCCCTTGACAAACACCTCACTACCCGTCACTTAATTTACATTTCTCACTAAAGTGCCAGCGCCTTTCAGAAGCTAGCCATTGCCCTGCCCCCAAGTCTGTCATCACACTTCACTGTCAGAGAGAAGACTCTGAAAATGGAAAGATCCCGGCATGGCCCCCTGTAGGATGGAGCTCAGGTGCTCTGGTTTCTGGGCCCCATCACCATTGCTGAAGCAGGGAGTTACAACGTAAAATCTAATTTAGAATTACATTCACTATGAAGAACTGAATTATTTTAATTACTGAGCTGATAGCCTGCTTGTGACCTGCAATGACTGAAGGACATTTTTAAACATAAGACAAAGCAGAAAAGTCATAGGCATGTCCACGTGTACCCTAGGAAAGAGAAACTCCTCCTCCAATGAATAAATGTAAGTGAATAGAAATAAAGTTGCTTTCTAATTACATCCCACAGACCCAGCCTGCAAGAGAGAGGTCCAAAACCAGTTGCCACTCACCATATAAAGAGCCAACCCAGGGAGGGAGCACATGTGTCCCTGACCTCTGTCCCAGGCTGGAGAACGGACTGTCCCCTCTGGGAAAACCTGACCAGACCAAGAGAAAATGCTGACGGATACAGAGAGCTGAGAGCTGCCAAGGGAGGCTGCGTGGCCCGGTCACCCCACAGCAGCCCCATGTGAACAGATGGTCAGGAGTCAACAGGAGGATGCACCATGAAGGACAGAGATCAAAACGGGAAAAGGAAAACAGACCAAAGACAGGTGGAGAGCAGGAAGGAATTCCAGTAACTGTAAATACTGTCTTCAGAGAGAAAAGATACGTCACCACTAAAGAACTGGAAGTCATGAAAAATGAACAGTTAAAAAAAGAGGATCTGGGAACTTAAACTCTGAAACAATTTTTAAATTCCATAAAACTTGTACTAGATAAAGTTGGTAAACCTCACAGAAAGTAAATCAACAACAAAAAGAGATCTAAAAGGTGAAAAATAAGAGAAAAAAGTGTAAGAAAATTGGAGAAGTGGTCTGGAACGTTCAACACCAGAAATAATGGGTTCAAGGAAGAGACAAGATAAAAGACTGAGAAAAAAAATTATCAATCAAAGAATTCCAGAAAATGTCTTAGTGTTTTACTCCATTTGTACTGCTCCAACAAAATACAGGAGACTGAGTACTTTATAAAAAACAGAAATTTATCTCTCACAGTTCTGGAGGCTGGGAGTCCAAGATAAAGCACCAGTGGGCTCAGTGTCTGGCAAGGGTTGGGACTCTGCTTCCCAGATGGTAGCTTGTGGCTGGGCCCTCACGCGGCAGGAGGTGAAAAGGTAAAAAGGCAAACCCAGGCCCTCAGCCCTTCCTTAAGGGCACTGATCCCACTGTGAAGGCTCTGCCCTTGTGACTTAACCACGTCCTTCAGGCCCCACCTCTCAATACTATCACATTGGCCATTAAGTGTGAACATATGAATTTGAAGGTACACTTTCAGACCATAGCATTCAGAATGCAACACGTTTCCAAATGAAAAGAGCTAGCACAGAGATAAAAATGAACCTACATCATATTGTCCTGCAATTTCAGAAAGCCAAAAATGAAGAAAAGACCCTGAATGCTTCAAGATAATAAAGAAAAAAGAAGTGTATCGCTTGAGGATGGGGGACGAGATTGCGATTGAGCTTCTCTAGAACAACATAGGAGGCAAGCGGAAAATGAAACAGTGTTTTCAAAATTCAGAGACAGCTTTAAATCCAAAATATATTCTATAACCAGAGAAACTGTTAGTCAAGTAAAATGTGAAGAGAAATCCTTATTTCCTATGCACTCATTCTCCTGGAGGAATTTAACAAACAAACAAAAAGAAGTGATCCAGGAAACAGCACTGCAGTGCAGGTGAGAGGTGAAAAGAGTGTTCAGGATTAAGGTGAAGACGGAGCTCAGATGCTGCACACCTGTACTGCATGCCCATATAATACACCTACACAGCACACCTGCACAATATACCTGCATACCACCCCTATACAGCACACCTGTACAACACACCTGCATGGCACACCTACATAATATACCCCCACAATACACTTTCACAGCACACATGCATAATACACCTGCATAGAACACCAGCACAGTACACCCACACAGCACACCACTCGCACACTTGTACAATATACCTGCATGACAGTCCTGGATTGCAAACGCCACTGTTGGAGCAGGACCAAAAGCTTCAGGAATGGTAGCTCCTAGGAAATAATCAAGCAGATAGATTACCTGATGCATTTGACCTTATCAAGATTATGTTCACATACGTGGCAGAGTTCAGGGATAAATTATTCGTGGATACACGGACAACTAAACAACAACAAAAAAGATAATTATTGACTACCCATCAAGCAAAATGTCACCCAGTAAAGGAAATATAAATATATTAGCTTGAATCTGTGGCTCGGATGTAAATAATATTTATAAGATAGTAATATAAACATTGAAGATTGATGTAAAAATTATTACATATGTTTTATTTGGATGAGGGGGATGTATGTGTGTTAACAACAAAGAAAGAAGAAGCGATAAAAAAGATAATCCTTAGAACTTGGAAAGGCATTGATAACGTTTAAAAAGAAAAAAATCAAAGAGTAGTAAACCCATGGTCTTTAAAAGTTTAGAGGTAAACACTGAAAAACAGATAAAATTTGAAACGGTTGCCTCTGGAGCAAACGCATCAGTTAGCAGTGTGGAGGGGTGGGGTTGTTTTTTGTTATAAAAGTTATACCAACTTATTTGACTTACTGAATGACACAGGTGTATAACAAAATTAATTTTTGCAGCATGATGGAGGTGTAACCAATTCATAGGAGCAGGGACTTGAGGAAGGAGCTGAGAATTTCAAGGAGTTGGGAGAGGAACAGGCTCTGGGTGCAGCAATCACTGCATTGCAGGAGATGTGCTAAGTGCATTGGACCAACTCATGTTAATCTCCATTATGATCCTCATGAAGTGAGAACTGCTCTTATCCCTCTTTCCAGACCAGGAAAACAGGCCACAATGGTTATATAATTTGTCCAAGGTCATAGCTGATCTGTGGCAGAGCTAAATTCTGATTCCAGGTGGTTGAGCTTTGGCCAGGGGTCGCACTGGCTCAGTGAGCCACCTGCTACCCCTCCGCCGACACGTTCTGTTTGGTTCCTGACTCAGTGTTCTGTTGTTACGGATTTCTCCCCTGGTGATGCAGTATCCAGCATTACTTGGAAGCTGACAAAAGGAAACATGTTCCAATCTTTGTCACACAGACATTCTGTAAGTCTAAATAAATTGTTCTTGTACTACAATTCTCTGTTTGTATCATCAGATTATTTTCACTGCAAATCAAGCCAATGTTTTCTTGCTCGCTTCTCATGAAAACAGAAAATATTTGCTCACAACCTCCTGTGACTTTTTTTGTATAATGCAGAGAGAAACTAAATATTTCTGCTTAAGATAAATGATCTACAGACTTGCAGTCAATCAGAGATGTCTACCAAGGGTCGGCTTCCTGCTCAGCGCTGTTTGGCTCCAGGGCTCAGGGACGCAAGTTCGTGTCCTAATCCCAGTGAGCTTGTGCTCCACAGTGGAGAAAAAACTACGTGGGCAAAGAAAACCAACGATCGGCAATAATCTTTACCAAGAACCCGGGGTTAGGGGGGATATGGAGGATGGAGGGTGGCTAATGCCAGAACGAGAGCTTTTGGAAGAAAGGAGACCAATGAGGAAAACCTTCATGGAGGAGGTCGGGCTGGAGAGGGTCTTTAAAGAGAGGCAGGGGCCATGAAGAGTGGGAGACCAGTGATCCCAGGAGGGGCGTGCAGGCCAGGGGATGGGGTGGTCCAGCTGGAAAGGGGAGTGTGTTTGGGGCGTGGGGGCTGGGTCACTGCCTTGAGACCTATGGTGGCAGAAAGGCCTCAACGTTGGAAGAGGGGCTCAATGTCAAGCTGCATTTTCCTTTGTGGGTCTGACTTTCCAGTGTCCTTACTGCTGTCAGGACCCTCCCCGACCCCCTTATGAGCACTTGACATTTATGTCCAGTTATGGTGCTTACTTCTAACAGGAAGAATGGGACAGAAGCTAAATGAAGGCATTTCTGCATAAAGCTTGTAATCCAGCTGCGTTAACCTGAAATTGCTGGTCGAAGGTCACCTTCCCTTGGGACTAAACTCAACATAAATTCTCATGCCTAAATCTAGTAATGGCACCATATTCGATCATCAGGTATTGATGAAGAGAAATGCTAATCATGATCTGGGTGTTGACTACAGGGGTATGTTTGGTTTGCTAAAATTCATCGAGCTGGACCTTATGATACTTGCCCTTTTCTGTGGTGCATTATACTTCAGTTAAAAGTTTCTAAAAATTCTAATTAAAGTAACTTTTATGTATGTCTCTCTTAAGTGCTTGGCACAAAGGCAGACATTTTATGTACAGAGTTAGGTGTGGCAAGCTAAATTGTGGCTCCCGAAATATGTCTAGTCCTGAAGCTCGGTTCCGGTGAATGTGACCCTATATTGAAAAAGGGTCTTTGCAGATGTGAGTCGGTCAAGCATCTCAACCTGAGATCATCCTGGATTATCTGGTTGGGCCCTAAATCCAATGGCACCTGTCCTTACAGAGTAACAGAGGTGAGAGAAGGCCTTGTGAAGACAGACAGAGATGGGAGTGATGTGGCCACAAGCCAGGGGAGGCCTGGAGCCCCCAGACACTGGAAGGGGCAGGAAGGATGCTCCCTGGGAGTCCCTGGAGGGAGGGCGGCCCTGTCCCCACCCTGATTTCAGGGTGTCCCTGGAGGGAGGGCGGCCCTGTTCCCACCCTGATTTCAGGGTGTCCCTGGAGGGAGGGCGGCCCTGTCTCCACCCTGATTTCAGGCTTCTGGCCCCCAGAACTCTGAGAGGGTAAAGCTCTGTTCTTTTAGCCTCCGGTTTTGAGTGATTTGCTGTCATAGCCCTAGGTTGTTTTACGGAAAGCTGGTGGGCCGTACTTTGGTGATTTTCTATGGCTAGAAGGTGGCAGTGCAGGGGTCTAACCTGAGAACCCTATTTTCACTGCGCTTCTTCTAACTTTAAATCACTCTCACCAGTGAGTCCAGCGATGCTGTGTTTCTGCGAATGACCTTCCCAGCCGTACACAAATCGGGTGATTGATTGCTTGGTTTCTCATAAAATGGGAACGTACCCTGCTACAGTGTAATGCTCCTATCTGGCTGTCAGGCACTTAGCAATGCTGTCATATTTCATCACGGTCACAACACCAGTCTTACATAATAAAAAGCTCTTTCTGCAGGAGAACATCAAAGCATACTCCCAAGAACTTTTTGAATGTGTGAGGAAAGATCTACACGGAGTAATGGGAAAAAATGCTATAATTTTATGTGGGCCAATCCAAAATGCCGTGAAGCTTTTGTTTGAGGACTAGCATAAAACACACTCTTCTCACTGCTGATGTCTTGGGCATTAAACTACTGCCGTCCTCTTGGAGTTTTCTGATGAGCTTTGTAGTTCTCATTAATCATGGAGCTTTGCTAACCAGACAGCAGCCATGGGCCTTCCGAGGCTCATGAAAGCAAAGGCGTCTATGCCCTTGGTTTCAAGGCAGGTTGGACATGAGCCAAAACAGAGGCCAGTGACCACCACTGTGAGCAGGGGATTCACGCAGGTGGTGTCTGGGCCAAGGAGAAAGACGTGGAAGAGAATATCCCAGTCCCCATCAGGCCTGTGATTTGCCCGGGCTGCGTGCCGTAGACGGGAGGGTGTTGAGAACTAACTGTGCGTTCTGTGAGATATGCATCCTGTAGCAGAGGGCTGACTGGCTTATTGAGGAATGTCAGAGGACTGTTTACACGCTTATTTAACCATGTTTTAATTCTAAAGATTTTGGGGAAAAGGCCTAGACTCTTCAAGGAAACATAAACATCCTCAACGTCCTCCGCAGTCACTCACTAGCGGCTGCTGAAAACAGGACCAGGAACAAGGATGGAATCCTTAACTGAATGTTCCTGACAGCACAACCCGCTTTCCTGAAAGGGTTCATGGCAGACGTTAAATGGGGCGGGGGGATCACCATTATTTTAAGATACGCAAGATCACAGCCTGAGGCTGTAAAGCCGTGGCCACTGTGCGTCTGTGTTGAAAGGATTCTGGCTGGAAGGGCTTGCCAGGAAGTACAACTGATGCAGGCAAATGTAAAAATGTGAACTATTTACTGTTAAAGCTGTCTCAGGAGAAAATCTCAAATAACAAGGAAAAGGCTTCGTTATAGAGCAATTGAAAAAGTTACCTCACAGCGTGCCAGGAAAGAATCCTGTTTTCCGTTCTACGTAGCAGATTGGAAATCTGAGCAATGCAATAAACAGTGGTGTATAGGATATGAAAAAAGATGAGTTTCACGTTGTAGTATTTCCCAAGAGCACAGGCAGGACAAGTTCACACCTGGGGTTAGGGGCTTTCCTCCAAGGAAATACCACTGAATTCAATGAGGATTTAAAGCAATTGCTTGCAATGTAAAGGATGAGTAAACCCCAGTCACTTCTTCGAGGACTTCATGGTTTGGGAAAGGAAGAATGTAAGCCCAGAGACTAGGACAATGCAAAGTTGAAAGGAAAACAAGGTCAAGAGGGTTCACTGGGAGGAAGAGCTCACATGCACATTTGGGGCTGGGAGGGATGGCTTCCCAGAGGAGTCAGTGTTTAAAAGGGACCGTGAAGGTGTTGGGCTGATTCTCATGCAACAGCCAGTGTTTGGCCTTTTTGACCCACAAGGAAACTACAGAGTTGTTTCTGCAAGGTAGATTTGAAACTCCTTGCCAGGTGCCAGGTCAGAAGGTGGCAAGGCAGGCAGGAGGAGCACATGGGGCAGCAGGAGTGTGTTGGAGGCCGAGGGCCCTGGATTCTGCCCAGGACAGGTGCAGGCAGTGGGAGGGACCTGGCCGAGAGTTCAGGGGGCACAGCACTGGGGAGGGGCCCAGTGCCAGGTCTGGGTTAATATTCTGGGCAAAGCAGTGGCACTTCAGGCTTCCTAGTAGGATATGGCAAGTTCAGGGCCGTGTTTCAGGGAAACTGAGCTTGCAACCTGCTGTCCAGGAGTGAGGATGTCTGGCTGGAAGGAGAGAGTCTGCAGCCTAGGCTTGAAGGACCAGGGCTCAGAGCACCGTGAACTGGGAAGAGCTGGCGAGAAGGAAAATGGCCACAGGCCTCACCTTGTGCACTGGATCTCAGTTCACTGGATCTCAAGTCTGGTGAGAGTCAGGAGTAAACAGGACTTTGGTGACCAGCGGAAACTAGGAAGGACGCAGGTGGACCTATGTTTGATAGAAAGATACTGGACCTGTGGGTCTTAAATTGTTGCAGAGCATCCAGAGATGCTGGTCAAGAAAGAGATGGGAGCCAAGTGTGGGATCTGGCGTGCAGCACCTTTATTGACTGGATGTTTTGGACACTGAAATGTGTCCACCTCTGGGCAACTCACTAGGATTTGACAGTGAATGGATCAACCGTGGGAGCATATGCGTGATCATGGGGGGAGGGCAGGAGAGAGGCCATTTGGGAGACAGGAGGCACAGAATGACAGCCCAGGCAGAGCTCTGCAGAGCACCAGTGTTTACACGCAGGACAAAAGGACGTGGCCACAGCAGGGAAGAGGAGCAGCCGTGAAGGTGCAGGAGGAGCCCTGGTGGCAGCTGGTCTCGGGAGCCACAGAAGAAGATTCGAGTAGGAGCGAGAGAGCTGCCGTCCCTGGTTCTGCCCAACCAGTTGGTTGACCGTGGAGAATCCCATCCCTCTCCTTATCTGTGTTCCTCAAATTCAGTTATATGATCATTCAAGACGAGTTCTCAGATTTCTGAGACCCTGAACACAAATGATCAAATGAAACAGACGTGAGATTGACCTTTTTCCAAGCAAACCCGTGGGACTGGTTAATCCAATTTCCACACGAGTACGCTTGGGCTGAGAGCTAGCTTTATGTGACAGTCACCACACTGGGTAACTCCTGGGCACCCATTTGTCTTTGAGATGTTCTCTTTTTTTGGTATCTGAAGGGGGTGGCTAAAACTGGGCAGGCAGCTCCTTCTTCAGCAGAAGCATGGGTGGAAATTGCACCCCAGCGTTTCACGTCCCTGCCTCCTGGCAGCCGGCAGCCCCAGGCCAGGGATGCTCAGGTAGAAGAGGAAAGCCAGTGATGTGAGTTCATGTGGGCCCAGCCCTAGGAGTTACAGATTGTGAGGCTGCATGGAGAGGGCAGGCAAAGGTAACTACATCTGACAGTCTGTTAGCGTTGAACCACATCTCTCCTAGATTCATATGCAGAAGTCCTAGTCCCAGAGCCCCAGAAAGTGATTGTATTTGGAAATAGGGTCATTGCAGATGTAATTAGTTAAGACGAGATCATCCTGGAGTTGGCTGGGCCCTAATCCAATAAACTATCCTTGTAAAATGGGGAAATTTGGACACAGACAGACACATGGGGGAAGGCCATGTGAGGACACAGGGAGAAGTCACCATCCACAAGCCAAGAAGAGAGGCCTCAGGAGAGCCCAGCTGTGGATTTCAAATGTCGGATTCCAACCTTGATCTGGGACTTCCAGCCTCCAGGAGGGGAGACGGTAAATGCTGTGTTTCATGCTGCCCATCTGGGTGCTTTGTTTCAGTAGCTCGAACAATCGAATGCTCTGCCCAAGTGCCAGTTGGGTGATGAAGATGACAGGGCTGGGGAGCAAGCCCAGAAGAATCGGGCCTGGGGAAGCAAAGGTGAGCTGGGCAGCTCAGGGCCGAATCTCAGTGATGCTCAAATGCTGCTCTGGAGCCTGCCGTTCACCTCACAGGTGACGGGAGGCCCCAGAAGGGGTTTGGATGGCTGCCTGCTTTAAATGTTGGAGGCCTGGTGAGTCTCCCACCCTGGACTTTGGGAAGATGCAAGATGCCTGAGGCCCCTGCTGTCAGTGCCGCCCCTGCTCACGTTGGCTAATTGGCCAGGCCTGAGCCCCACCCATGACCAGATCCCCCGGGTCCCCGGTGGGGCTTACCGAGGAGCTCAGGTTCTTACAAGTACTGGAGTTCATCACCGTTTTCAATAGATTAACCCTATTTCTTTAGGGTTGGCCTGGGAATCTGATATCCTGTGCTACATGACTGCTATGGGAAAATGTATCCCAACCTGCGAGAAACTTCTGGAACAAGCTGCTTCTAGGCTGGTGCCAGCCCAGGCGCTGTGGGCCTCAGTGGAAGTGTGGCCTTGCCGGTTCATCCTCTGCGGGACCGAAGGCTCCTAGGCGTGCCCAGGGCAGAGTGCGCAGTGGATGCACAGCGCCTCACAGCCTTTCCTGGGTGTAATGGAAACACATTTCACTGAAGCATTCGGTAGGCACCGACCACCCTCGAAGTAAGGCATTATTTCTTACAATTATTTATGTCTTGTACTCATTCACTCTTTCCCAAATTGGCAGGCACACCCCATGGGACCTTTCAGGGCTTTGAGGGAAGAAATGAATAACTCTTCTCCCTCCTCTGAAGCAGGAGCTCATAATAATAGGAGGGCAGGTGAAAGGAGACCCTGACGTCAGCCTCACAGCTGAGAAGGCCATATTGGTCCAGAGGAAAAATGGGCTTTCCCCACCCCACCAACAGATGCACTAGAGTGAGCACAGATCCCGTTCCCCAGGAGGCACACCCACTCCTACCCCTGCTCCGACCAGCTTGCTCCGTGCAGAGAAGCTACACACGTTGGGGAGCAGGGGACCCTGAGACTGAAGCAGGGACTAATGGCACTGTTGAGTTCACCACCCGGCGCGGGGTCAGTGAGGAATGAAGGGCCTGGGGTGTTTCTCTCCCACATCTTACTCTGTGGGATTGCGGTGGTCCCGATGTCTGTGTCCCCAAGATGCCTACGTTGAAATCCTAACCCCCAGGGTGATGGCGTGAGGAGGTGGGGCTTTTGGGAGGTGATGAGGTCCTGAAGGTGGAGCCTGTGACTAGGATTAGGGCCCTTATGCAAGATCCCCCAGAGAGCTCCCCTGGCCTTCCCACCATGCAAGGACACAGCCCCATCTAGGAACCAGGGGAACCAGAAAGCAGCCCTCACTGGAAGCCAAATCTGCCATGCAAAGGTTTTGGACTTCCAGCCTCCAGAACTGTGAGGAACAAATGTGTGCTGCTGATGAGCCCCTAGTCTGGAACGCTGTGGTGTAGCAGCTTGAATGGACCGAGACAAGAAATAAACTGGGACTGTCCTCTCCACTGTGAAAACATGAGGAGTAGGGAATGTCTCCCAAATAAAACCCATTTCATTTACCTTAAGAGGTAAGTTGAGTTCCAGTCTCTGAAATAAATGCTTATGCTGGATCCCTCAGAAGTGTTTCTAATGCCCTAGATTCATATCATAGGACCTACATTATGACTCAGAATTGGGAATTTTTTATTTCATAAAAATGGTTGGTGGTAACTGGGTGCCATTTTGAAATATCCACAAGGCAATGAGACCACAAGATACTTAGGATGAAATCTCTGTCCTTCTGGTTTTCAAAGCCGTGCACATGACATTTTTCTAAAACTCTCATGAATCTGCTAGACCCTGAGTGACCGCAGACAGCTTCTGTGGGTTAGCGTCCATCAGCGATGGCAGTCGGAGGAGTTCTCGCCATGGGAAGGTCAGGTCCTGAGCGGGCCCCTCCCCTGGAAGGGAAGCAGAGGCTTTGGGAGAGACCTGGGAAGGGGCTGGGCTGCCCAGCGATGGAAGGGAGTAGGGGAGGCTGCAGAGCTGCTGAGAGGGCCCTCCCGAGGGCCTGCAGGTCATCCTTTTCTGAAATCTACAGAATGTTTTCCTGTGGAGTTGTCTTTGTGCTTTTTGACTAGATGTAATCATATAAACCATGACAACCAAAATAAGAGGGTTTGCTTTCCCTATTGCCACCTTCCTTGGTATGACCTTGGGTTTTAATGGGTTTTCAGAGAGTGGGACCAAGTATTCTTCAAAAAGGACGTTCACTCCTTATGACTCCACAATTTGGGGTCTTCAAGGTCTTTTTTAAAAAACACTTTGGTTCAAAGCCCAGCCCATTCCAGGCCTTGTTTCAGACAGAGAGATGGAGAGTCAGCACAGCGGTCAGGGGTCCCTGGGCCAAACTCCCCACCTTGATGTCACGCATTACTGACGTTCCCGACACACAGCTCGAGGGAATCTGGGCACAGGAAGGAAGCTGAGTGAGAGTGGCCTTCCCGGCGAACCTCGCTCCTGAGGGTTCAGTGCTGACAGTGGCCTGGCTCCATGCAGGTTCTTAAACGGAGAGACAGTGATTTAATTAAACCACTCTTCGCCCGACTCTCCTGCCAGCTTCATGATTGGATCTGCAACATTCTCCAGCCCTGCAAGTCCAGGCCCCTCTCTTCTTTGTCTCATTTTTCACACTGATATTCACCTCCATTAAATGTGTCACATTTCTAAATTATCTCAAACAATAACAGTGCTGATCACATGCTTTGGACAGGGCAGTTCTCTCATTTTTTTTTTTTTTTTTTTGGACAGGGTCTTGCTCTGTCACCCAGGCTGGAATGCAGTGGCACGATCTTGGCTCACTGCAGCCTCGGCCTCCTGGGCTCAGGTGAAACTCCTACCTCAGCCTTCCAAGTAGCTGAGACCACAGATGTACACCACCACACTCAGCTAATTTTTGTATTTTTTATAGAGACAGGGTCTCGTTATGTTGTCGAGGCTGGGCTTGAACTCCTGGGCTCAATCAGTCTGCTCACCTCAGCCTCTCAAAGTGCTGGGATTACAGATGTGAGCTGCCATGCCCAGCCTAACACTTTTATCTGTGGTTGTCCAGATGACTCTCATGTGGATATAAAGTTAACAGTTGTGCAGCAAATGCTGTTTGTGGCTTCAGGCTCCTGGCCTCATGGAGCCAACAGGACTCAGGCTGGGCTCTGAAGGCGTCTGTGCAACTGCTCCACGCACATGGTCTGTGCTGCACTCCAATTTCCCCCTAAAGGATGTAGATTTGATATTAGTTCATTAAACATTTATTTATTTTTAATTTTTTAATTAAATTTTTTATTCCTTAATAAGCATTGTATAGATTTAAGGTGTACAAGGTGATGTTTTGATTTACATACATGTAGTGAACCGTTTGCCACAGTCAAGCAAATTAACACCCATCTTCCCATGTAGTTACCTGTGTGTGTGCTGCGGATGGGAGAAAGTGAGGACATTTAAGATCTCTCTCAGCAAATTTCAAGTATATAATACAGTGTTATTAGCTATCAACACCACGCTACACACATCAGGTCTCCAGGATTTATTTATCTTATAACTGAGCTTTTGTAGACTTGGGGCGTCCATCTGCGTGAGATCAGGCGGAGTTTGTCTCTCTGTGTCTGGCTTATTCCACTCAGCATCATGTCCTCCAGGCTCATCTATGTTTGTGCAAATGGCAGGACTTCCTTATTCTAAGGCGGAAGAGTGCTCCGTTGTGTGTGGACCAGAAGGAAGGAAATCTGTCCTCAGAAGAGATGTCCACAGCCCGGTGTTGACTGCAGCACTCATCACAGTGGCCAGGATACGGACACAATCTAAGTGTCCATTGACAGATCAATGGGCAAAATGCTCATCAGACATTTACTGGAAAACTGTGCAGCTCTTCCCCTGGGCTGTGTTCTGTGAGGGTTTCCGCCCCTCACCATGTGTGCACCACGATGAGTCCTCTCTACCCCCGGAGACTCAGACTCAGAGGCCGTCTCCGTCATGGTCTCACGACACTGCACATCAGACTCAGAGGCTGTCTCCACCATGGTCTCACAACACTATATTGCACATCAGACTCAGAGGCCATCTCTATCATGGTCTCCCAACACTGCACATCAGACTCAGAGGCCGTCTCTATCATGGTCTCCCAACACTGCACATCAGACTCAGAGGCCGTCTCTATCATGGTCTCCCAACACTGCACATCAGACTCAGAGGCCATCTCCACCATGGTCTCACAACACTATATTGCACATCAGACTCAGAGGCCATCTCTATCATGGTCTCCCAACACTGCACATCAGACTCAGAGGCCGTCTCTATCATGGTCTCCCAACACTGCACATCAGACTCAGAGGCCATCTCCACCATGGTCTCACAACACTATATTGCACGTCAGACTCAGAGGCCATCTCTATCATGGTCTCCCAACACTGCACATCAGACTCAGAGGCCGTCTCTATCATGGTCTCCCAACACTGCACATCAGACTCAGAGGCCGTCTCTATCATGGTCTCCCAACACTGCACATCAGACTCAGAGGCCGTCTCCGTCATTCAGAGGCCGTCTCCGTCATTCAGAGGCCGTCTCTATCATGGTCTCCCAACACTGCACATCAGACTCAGAGGCCATCTCCACCATGGTCTCACAACACTATATTGCACATCAGA
The DNA here is from genome assembly GCF_000001405.40 of Homo sapiens. Classification (NCBI taxonomy): domain Eukaryota; kingdom Metazoa; phylum Chordata; class Mammalia; order Primates; family Hominidae; genus Homo; species Homo sapiens. Next base: position 341,519 of record NC_000008.11, read on the forward strand.
CTCAGAGGCCATCTCCATCATTCAGAGGCCCCCTCCATCATGGTCCCACAACACTGCACATCAGACTCAGAGGCCGTCTCCGTCATGGTCTCACAACACTGCACAGAACCTGGCCACAGCTGTGGACACTTAATATTAATTGGAGAATGAACATTGCTTAATATGTTCCCCATGATTCAGACCTGTCTGGAAAGTGGAGAGGAGGCTGGGGTGGAGCCACACGAGTTGCAGACCAAGGAGAAGAATCCAGGGAGAAGCAGCCACGCGGCTGCAATGAAGACAGAGGTGGATCCAAGACATCCGCAAAGGGCCCCTGTCATCCTAAACTGTGATTCCAGTAAAAGCAGTGAAACTTTTAAAGAGTGCAAGCCTCACGTCAAATGGAGTCAACTGACGGACTGGCGTTTTGGAAGAAAATGTGCAATTCTGATGACCACCATGGGTTAATATCTGCCATATATAAAGATATCTTAAAATGACCAAAAATCAAAATTGTCAAGAAACAAGAGAAAAATGTGTAAAGCATAAGCATAGGTTATTTAAAGAAAGGAACACACAACTAATAATCCTATAAAACATATGAACAAATGTTCATCCTACCTGGAATTTAGGGAAAACTCAAATTAAAATATTATCTATCAGGTTGAGAAATATTAAGAAGTGTCGTAACCTATATAGCTGCAAGACGTGAAAGAAAAAGGAAGTTCTCAAACATTCCTTGTGAAAAAACAAATTTTTGCAATCTTTTGAAAAGAGTGTGGCAAGATATATTAAAATTATAAATGACATACCCTTCATACCCGTGACCTGACCCCTGATAATTTATCTCATAGAAATAAAAGCACATACGGAGATGGGCACCAAGATGCCGAGGGGCCGAGACTGCCAGCCTAGTTAACCGTAGAACTGCCCCCGATGCATCCCTCGGCCCCATCATCAGGGGAGTTTAGGGGTGCAACTGCTGGCACCAGACACTTTGGTGGCCGACTGCCCATCCATGACAGTGACAATGTCTGTGCCAGATGGTGACAACGTTCCTCCACTCCACCTTGGGGGGATGGTGCCAGTGAGGACGCTGCAGGAGAGAGTACAGGTGTCTGCAGTAAAGTCAGGCATCACATGGGCACTGTCTTAGTCCATTCATTGCTGTAACATTCAGCCATAACCTGGGTGACTTGTGCATGCATTGATTTCTCACAGTTCTGGAGGCTGGAAGTGCAAGATCAAAGCCCTGAGGGATTCGGTGTCTGGTGAGGGGTGGGTGGGGGCGGGGGCGGGGATTGCTTCCTGGTTCACGGAAGACACCTTCTTACTTCTTAAGGGGGACAGGCCAAAAAGCTCCCTTGGCCTCCAATCCCACTCATCGGGGCTCCATTCTCAGGGCGTAATCACCTCCCAAAGCCCCTGGTCCTAGTATCAGCACCTCGGGGATTTGGATTTCAACAGATAAACTTGGGGGACCCAGCATTCAGACTATGACAGCTAGAAACACAAACATACACAACACTCCTGAGCTCAGCCTTGTCTCCAGAGTTCTGCTCTTTCCAAAACTAAAGTTAGGCCCTCAGTGACTCTGTAATTCCACTCCTCTGTGGAAGTCATAGTGCCCAGATCTATTTATGCCAATAGAAATGAGACAGACAGACCCCGTCACCCAGCCCATTACTCTCACTAAGCAAGATTATTCACACTGATACATATCTTATCATTGCAGGCCATTAGCAAGGTGCATGTAATGTTCTGCATGCCCTGGGGAGACTAGAAATAATGACAGTTGTCAACGCTCCCTTCCTTCCAGAGCCCAAGACGCTGTCTCCAATGTCAGTCCCAATGACGGCTGAACAATGACATTGGCCGTTGTCCTGGCTGCCTTCTCCGACGCCCTCTGCATGTGACCCCAGCAAATAAATCTCTGCACTCCTCTACCTCCTTAGAGAGTGGAAATCCTCATGGAGAAGCAGGCACAAGTGTGAACTGCTTATGTGAGTGGTGTCAAAAGAAGAGGAGGACTCGCAGAGGGAGAGAGAGAGAGCCAGGATGTGAGAAGAACGGGTCTCTGTGTAGACTGTTGCTTGGGAAGAGTTTGTATGTTGGTTAGGATGAGAGAAACTTTATGTCGGGCCTTGGCATGCTGTTCCCAAGAATAATCTCAGGACCAAATAAAAAAAAATATGAGCAAGGACATAAACTGGCATTTCACAAAGAAAAAAATATAAATTTTCAATAAATGCGTAGAATAATATTTAAGATCATTAGTCATGAGAAAAGAAATAAAAGAAAAACAAACGTCATTGTTTCCAGTGTGACGTTTAAAAAAATTATTATGACACCCCGAAAAATAGCCACATTCAAACATTTCATCCACTGTACATTCTGAGGAGGAAAAAGTTGATCCGAAATTTCCCGAGCGCTGTCAGGCAGTTATCCAAGAGTCACAGAAACATTTACAGTCATATCTGGGTTTGCTAGAGATGGGTAAGTTTTACTTTTTAAAACTGCTTTGCTGTGTGTTTCAAACTTTCTACAATGATCATATTATACTTTTATAATCAGAAAAAAACTTTTTTAATATTTGAAATTTTCATTAAACATTAAAACGTGGGTCTTTTAGGTGGAAGCTGCCACAGACTATGAGGTACGGAAAATGGCAGCATGTCCCCTGTAGGGCCTGCCCAGTGCCAGACAATTATTTCCTCGGGGAAATGCACGTGGGAGCACTAGGCCCAGAAGGGGTGGGAGGCTCACGGGATTTTGGCGGCCGGTTCTTTCTACGGAAACGGACATTGCTGGGTGTAAGAGATGATGCCCAGGCACTGACTAGAGTTTCCTTACTTTCTTGCTGAAACAATTGGGAAAAAGACTAATGAGAAGATTTTCGTAGCCCAGCTGCATCCAGAAATGGAAGGTTAGGAGCTCCTGGCAGGTGCTGGTTAGGGAAGCTTCCATGAAATGCCTCACCAAGGACAGTAACCCAGCAGCATGTGAAACAGGCCAAAATGTTCTTTTTTAAAAAATGGAGTATTATAGACAGGATCTCCTAATGACCATTTTGCATACCCAGGCATTTCACACAGCAGAGAAGTGAGGCCCAGAGAAGTTAGGCAACTGGCCTGAAGTCACAGAGCTAATTTAATGGCAGGGCTGAGACTCAAACCCAGCTATTCTACAGGACCCCAGAGCTCCTGCTCGTTCTCTGCCCAGCCTCTGGCTGCTCTGTTATCCCTGGTTCCTGGGAATTCACTTCCTCCCCGCATCCTCATCCTGCCTGGCAGGTCCAGACCCTTAGTCTGATGTGGGCAAAGGGGTCTGAGACCCACTGGCCTTCCCCCAGCTCAGCCACTCATGGTCGTCTGAGATAGGGCAAGTGACTTGCTCTCTGACTCAGTTTCCTTATTCGTAAAATGATGATGACATGACTCAGTATTTGTGAAGACGCTAGAACTCTGCCTGGTCCAGAGTCAGTGCTATATGATTGTCTGTTAAGTGAAACGAATATAAACTATATACAAAATACTGATTTGTGTGTGACGTTTCCATTTGGGGGATCATTGTGTAAATCCTTTTCCCTCGCGAGATCTTTTTCCCAGTGTTTCCCAGCCCCTGTTGCTGCTGCTGAGGGTTCTGATTCCGTTCCGACTGCTCAGCCTTCCTGCCTCACCCAGGTGGACGTTACAGGTGTCAGTGACTCACTTTTCTGCCAACCAGACACTTCCATGTGCTCGGAATTCCAAGACCACACTGCGGAGAGCCGGGGGCCCCAGCATCCCTCAGATGCAGGAACGAGGGCCAGATGTGGGGCTCTGCACCCTGACCCCAAGCCCATGCTGCTCCCACAGGTTTATGGGGTCTGGAGGCTGTGATGGAAATGGGGAAGACGCTTCAGCATTGCTCAACAGTGGGAAAGGGGCCCAGTGATCCGCCAGCAATGCTGAGGTGTGGGGCCCCGGAAAGGGGAGCCAGGGACAAGGGTGAGTGCTGCCGAGGGAGGGATCAGCGGGTCATGCTCAGTAGCTTGTCAGATGGTAGGAGAAACCCACAAAAATTAAACCCACAGCAGCCGAAAATAGAGTGGAGTGGTTAGAGGATACAGTTGAGGAAATCTCCTGGACAGTTCAACAGGGGTGGCTAACAAGAGAGAGAGGATAATAAAAATATGTCTATGTGAAGCTTGCGGTGATGTAAATTTTACAAGTCAACTTGGTGGGGCTCCGAGTTTCCAGAATAGCTCAGCGCTGGAACCTGTGGACGGAGGAGAGCAGACCCACCCTCCCCCGTGCAGATGGCACCATCCAAGCCGCTGAGGGCCTGAATAGAACACAGAGGTGGAGGAGGGCTGGGTGACCGCCAGACTGCTGAGCTGGCCTCCCCCACCCCCCATCTTCTCCCATCCTCAGCTCTCTGGTTCTCAGGCCCTGGGCCAACCCCACCGGCTCTCCAGGGGCTCCAGCTGCAGACACCAGATCAAGGGGTCTCCCACCCTCCATGGTCAGGTGAGCCAGTCCCTTGCAATACATCCCTTTATCCCTCCACATCCCATTGGCTCTGCTTCTCTGAGAGCCCTGGCTACTATGGGGGATCATCAACAATCAATACAAGAAAGTTCCCTGCTCTGAAGGCCATTGCTCCCACTACGGGGCATTCATGACAATTCCGATCATCTCAGTGGCCACAGGTCAGTCCAAAAATGTGGTTTTGCCTACAAATTGGGACAGCTAGGGGAGACCAAGGGCTGAGGGGTACAAGGTGGGGCTGACGTGTGAAGGAACAGCTGTGGCCTTCCTGGCCAGCGTGGGTCATTCCAGGGCAGCCGCAGAGCAGGTCTGTGTGTCCCGGCTGCCTGTCAAGCGTGCTGCATGCACGTCAGTGACCCTCTAAGACCCGCGTACATTCTACTGCTCCTCTCCCTGTGTCAGCTACCAGGGGCTGGTATTTTCTATCAAGTCGTCAAATCTCTGCAAATCTAATTATCCTCCTTCAGTGTGCCAGACAGAAAGTGGTAGCGGCAAGGAGCTTTATCTTACATCCCAGATCAAGTTTGTCTTGATCACCAGTGTCCTCCGCATGGATGACCTACTTTAGGTGCTGCCCGTTGCTGGTGGGTGATAGTGAAATCTTTCAATTTAAGGAGAAATTAAGTGAAATCACCCCACAGCCGAGGCTCACATTCCACCAGGTCATCTGCAGCTTGGGTTTGAGCCTCACAGGACAGGGTTTCAGCAGTAGCTGATAAATGAGCTGTGCGTGGATTCCAGGGGCACGATAACACACTCTCTCCCGGAAGACGGAAGACGTGGAGTTGTTTAGGGAATTCACAGAACCGAACCGCCTGGAAGGGAACTGTGGGTCTCCCTCACCACAGGCAGTCGCAGAGCTGGGAAGAGGGTGGATCCAGGCTCTGTGGGGCTGGGGGCTGAGCCAGGGCAGGAGCCTCTTTAAGAATTCACACGTCCTCACTCTTGCGTGCCAGTTAGATAATGTGAGCCTGGAGACGCAGAGCATGGAATAACAGTCATTGGAGGCTCAGAAGGGGAGGAGGGTGGGGAGGTGAGGGGGAGGATTACTTAAGGGTAGAATGTTCATTATTTGCGTGATGGTGACACCGGAGACTTCATCGCTGTGCAATATGTGCAAGTAACTGCACTTGCACCCCCTACATTTATACAAATAAAAAATAAATACATAATAAAATGCAAAGAAAGAAGAAGAAGAATTCAGCAAAACAACACAGGCACAGCCCCTGAAGGTGAGGGGCTCAGAGCTCCAGCTTCAAGAGCTTGGGGCAAATCCACCCCGGGGAGGAGCGTCCGAGGCGGCCCTCGGGCGGGAGCCTGAAGACAGCCCGTGCCTCTGTGACCCAGCCACCGTCGGATCCGCTGTGTTGATTACCCTTTCCTATGGAGAACTGCCTCCATCACCACGCGGTCTGTGTGCGTTGACATCGGGACTGATACAAGTTTCTTGACTGAAGTTCAGGCAAGAGAACAGTGATGCCCCAGAGAGCAGCCCTGGCCCCTGGACAGCCAGCAACATGCGGGAACATCAGAGACAGGCGGGTGCTTGGTTGCCTCCTGGCCCGGCCTTCCCCACTAGGAGGATGAGCCTCGCAGCCCTGCCAAGCATGCCTGACGCATCTGGAGCCAGAGGAAACTCCATCTGAGAAACAGAACTAAGTCTCCAGTGGCAAACAAGGGTGCATTCAGAGGAATGAGATGATGGGGAAAAAAGAGAAGAGGGACAGATTCTCCAGTCCATTGGCTCAAGGCAGACAGCCTCGCTTGGTACTTCTTTAAAAGAAATGTTACAAATTTGAATCTAAGTACGCTTTGTTTATATAGCCAAGCATGTTTGGCTTTCCTATTTTATAGCCAGACATCTTTTAAAATGAAAATAAATATTTCTTATATAATTCATATGATTCTGGTAAATCTGTTAGAAAATTATTCTAGAAAGAAAAAAAAGACTGTCCTTTTATTGAGTCACTGTCTACTCTTTTAATTCCTATGTTTATCGATCATATTTGAAAATTGAAGCATTTGAAAGAAATACAGAAAACTTGAATACCAAAACAAACATCTGTGCCTGTTCTTTCACGTACATGACAATACACATCACTGATTCCATATGAAAACCAAGATTTAAAATGTGAAAAGTAGTAATCACAATTATGCCTAAAAAAGCAGTGCCTACATACAAAACCTGTCTGAATAAAGTCAGTTTGTGTCTGCCAATCTCATCAGGAGGAATTGAACCCAGAGCCCAGCCCAGGGACCAGCGCTAATGAAGTCTGTGAATGTGGGGTCGCCTGGAGCTCGAGCTGGTGTCGGTCTCTCTCATTCCTGCAGACTTAGAAGATGAAGCAGACTTGATAAAAGTGGGATTTTAAAAATATTAATTTATAGATGCTTAATAGATATTAAAGCAATATTTTCTACAGTCAGTTGAGTTTGGGTACCGCCGAGTGAGATAACACTATTTCAGGACTTCTGAAGGCATCCGCTGTGTTCATGTGCAGGGACCCATGAGGACACTCAGTAGGCAGTCACCAGGTGTCCCCGGCCACAAGGGCCTTTCACGTTTTTCCCCAAAGCATTTCATGGGGCTGGTGTTCCGTGGGATACAATGAAGGAAGTGCTTCATTCAACAGTTTCTCAATACAGCTTCCTAGGAACAAAATCGTTATTTCAAATTTACCAGAGTGTGTTAACATTAATTTATCAGACTCCAACACACTAATCTCTTATCAAATAATTCTAGTTATTTTTATTATCACTAGATGAGAGTGATACAGAGGTAATATATTTCCAGGAAAAAACACTGGGCAGAGTTCAGGAGCTATGCGTGAAGTGTGGTCCTAGCTACATTAAGTTGTAGCCATGAGACATTTAAAACTTTTCTTTATCTGTTTAAAATCCAAGTGTAATCATAATGTGTTAATTCGGTTTAATAATGTATTAATAATTTAAATATAATTTTAGTAGGAGAGCTTCTGTGTGTTCCATTTTTAATGTCTCCACAGCTTGAACTAGGACACCTTTCCTTTGATCCACACAATTGTTCCAATTTGGACACATAGTCCTCTTAACTCTCCTTTGCTTAGCTCAGTCCCACCACTGCACTGAATGAGACACTTTCAGTCACCGATCTGTATGGTACAATCTGAAATGAAACATCCATTTTGAGCATTGCCAATAATCATGATGCCAAATTCATATCATGAAAACTTTAAGCACTATCATGGAGAATTCAGTGTGTGCAAATATATTGCATTATGTCAACTTCTCTGAGATATGCGTTTTGTAGTGTGTCTGCAATGTGCAGACCAAAGGAGGGGAGGGATCCAGCTTGGGCTTGAAGCCTGCTCAGTGTCGATTGAAGACAATTCTGGGTTTGTCAGAAATCCATTTGCAGAAGGAGCCAGAAGGCTTTGGAGAGATATGTCATTTTAGGGAAGAGGGTTGAGAGAACTATGTTTTCCCACATGAGTCAGACGCAGAGCAGAAGCGTGGGGACGCGGTGCCTGGAGGACCCAGACCAGTGGGTGCTGGTCTTCCCAGGTCAGGGCACCAACCTCACACAAGGCCAGAGAGAGGAGGTGTCCTGTGGCCCTCACTAAGCCACAGGCGCCTCCATACAACAGAACCCACAAGACGACATCACCTGGAGAGGCCACGAGGGACGTTCCTCCGGAGCACTGAGCCGGGACTGCGACAAGGGGTCCTAGCAGGGAGCCACGAGGGCACCGGCCCCTCCGTCCACATCCTCCAGGCTCGGAGGCCTCTGCCCTGATGCCTGAGGCTGGATGGGACAGGGACAGAGAGAAGCTATGCAGAGCCCATGGAGGGAAGACCCAACCTGCAGGGGCGGCTTCTTCATGAGCTGCAGGGAGCCCAGCAGAGGAAGGGCCATGATGGGGCAAAGGAGGGGGAAGCTGTGAGTAAGGACATGGCCTCCAGCGAAGCATCCCATGTGGATTTAGGGATGGCCTAGGATCTCTGAATGGATTCAGTTAACAGGCATCAAAGAAACACTCCCAAGTGCATGAAGGAATTGAGTACGAGATAAAACATCAGTTCTAATCACTGGAGGGGCAACGGATGGCTCAGTAGTTTGGGGATATGTGGTTAGCCATTCAGAAATAAAATAAACTGAATTCTATTTTACTAATTAGGTAGGCAGGTAGATAGGTAAGTAAGTAGGTAGGCAGGTGGATAGGTAGGTGGCTAGATGGGTAGACAGATAAGTAAGCAGGCAAGTAGGCAGGCACGTAGGCAGGTAGGTAGGTAGATAGGTAGGCAGGTAGGTACATAAGTAGGTAGATAGGTAGATAGATAGGCAGGTAGGGAGGTAGATAGGCAGGTAGGCAGGTAGGTAGATAGGTAGTTAGCTAGGTGGGTATATAGGTAGGTGGCTAGATATGTAAGCAGGTAGATAAGTAGGTAGCAGGTAGATAGGTAGGTGGCTAGATGGTAGGCAGGTAGATAGGTAAGTAGGTAGGTAGGTGGCTAGATGGCAGGCAGGGAGGTAAGTAGGTAGATAGGCAGGCAGGTAAGTAGGTAGGTAAATAAGAAGGCAGGCAGGTAGGTAGGTAGATAGTCAGGTACACAGGTAGGTAGGTAGATAGGAAAGCAGGTAGGTAGGTAGATAGGCAGGTAGACAGGTAGGTAGGTAGATAGGAAAGCAGGTAGGAAGGTAGATAGGCAGGTAGACAGGTAGTAGATGGGTAGGTGCTAGGTGAGTAGATAGGTAAGAAGCTAGATAGATAGGCAAGTAGATAGGCAGGTGGGTAGGTAGGCAGGCAGGTAAGTAGACAAGCAGGTAAGTAGGTAGGTAAGTAGGTAGGAGGGTGGGTAGATAGGCAAGTAGGTAGGTAGGTAGCTTGGCAGGTAGACAGGTAGGTAGGTAGATAGGTAGGTAGGTAAGTAGTAGATAGGTAGTCAGGTGAGTAGACAGACTGGTAGGTGAGTAGGTAGGTAGATGCACAGGCAAGTAAGTAGGTACATAGGTAGGTAGGTAGGTAGGTAGGTAGATAGGCAAGCAGCAGATAGGTAGGTAGGTAGGTAGATAGGCAGGCAGCAGATAGGTAGGTAGATAGGTAGGCATGGTACGTATGGTAGGTAGGTAGATAGGGAGTTAGGTAGGTAGATAGGCAAGTAGGTAGATAGGTGGGTAGACAGGCAGGTAGGTAGGTAGATAGGTTGGTAGCTAGGTAGGTAGATAGGCAGGTAGGTAGGCAGATAATCTGGTAGTCAGGTAGGTAGGAGGTATGTAGGTAGATAGGTAGGCAGGTAGGTAAATAGGTATGGTAGATAAGTAGGTAGGCAGGCAGATAGGTAGATAGGTAGGTAGACAACAGATAGGTAGGTAGGTAGATAAACAGCATGATAGGTAAGTAGATAGATAGGTAGGTAGATAAGCAGGTAGGTAGATATACAGATAGGTAGGTAGATAAGCAGGTAGGTAGATAGGTAGGTAAGTAGGTAGGCAGTTTTATAGGCAGGTAGGTAAGTAGGCAAGTAGATAGGTAGGTGGCTAGATAGGTATGCAGGTAGAGAGGCAGGTAGGTAAGTGTACAGATAGGCAGGTACGTAGGTAGCTAGGTAGGTAGGCAGGTAGGTAGAAGGTATGGTAGGTAGGTAGATAGGTAGGCAGGTAGGTAGTCAGGTAGGTAATTATTAATAGATTGGCAGGAAGATAGGTAGGTAGATAGGCAGAAAGGCTCTCTATATGTCTGGACAATTTCATTGCAAAGTTAATGTAATGTTCTGAAACATGCTACAACGTGGATGAACCTTGAAAACATTATATTAAGTCAAAGAAGCCAGACATGAAAGACCACATATTATACAGTTCCATTCACGTGAAAAGTCCAGAATGGGCAAATCCATAGTGAAAGAAAGCAACCCTGTGGCGACCAGGGCTGGGGAAGGTGGGGAGTGACCATGAATGGGTTCAGAGTTTTCTCTTGGAAATTCTGAAACTAGATAGTAGTGAAGATTGCACAACATCATGAATATACAAAATGCCACTGAACTCCACATATCAAAATGGTGAATTTTTTGTGTGTATTTTACTAATAAGGAGTTAAAGAACAGATTTTTTGCTGTGTAGAGTACCTTCAACACTGGGTAACATTTATTCTGACCGGATCATTATGGGCTGGATTGACTAGAACAATATTTAAGAAAGCATTTCTCAGAATAATGAATGGCAGGAAATACCATAGTTAATTAATAATTGACTGGTTTGTAATTATGTGCTATCTACACCCATAAAGAAATTGAGAAGCTCATAAAATGCACATATAAATAAGAGTTAATTATGTGAATAAGTTTAAATGTTTTTATGACAATTTAAAATTATTTTACTTTTATAAGACTTCCATGTAGGTACTAGCACTTTCATTAATGTGCTTGCTATTTTTCACTTAAATTTTTATCTCTATGAAAACCTAACACCTTCGAGAAACGGATTCATGTGCACGTTTCTGTTGCTAAACTGTGGCAGGAACATCAGACCTTAATAAGAGAAGGGTGAGGAACCACAACTGCATATGTAGTATTCACAGTAGGAGAAAAGTGATACTAATATACCATGTAGAAAAAAAGCACAACAAAATAAGATACCATTTAGCACACACAGACAAACATGTTTGCTGCTTTGTTTCTTGTGACTGACAGACGCTCTTACTTACTCCGAGTCTTTGAGGTAATAACTGCTTGGAAGATGGCCGAAGAGGAGGTGTTGACATGCAAGAGTGGCTATTTTAAAGGAGCACGAACCATGGGCTAATAAGCGCCTGCGATGTGGCCACTTCAAGCCCACATGCTGCCAGCACCATGTCCTCGTCTGGCGTGGACATCCAAGGGCGGAGGAAGAGCTGAACCCTCCACAAAGGTTCCATTTGTATGCAGAAACAATGTCCACAGTAGGCGAGGGTTTTCTTTAAAATCATTAGCGTAGCTAAATTTCAAAGTTCAAGTAAAAATTGTTTTTTACAGATTGGGAAGTCCTCTCCGTTGTACCCATCAGCAGAAGGTGTGTGTGTTCAAGGCAAAGCGATCAGAATTGAGTGCAGAATTGACCTCTGTCGGAATGTTCCGCATCCTAGGTCTCCTGTCCCTCGCTGCCACTGCGATGTCTGCTGGAGACAGACTGTGCCTTCACGGTCAGACAATGCCCTCCTGGACTCTTCTGGCTTTGTAATGTGCCTGCTCTTCAGCCAACGGGGCCTTCTGGAAGGAGTGAAGGCCAGTAGTCAGAGATGCTGGTGCAAACCTATGCTCTGTCATTCCCAGACTCGGTGTTCTTGGGTGAATCCTCTCCCTGTCTGTTTTCTGGGAATAATAAGAACCTGTCACTTCTGTCTTTGCGGGCTGCTGTGAGGATGGTTTGCTATGCTGTAATATGAAAGGACCATGCAGATGATAAAATGACCCACAGAAAAAGCTGGTATTCTCATTATCATCATTTAAAATACTACAGGTGAACTTTCTGTGTAAGTAGAGGTTCTTTGCAGAAACATTTTTGTTTTAAATTTCTGAAAAGACTCTATCCTTGAACAGAATATGTGGCAGAGGGATTTGTCCGTATTCATGTCTCATTACAAACATCTCTTCTGGTTAAAAATGCAAATGCAGCTGACAGGAGAGGACAGATGCTTGGCTAGAAGCCTTCTGACTGTCATCCTCAGCTGCCCCTCAGCAGTAACTACAAAGCCTGCTTCCTCAAAAGCTACTCCTGGTATTTGCTGGGTTGTGCCCTTTTCTTTTTTTTTTCTTCTTTTTTTGCTTTATGCACAAAGTGAGCAGCACAAAGGCATGATCTCATGGCCATTGTAGCATGGGCAACTTTGGGTTAAATTGCTTTGGTCTCTATTTAATTTGGTTATTTTTCTCCCACATGCTTTTGCACTGTCCGGAAAATGAGCTTTTTCATGATTACTCTCAGTGTGCTGAGACTAGTCAGCAGCGTTGAAAGATTCTTTGTCTCTGCACAGCCAGCCCAGGGCTCACGGACACACTTTACTATCCTGCATCCACACTCCCTTTTCCTTTGTGTGTAAATTCCCGAGAATGAAGGAACCGTTTTACCCCCTCATGTTTCAGGATGCTCTGCTAAGGCGAGAACCTCACAGTACATGAAAGCACCTGTAGGGCTCCTGTCTGAGGAGCCACCCACCTATGTCTGCATCCAGTCCGCTCCTTTACAAGATTAAAGTGGCCCGGCTGAGACACTGCTTCTTAGAAGGTAAGTTACACTCAGAAAAGTCTTATCTGAAAAATCGTGTTTGACTGTTAACAGATCTAATGTTATTCTTTAAAAAAATATAGTCCAACTTATAGAAATTTCTCATTGAGAGACTATCTAAACAGTGAACAGTGACCAAACACAAGTCCTCTGCTAGGGTAGGAACAGCCGCACAATCACAATCTGAGAATGTCTTGAAACATGCACACACAAGGGACTCTACCGCCAGACCTCACCACCACCCAGGCCATCCCCATCACCAGCTCTCCCGCCAGTGGCTCCGCTAGTCCAGGCGGAGCACAGGACTCTAGTTTAATAAGCTCCTCAGGTGACTATGCTGCATCATGCCAACCTAAACATCAAAAAGAGAGAGTCTGTCTTAAAACAAAACAAAACAAAACAAAACAAAGGCATGTACTGGGGAATAGGGGATTTCAATGGGAATATGTGCGCCATGGTAAACTATGTGAGGATTCAGGCAGGCAAACAAAGAGAAAGGTTTTTAGAGAAAAAAAAATGAGGATTATGTCATTGTTTTGAGAGAATTATCCTTGGCTCTGGATCCTAGGATCAATAACAAGGGTGACGTCAGTCCGAGGTTGGACAGGCCTGCTGGGCAGATGTCCTCAAGGAAGTATTTTTTGTGTAAGGTTGTGATGTCCTATGAGCAAGCGTGGGTTTGCAGTCTCCTGTGACAGTTTTTGTTGTTGGGTGAACAAGCCTCAGGATGCACTCTCCGTGGCCTTCCCTGCTCCAGTTGCCAGGGTTTTTTTGGTTTTGTTTTTGTTTTTGCTTTTAATAAAAGTGATTCCATTTTGATTCTGACAACTTTCAGAGTTATCAGGTTTGGAAAATACTGCTCGACATTGTCCTGGAATCCATACCACAAAAGACAGAATTCTTTTTTTTTTTTTTAAATTGGAATTAGAGTTCTCAATATCACTTCCCTGGTAGAGTTGGTCAAAATGCCACCCTCCAGATGCCTCATTTGACTAGTTTTTGGCTGCTATGCTGTTAATATTTTAATTAGTGAACCAGGTTGGACTTATTCTCAGAGTGTTTCAAGAGTAGGTAAAACATGTTCATTCTCTTGCTGAAAGTAAACACATATTGTTGGAAGGTAAATGAGATGTTTCCATAGGTTTCTATTTGCACATATGAAACTAAGCAAGTTATTTTTTTTTCTTTGAGACAGAATCTCACTCTGCAGTCCAGGCTGGAGTGCAGTGGTACAGATCATAGCTTACTACTAAGCAATCCTCCCACCTCAGCCTCCCGAGTAGCTGGGACCACAGGTGCACACCACTATGCCCAACTAATTTATATATATATATACACACACACACACACACACACAATGCTGGGATTACAGGTGTGAGCCACCACGCTGGGATGCAGATGATTCTTTTCAGAGCCTTTCTCCAGCAACCGACCACGTTAGTCAGTCAAACCTGGAGTTAAGGTATTTATAGCCCTGAAAATAAAGAACTAGAGACTTTCCTACTCAAAAACCTAGCGCCCAGCTTTCTCTCCCTGTTTCCAATGAGCACAGGCTGTAATGCATTCACAGGAGGGAATGCCATCTCATTTGCTTTCTATTTGTTTGAATAAATCTACTTGCAGTAGCTTTTATACTTTTGGTGAAACAAAGGTTGACTTTTTGAAAAAAAATGCTATTTTCAAGTCCAGATCACGTCCCATACACAGAGTATTCAATGTCAGAATAATTATGTCCTAGGAAGAAATTTATATGAAACATGAGTCACTGTTTAAATTAGGGAAGTTGGCAAATTAATAAAAGTGAGTGTTCCAGGAGAAACCTTCTGCAAATTATTCACAGTTGCTGCCAAATCCCTTGCCAACGTGTTTGAGACTGAGTACCATTAAAAATCGTGCTTTTAATACACACGTTATACAAGGCCTGCACCTCAGTCACTGTGGAGTGTGGGTGGTTGGCCAGGGATGGGGGCTGGGGAGAAAAGCTGACTTCCAATCTCATTAAATAACTGAAATGAGGTATCCATGTGCTTTCCAACTGCGAGAACAACAGTGTAATTAAGCAGAGTGTGAATGCACTGAAAGCAGGTGAATCACTTCATATTTCACAACGGTGAGGTGGGATTTGCTCACAGCTAGAGGCACAGAGGCTACCTGGGTCCATCTGCAGATCAGCCAGTTCTCTTATGGCAACAACTTTCCCAGTGAATCTTTGCATTGTTTGCTTCTGTCAGATGACTGGAGGTCTCCTGAAGAACAATTGTCAAAAACATGTTAATTCCTTGAGGCAACCTTTAGAAGGCATTGGAAGCATCAGAAAGCAGCCTGAGCCCACAAATCCACAAACAAGCATCCCTCTCAGGCAAAGGCCACTCCGCCTGTCAACACCGAGAAGGAGGGAGGCCATTCAGTCACAGTGAAAGAAGCCGGACCCGGGGAGATGCTGATTACAATGCACACGTCAAGTCGCTCTGTTTGACCAGCACGATACATAAATTGTAAGCTATTTGAAAGCAAACTTCTTTTTAAAATTTTTTTTATTTCCATAGGTTTTCGGGGAACAGGTGGTATTCGGTTGCATGATTAAGTTCTTTAGTGGTGGTTAATGAGATTCTGGTGTACCCATCACCCGAGCAACATATACTGAACCCAATCAGTAGGTCTTTTATCCCTCACTCCCCCTCCCACCCTTTCCCCCTGAGTCCTCAAAGTCCATTGTGTTATTCTTAAGGCTTTGCAGACTCATAGCTTAGCTCCCACTTATGAGTGAGAACATAAGATGTTTGGTTTTCCATTCCTGAGTTACTTCACTTAAAATAATGGTCTCTACCTCCATCCAGGTTGCTATGAATGCCATTATTTTGTTCCTTTTTTTGGCTGATTAGTATTCAATGGTCTATATATACCACAGTTTCTTTATTATCCACTCATTGATTGATGGGCATTTGGGTTGGTTTCATATTTTTGCAATTGCGAATTGTGCTGCTGTAAATGTGTGTGCAAGCATCTTTTTCAAATGGCTTCTTTCCTCTGGGTAGATGCTCAGGAGTGGGATTGCTGGGTCAAACCGTAGTTCTACTTTTGGTTCTTTAAGGGATCTTCACACTGTTTTCCATAGTGGTTGTACTAGTTTACATTCCCACCACCAGTGTAGAAGTGTTCCCTTTTTACTGCATCCGTGCCAACATCTACTATCCAGAATCTACAACAAACTCAAACAAATTAGCAAGAAAAAAGCAAACAATCCCATCAAAAAGTAGGCTAAGGACATGAATTGATAGTTCTCAAAAGATACACAAATGGCCAACAAACATAGGAAAAAATGCTCAACATTACTAATGATCAGGGAAATGCAAATCAAAACCATAGTGCGATACCACCTTACTCCTGCAAGAATGACCATAAGCAAAAAATCAAAAAACAATAGAAGGTAAAGTTCTTGAAAGCATTCTGGCTTTAAAGACCTCTGACAGTGTGTGCAGGTGGGGAGAGGAGGGAGGTTTGCCCCCAGGAAGTCGGCTTGCCGCCTTTCTTCTCCTTGCTGATCTGGCTTGACCCTGGTCTGACTTTGCTCCGCGGTTGCTCTCTGCTGCAAGTCACCACAGCCCCTCCCATCCCACCCCACAGATGCTAGCTTTTGGCTCAAGCCTGGGCCAACATCCATTCCTTCCTGCTAAGGCCCACAGCAGCTGCATCCCAGCCAGCGCCGACCCAAAGAGGATGACACACTCGATTTTAAAGGCAAAAGGAAACTTCAAGGAAAATGTGTTTCAAGTCCTAACAGAGAAAGAGGAACAGAGTCATTAGTCCAAATGAACTCAGCTGCAGGGTTGTAGGCTCCAACATTAATTCCAAATGTCCTATCTTCCATCTGGTCGAATGCTGATCTATTGCAGCACTGATCTTCCCTTGAATTCAACTATCTTTTAGGTTTTTAAAACTCTTTAATTTTGAATAAATCACAGGTACAAAATAACACCCAAAAGTTTAATGATTTCCTGTAAGGATAACACTGGCAGTGACACCGGCCGCCCCTCCACAGTCCCATCCCAGCCTCAAC
The DNA here is from genome assembly GCF_000001405.40 of Homo sapiens. Taxonomy (NCBI): domain Eukaryota; kingdom Metazoa; phylum Chordata; class Mammalia; order Primates; family Hominidae; genus Homo; species Homo sapiens. The sequence continues at coordinate 358,323 of NC_000008.11, forward strand.
ACCCTCCTTCTCTCTGGAAGGTGACCACTGACTCCCAAGGTAATTGTTCCCTTGTGGATGTTTTTTCTTTCAATTTTTTTTTTTTTTTTTTTTTTTTTTTTTTTTTTTTTTTGCAGACAGAGTCTTGCTCAGTCGCCCAGACTGGAGTGCAGTGGCGCGATCTCTCCTCACTGCAAGCTCCGCCTCCCGGGTTCACGCCATTCTCCTGCCTCAGCCTTCTGAGTAGCTGGGACTACAGGCGCCCCGCCACCACGCCCGGCTAATTTTTTGTGTTTTTAGTAGAGACGGGGTTTCACCGTGTTGCCCAGGCTGGTCTTGAACTCCTGGGCCTCAGCTGATCCACCCGCCTCAGCTTCCCAAAGTGCTGGGATTACAGGTGTGAGCCACTGCGCCTGGCCCATCCCCCACTTTTTATCATTGTAGTTCGTCACATTGTCAGAGCACATAGCACATATATGATGTTCTCTTTCTTTCAATCCTCATTTATCTTAGTTTTACAAAGAACTATACCTTCAATTTTTACCACCAATACTTAAGTTGATGTGTCTCTCATTCTTCTGGTTGTCTTGAAATGAGTTGTCAAAGATTCCTCTAAATGTGTTCCTGGGAATAATATTTCCTGAGTTATTGCACGTTGATAACAGTTTTTCTGTTCCATGTATACCTGCAAGTAAGTTTGCTATATGTATGTAAAATCTTGGCTTGTTTTATTTTCTTAGGTATTGTAAAAATGTTACTCCATTTTCTTCTTTTGTAAAGTCAGAAAGTTAGATAGTTATCTTATTTCCTTTCCTGGTTAAGTTACCTACCCTTTTTGAGCATACACCCACATGGCTTCTTGCTCTTTAAAGTCCAGTTATTGGATTAGAATGTGCCTCGGTGTAAGCTGGCTGGAGCAGTAGTCTATCCAGTTATTGGATTAGAATGTGCCTCGGTGTAAGTCGCCTGGAGCAGTAGTCTATCCAGTTATTGGATTAGAATGTGTCTTGGTGTAAGTCGCCTGGAGCAGTAGTCTAAGGTGAAGGATGAGCTTTTCATTCTTTAAATCTTTAAATGTTCTCGTACTGCAGAGCACCTTCTCGGCTTGCGCATCTGTGCCTCTGCTTGGTGCCCTGGCTTTGCTTTTTGCCTTCAGCATCTCCCGTTATCCTTGTGTTTAATCTTCTTTACCTATTTTTAATGTGTCACTTTCTGTTGAATTTTTTTAATCTTTGTCATTTCTGTTTTATTTTTACAATCTTTCCTCGTTCACACCCTCTATTCCTCTTTATTTGCTCTTATTTTCCTTCTAGTTTAGTCTTCATTTCAGAAATGATGTTTTTCTCGTATGCCACAATTCTATCTCACTTTATTGCCTCACAGTGTTCTAATTCTGATTTATGTTACTCTTTATAGTTTTGGGCCATTTCCTTAGTGTATCTCAGCGCATCATGAACTGAGAGGTTGCAGTTTTGCCCTGCTGTGTGGGAACTTCTTGTGGGGCACTTTCATTATCTGTAGGCATTTCATTCTGTTCTCTACTCTCTATTTTCTTATATTAATTTTGTGCGGGATTTACCTTCAATACTTTTCTAATGTTAATTTTTATGTAAAATTGGATATCCTGAAGTTTTAGAAAAAGTGGGATTCAATGTAGATGTTTAAAACTTTATGAAGTCCCTCTTTGGTTGTTTTTATGTGATGTTAAAAAATATGGAAGTTTGGCCGGGCGCGGTGGCTCACGCCTGTAATCCCAGCACTTTGGGAGGCCGAGACGGGCGGATCACGAGGTCAGGAGATCGAGACCATCCTGGCTAACACGGTGAAACCCCGTCTCTACTAAAAATACAAAAATTAGCCGGGCATGGTGGCGCGTGCCTGTAGTCCCAGCTACACAGGAGGCTGAGGCAGGAGAATGGCGTGAACCCGGGAGGTGGAGCTTGCAGTGAGTCGAGATCGCGCCACTGCACTCCAGCCTGGGCGACAGAGCGAAACTCCGACTCAAAAAAAAAAAAAAAAAATATGGAAGTTTGATTTCTGAGATTTCTTCACTCTATTCCCTTCCTCCACTTTTATCTAGACCTTCTCTTCACTTGGTCTTCATTGTCCCTGCCCTTCATTTTTTTGTTTTACCTCATATATATATGTCTCAAAAAATATATATATATATAACCTCATATATATATATAACCTCATATATATATAACCTCATATATATATAACCTCATATATATATATAAAACCTCATATATATATATAAAACCTCATATATATATATATATATAAAACCTCATATATATATATATATATATATATATATATATATATATATTTTTTTTTTTTTTTTTTTTTTTTTTTTTTTTTTGAGACAGGGTCTCACTCTGTTGCCCAGGCTGGAGGACAGTTGCACAATCTTGGCTCACTGCAGCCTCCTCCCCCCAGGTTCGAGTTATTCTCCTGCCTCAGCCTCCTGGGTAGCTGGGATTACAGGCACATGCCACTATGCCTGGCTAATTTTTGTATTTTTAGTAGAGACAAGGTTTTGCCATGTTGGTTAGGCTGGTCTTGAACTGACCTCAACTGATCCATCCACCTCAGCCTCACAAAGTTCTGAGATTAAAGGCGTGAACCACTGTGCCCAGCCTACTCCCAATAATTTTTTTTCATTCATAGAAAGGAGCCTGGCTTATCAGAATTAAGAGTTCCCAGGAGTCAGAGGCCCCAGTCCCTCAGTCCTTTTTGACTCATCAACTACTGGATGAGTAAACCCCACATGTGTCAGTCACAGCACTCGGGTTGACCTGCCGTGCTTCCCCATGGCGACTCCTGCACATCTGGGGTCATGGATGCTTCCCATGGTGATGTCTGCACATCTGGGATTGTGGATGCATCCCATGGTGATGTCTGCACATCTAGGGTCATGGATGCTTCCCCGTGACAATGTCTGCACATCTGGGGTCATGGATGCTTCCCCACGGCAATGTCTGCACATCTGGGGTTGTAGATGCTTCCCCGTGGCAATGTCTGCACATCTGGGATTGTGGATGCTTCCCCGTGGCAATGTCTGCACATCTGGGATTGTGGATGCTTCCCCGTGGCAATGTCTGCACATCTGGGATCGTGGATGCTTCCCATGGTGATGTCTGCACATCTGGGGTCATGGATGCTTCCCCGTGGCAATGTCTGCACATCTGGGGTCATGGGTGCTTCCCCATGGCAATGTCTGCACATCTGGGGTCGTGGATGCTTCCCATGGTGATGTCTGCACATCTGGGGTCATGGATGCTTCCCCGTGGCAATGTCTGCACTTCTGGGGTCATGGATGCTTCCCCGTGGCAATGTCTGCACATCTGGGGTCGTGGATGCTTCCCCGTGGCAATGTCTGCACATCTGGGATTGTGGATGCTTCCCCGTGGCAATGTCTGCACATCTGGGATTGTGGATGCTTCCCCGTGGCAATGTCTGCACATCTGGGATTGTCGATGCTTCCCCGTGGCAATGTCTGCACATCTGGGATTGTCGATGCTTCCCAGTGGCAATGTCTGCACATCTGGGATTGTCGATGCTTCCCTGTGGCAATGGCTGCACATCTGGGATCGTGGATGCTTCCCCGTGCTCCATGTGAGCCTCTGCTTCCTCTTACACAGAGACCAACATCATGCGTTCTGAAGGATTTTGGTTTAACCTCATCCGAATATAGTTTAGGGTCTTTAGTCACTTAGTTTTATTAATGATGTTTTGGGTTTTGCTACCTAGTTGAGATTCAAAAATGCACTGTCTCTCCCAGCTTCCAAGAATCCTGCAGGTTTGAAAACTTTAAAAGATCATAGAATTTTTATTCTGCTTATCTTAAATCAAATCCACTTAATTTGAACAGCTTTAAAAGTTTTTTTCACAAACTGGGAAAGAACCCTGTGCCAATGGGGCAAGTGGACGTCAGCTACTACCCTATACCATTGTCCCACAACGCACATAGGCCAGCAC